>NC_000019.10:39968146-40271177 GCF_000001405.40 Homo sapiens
GGGCTGTTATGAGATCATGGTTTGGAATTTTCCTGGCCAAAAGTGAATGCGCAAGTGGTGTCTCGTGTGACAACCCATGATCCATCCACCAAATAGAAAACAATGTCCAAACACACAAAATATCAAGAGTATACATACAAATGGTGGGAGTGTAAATTAATACAGTCTGACAGTGTCTACTAAAGCTAAACACATACCTGCCCTACGACCAGCAATTCCACACTTGGGTCTATTTTGTTTTTGTTTTTGTTTTTCTTTGGGAGGGGGATCTATTTTCAGAAGAAATGAATACGTAAGTTTGTCCAAAGAAATGTACTAGAATATTCATAGTGAGAGACAGGACTAGCTGGATTTCCTAGGCCGACTAAGAATCCCTAAGCCAACTGGGAAGGTGACCGCATCCACCTTTAAACAAGGGGCTTGCCACTTAGGTCACACCCAACCAATCAGGTAGTAAAGAGAGCTCACTAAAATGCGAATTAGGCAAAAACAGAAGGTAAAGAAATAGCCAATCATCTAACGCCTGAGAGCACAGAGAGAGGGACAATGATCGGCGGGATATAACCCAGCACTGGAGCCCGCAAGGCAATCCCCTTTGGGTCTCCTCCCATTTTATGGGAGCTCTGTTTTCACTCTATTAAACCTTGCAACTGTACACTCTTCTGGTCTGTGTTTGTTATGGCTTGAGCTGAGCTTTCGCTCACTGTCCACCGCTGCTGTCTGCTGCCATGGCAGCTGTGGCAGACCTGCCGCTGACTTCCACCCCTCCGGATCCGGGTGTCCACTGCACTTCTGATCCAGCGAGGCGGCACCCATTGCCGCTCCCAATTGGGCTAGAGGCTCACCATTGTTCTTGCGCGGGCTAAGTGCCCGGGGTTCCTCCTAATCGAGCTGAATAGAGCTATAACACTCACCGCATGGCCCAAGATTCCATTCCTTGGAATCCGTGAGGCCAAGAACCCCAGGTCAGAGAACAAGAGACTTACTGCCATCTTGGAAGCGGCCCACCACCATCTTGGGAGCTCTAAGAACAAGGACCCCCAGTAACAATAGCACTATAACACCCCTAAACTGGAAAATATCCAGTCTGAGGTATAGGGCATAGTCATAAAATGGAAACCATCCAGAATGAAAATGAAAGAACTATTTCTACACACGGTATGCATGAATCTCACAAAAACAACATTAACTAAAAGAAACCAAACACAGTACACAGAGTACTGGTCTAGAGAGAAGGAGAATTCAAAACAAACAAAAGTAACCCAGCTGTTACAAGTCAGGGCGAGTCCAGCCAGGCACAGTGGCTCATGTCTGTAATCCCAGCACTTTGGAAGGCTGAAGTGGGAGGATCATCTGAGTCCAGGAGTTCGTGACCAGCCTGGGCAACACAGCGAAACCCTATCTCTACAAAAAACATTTTAAAATTAGCAAGGCGTGGTGGCACACGCCTGTAGTTCCAGGTGCTTGGGAAGCTGAGGTATAGGATTGCTTGAGTCTGGGAGGTTGAACCTGGAGTGAGTAGTGATCTCACCACTGCACTCCAGCCTGGGCAACAGAGCAAGAATCTCTTTCAAAAGATATATTTTTAAAGGCTACATGGGGTGGGTCATGCCTGTAATCCCAGTGCTTTCAGAGGCTGAGGAGAGAGGATAGCTTGAGGCCAGCAGTTGGAGACTCTAGTGAGCTATGATCGTGCCACTGCACTCCAGCCTGGGCGACAGAGACTCTAGCTCTTAAAAAAAAAAGAAAAAAACAGATGAATGATAACCTTTAGAAGGGATCGGGAGGCCGGATGTGGTGGCTCACGCCTATAATCCCAGCACTTTGGGAGGCCAAGGCAGGCAGATCACTTGAGGTCAGGAGTTTGTGACCGGCCTGGCCAACATGGTGAAACCCTGTCTCTACTAAAAATACAAATATTAGCCTGGGCAACAGAGTGAGACTCCGTCTCGGGGCGGGGAGTGGAGGGGGGAGAAGAAGGGATGGGGGAAAGGGGAGCACATGAGGCTTCTACTGTTTGGTTTTGCGATCTGGATTCAGGTTGTATGGGCATGTTCACTTTGTGTAATTTTGTCGAGCTGTAATGATTTGTGCTCTTCTCTTTATTTAACTTCAATAAAAGGTTTACTTAACAAAAATTGTAGCTGGTGTGAAGGGTAGCAGTGTTTCCCTGGGGCCAAGAGTACAGGCTTTGGGGACAGACAGACCTGGGTCCCAATCTATGCTTTGTCCCTTCGGCACATTGTTGACTGTGGCTGGTGGCTTCGTGGCTCTGAGCTTGTCTCCTTCTCTATAAATGAGGAAACATAATACTTGCGACGATGATGCCTGTAAAGCTTAAGCGCAGGACCTGGCATAGATCTGTAAGGCGGAAACCTGGGATACAGAACTAAGGTCTATGGATCTCCTGTGCTACCCAACTTCTGGGCACTCGCTGCCTCCTTTTCCCCAGCCCAGACGCGTGGGTTCTACTCGATTGGTTGCTCACTGCGGGCTCGGGGCTCCTCAATCCCGGGGTAAAGCCCAGTATGAAATGTCACCTTCAGGGGCAGCTCGGATCTTCCCACGCCCGCGCGGCGCACAATCTTTGGATCAGCGCCACGTGGAGACCTTACCCGCCCGTACGATCAATCCCTTCTGTGGAACCCAGCTCAAGGACCCTCCAGCCCAGACACTAGAAAGCGAAGAGCAGTTGGCCGCCAGACTGTCCGTGCCAGAGCTCTGCGAACTTACTCCGTTGAAAGAGCAACGGGGCTGCGCCACCTCCCGGAGAGAACCCCCAGCCCTCCACGGCAGGGCGAGATGGCGCCACCGCGTGATACTGCGCACGCCCACAGCTCCCGTCCCGCCCTCGCGCCTGCGGGTACGGACAGCGCATGAGCTTATGTTGAGGGCGGAGCCCAGACCAGCCCTTCGTCCTATCCTGCCCTTCCAGCACCTCTCAGCCGTAACTTAAACTACACTTCCCAGAAGCCTCCTCAGCCAGGGACTTCCGTTGTCGTCAGCGGAAGCGGTGACAGATCATCCCAGGCCACACAGAGGCCGGCTTGGTCACTATGGAGGAGATAGGCATCTTGGTGGAGAAGGCTCAGGTACAGTGGGGACTTGGGCTTTTTAGTCCGGGCCGGGCTCGCGGGGAGAGGGTGAAGCCAGACCTGAGTGGGGGGAGGAATGGCTTCCAGGACCCCGGCCCAGGTTGGGGTTATTTTAGAGGCCTCGGTGGAGAGCTTTGTGCCATTCGAAGGCCTGTCTGGGTGGCCGAGTGATGGTAGGAGGTAAGGCTCAGAAAGCGGGGCTGGGGGAGTGAGTGACGTTAGTGGGTCTTTGAGACGGATTGATTTCGAACCCTGGCCGGTAGTGCTTAGTGAGGTCGGTGGCCCGGCGTTGGGATTGGGTCAGGCGGTGAGTGATATATGGGATCCCGCCGTGCGGCCGAGTGATCCCCGGGTCTGGGCTGCGGGGCTGACTGATGTTCAGGGCTTTGCTGATGGGGGTAATGGGGCGGGTAGTTAAGTATTATCTGTGGCTTGCCTGAGTGATATTTAGGTCTAAGGTGAGTTAGGAGACTGTGACATAAGGGATCTTTGAGGGGAAACTGGGGAATGTTGGGACTCGTTGAAGGCGCAGTCACTTTAACAGCCTATCTAGGAGAGCCATGTGACATTAGGAACCTCTTGAAGGGGATTGGGTGGCATTTGGGTCTGATAAGGAGTTGATGTGACGTTTAGATCCTAGTTGGGGGTTGTGTGACACTGGGGACATGTTATGAGTGGTATATGATAACATAAGATCTGTTTGAGGGGCAAGTTGACATAAAGAGCTTGTTTAGGTGGCCAAAAGGTTTCCAGGATCTATTTAGAGGGTCTTAAGATATCAGGGGTCTGTTAGGGGCTAAGTGACATCAGGGTGAAGTGGGGAGGGGAACAAACATTAGTGAAGTTGGGAAGCTTTCATGAGAGGACTGTCTTCTTCCAATGTGAGTTATCCCCTTTCGTCTAGGATGAGATCCCAGCACTGTCCGTGTCCCGGCCCCAGACCGGCCTGTCCTTCCTGGGCCCTGAGCCTGAGGACCTGGAGGACCTGTACAGCCGCTACAAGGTACATTCGACCCCCAACCCAGACCTTGCACAGGACCTGACATCTCATACTCTTCCCCACTTTCCACCACTCTCTGGATCAGCAAGTCTGGAGCCATCCCCTTCTGTCCCCTCTCTGCTCGCAGAAGCTGCAGCAAGAGCTGGAGTTCCTGGAGGTGCAGGAGGAATACATCAAAGATGAGCAAAAGAACCTGAAAAAGGAATTTCTCCATGCCCAGGAGGAGGTGAAGCGAATCCAAAGCATCCCGCTGGTCATCGGACAATTTCTGGAGGCTGTGGATCAGAATACAGCCATCGTGGGCTCTACCACAGGTGTGCTAAGGACACCTCATTCATTCATCTGTCCACTTAACAACTATTTCCTACCATGTGCTAGGCAGCAGCAAACAAGGCAGGGCAGTGCAGTGCAATGTTCTTCAGAGTATTTTGACTGATCGAAAGGTAGAAATACATACATATATATATATATACACATATATATATGTATATCTATGTTTTTTTTGTTTGTTTGTTTTTTGTTTTGAGACAGAGTTTTGCTCTTGTCCAGGCTGGAGTGCAATGGCATGATCTCGGCTCACTGCAACCTCCACCTCCCAGGTTCACACGATTCTCCTGTCTCAGCCTCCCAAGTAGCTGGGATTACAGGCATGGACCACCAAGTCTGGCTAATTTTTGTATTATTAGTAGAGACAGGGTTTCACCATGTTGGCCAGTCTGGTCTTGAACTCCTGACCTCAGGCGATCCACCCGCCTCACCCTCCGAAAGTGTTGGGATTACAGGCCTGAGCCCCACTGCACCTGGCCAGAAATGTATTTTACATTGTGATTATCTGTATCTGTCTCTTACTTTTTAGATAGATGTGTAAAACATAAGTTTCACCATGAAATATTTAGCCTTACTAGGTGTGGTATATGCTGATGTTTTCTATCCTATTCTAGTCTGTTTTGCTTTAAACACAGTTCTGGTCATGACCTTCCAAATTGATTTCACAACTACTACTGGTTTGGGGCCTGCAGTTTGAAACGATGAGTAGGAGTGTTAAGAGATTGGGCTCTGAGGCCAGGCATGGTGCCTCACACGTATAATCCCAGTACTTTGGGAGACTCAGGTGGGCAGATCACTTGAGGCCAGAAGTTTGAGACCAGGCTGGGCAACATGGCAAAACCCCGTCTCTACTGAAAATATAAAAATTAGCTGGGTGTGGTGGCACACACTTGCCATCCCAGCTACGCAGGTGGTTGAGGCACAGGATCTGTTGAACCCAGGAGGTGGAGGTTGCAGTGAGCCGAGATCGTGACACTGTACTACAGCCTGGGTGACAGAGCAACACTCTGTCTAAAAAAAAAAAAAAAAAAAAAAATACTGGGCCCTGATAGGGACTCAGAGTCCTTATCAGAGTATATTGTAGCTGCTGCTGTTTATATAGGTCTAGGCCTTGCCCTCTTGATAGTCATTGTCACTGGCATCTTATCTGTTTTTTCTTGTTTCTGGGCTCTGCTCCTCTGGACCAAGCCATGTTCTTGTAAAGGTTTTGGAGAAAGGTGTGCGATTGTGCCTGGAATTGGACTGGTGGGCTATGAGGAAGTGAGGAGAGGGTGGTATCCAGGATGAGGCCTTTCTCTTTGACCTGTGGGAGTTGGGATAGTGTGGCTTTCCCTGAGATGGCACCATGGGTAGAGGAGTAGGTTTGTGGGAAGACAGGGAGGGCAGTCCAGAGCACATGGGAGGTGTCCAGGAGGCTGCTGGTCAGCCAGGTCTGACAATCAGGAGAGAGACTGAGCCTGGAAACAGAAGTGTGCCTCACTAGTATGAGATGCAGGGGGAGGCCTGCTGGACAGCCAGGGCTGGATGTCAAGAGAGAATCAGGGCGGTAGACAAGGAGTTCGTGTGAATACTGGGGACGGACAGCAGGAGGGAAGGCTGGAGGCCGAGAGGGGACCCCTCAGGGTCTGAACCAGAGATGTTGGGGTGTGGAGATTAGGAGGGAGGAAGGGGGAAGGGGCAGTTTCCAGGCTGACACTTCTCGTTTTCCTCTCTCCCTTCTCGCAGGCTCCAACTATTATGTGCGCATCCTGAGCACCATCGATCGGGAGCTGCTCAAGCCCAACGCCTCAGTGGCCCTCCACAAGCACAGCAATGCACTGGTGGACGTGCTGCCCCCCGAAGCCGACAGCAGCATCATGATGCTCACCTCAGGTAAAGGGGGAGCCTGCAGCTGGGAGGGCCCCATGGGGACCTTGAGGACCTGGCCAGGAGCCCCAGCTCTGCTCTCCCACCAGACCAGAAGCCAGATGTGATGTACGCGGACATCGGAGGCATGGACATCCAGAAGCAGGAGGTGCGGGAGGCCGTGGAGCTCCCGCTCACGCATTTCGAGCTCTACAAGCAGGTGAGGCGGTGCAGGTGGCAGGGAAGGGAGAGGCCCCATTGGGTCTGGGGTTGGAGGTGGAACCCCTGACTCCCACTTCTCTTCCTTCCTCTGGGTTTCAGATCGGCATCGATCCCCCCCGAGGCGTCCTCATGTATGGCCCACCTGGCTGTGGGAAGACCATGTTGGCAAAGGCGGTGGCACATCACACAACAGGTGAGCCCTTTCGCCCCTGCCCCGAGCTCTCATCTTCTGGCCTCTTCGCCTTGCTCCCTGCTCGCTCACTGGCACTGCACAGTAATTAGAAACAGACTCTGGGGTCATAGCCCACGTGTGCATGTTACTGGCTGTGCTGACTTCACCTCCTTGGGCCTCTCCTAGTAGTTGAAGACTCATTTCACCCGGTGATAGTGAGCAGTTAATGAAATAATGCAGTGTTTTCCTACAATGGGTTGTGACCTATTAGTAATTATGAATTTCAATTTGTGGGTTGCAGCCAGTATTTTGAAACATGAAATAGAACAGAAAGCGCCAGAGAACATCCACATGGTATTTATACCATGGTACAAGTATATATGGTGCAAGTTCATCTGTTTCGTGAAACTTGTTTCATACAGATGTGCACACTCATGTATACTTGTGGTTCTTCAAAAATATATATATATATTTTAATTCTTAAATTTTTTTGTAGAGATAGGGTCTCACTCTGTTGCCCAGGCTGGTCTTGAACTCCTGGGCTCAAGGGATCCTCCCACAGTGCTGGGATTACAGGCGTGAGCCATGTGCCTGGCCCCAAAAATGTATTTCTTATTGTAGGTGCCAGACAAAAATGTCTGAAAGTCACTCACTCTATAACTTTTTTTTTTTTAAAGCCCTAAAATCTTAAGCATATGTTCAGATCTTAACACATGTGAGCCAGGGAGCAGTAGGAGGTAGTAGTTAAGCAGTATGTTTTCTGGGGCTAGACTGCCTGGCTTTGAAATCTTACTCCCCCAGCAACTTCTTATGTGATCCTGGGTAAATTAACCTCTCTGTGACTCAGTTTCCTCACCTGTCAGATGGAAACAATCATAGTACCTATTTTTCTAGGGTGGGTGTTCAGAAGAGCAAATTGATACAAAGCATCTGGAATGGGCAATAAATGTTAGCTGTTGTCATTGTTACTCATTTGCTTGGTACTTTATTGAACTTTTACTCTGTACCAAGCCTTGTGCTGGAATGCAAAGATGACAATCAGAGATGTCCCTTGCCTTGACTGGGAAAAAAGAAAAAGACACCTAGAACTCAGTCATTCAGTGACTGTTTATTGAACACCCACTATGTGCCAGGATGTGTTGTAGATGCTAGAGACATGGGCCAGGCGCGGTGGCTCACGCCTGTAATCCCAGCACTTTGGGAGGCCGAGGTGGGAGGATCACGAGATCAGGAGATCGAGACCACAGTGAAACCCCGTCTCTATTAAAAATACAAAAAAATTAGCCAGGTGTGGTGGCGGTCGCCTGTAGTCCCAGCTACTTGGGAGGCTGAGGCAGGAGAATGGTGTGAACCCAGGAGGCGGAGCTTGCAGTGAGCCCAGATCACGCCACTGTACTCCAGCCTGGGCGACAAAGCAAGACTCCATCTCCAAAAAAAATATATATATATATATATATATATATTAATTAGCTGGGCGTGGTGGCCAGCGCCTGTAGTCCCAGCTACTCAGCGTGAACCCGGGAGGCGGAGCTTGCAGTGAGCCGAGATGGCGCCACTGCACTTCAGCCTGGGTGACAGAGTGAGACTCCGTCTCAAAAAAAAAAAAAAAAAAAAAAGAATAGAGACGTGGCAGTAAACAGAACACCTCCTTATGGAGGTGATGTCTTAGTTGGAAATGTGGCCCGACACAGATTCGTAAAGTTTCTTTTTTTTTTTTTTGAGATGGAGTCTTGCTCTGTCATCCAGGCTGGAGTGCAGTGGTGCGATCTCGGCTTACTGCACGCTCTGCCTCCCAGGTTCACACCATTCTCCTGCCTCAGCCTCCTGAGTAGCTGAGACTACAGGCACCCGCCACCACGCCCGGCTAATTTTTTGTATTTTTTAGTAGAGACGGGGTTTCACCGTGTTAGCCAGGATGGTCTAGATCTCCTGACCTCATGATCCGCCCGCCTGGGCCTTCCAAAGTGCTGTGATTACAGGCGTGAGCCACCGCACCCAGCCCGTAAACCTTCTTAAAACATGAGATTTTTTGTGTGTGATTTTTTTTTTTTTTTTTTTTTGAGACAGAGTCTCACTCTGTAGCCCAGGCTGGAGTGCAGTGGTGCTATCTTGGTTCACTGCAACCTCTGCCTTCTGGGTTCAAGCGATTCTCCTACCTCAGCCTCCCGAGTGGCTGGAATTACAGGTACATGCCACCACATCTGGCTAATTTTTTTTGTACTTTTGGTAGAAATGGGGTTGCACCATGTTGGCCAGGCAGGTCTCGAACTCCTGGCCTCAGGTGATCCACCCACCTTGGCCTCCCAAAATTCTGGGATTACAGGCGTGAGCCACTGCACCCGGCTGTGATTTTTTTTTTTAAGCTCATCACCTATCATTAGTGTTAGTGTATTTTATGTGTGGCCCAAGACAGATCTTCCAGTGTGGCCCTGTGTACCCTTCACCCAGATTCCCTAATGTTACTATCTTATGTAACCATAGTATAATTAGGAAAACCAGGAAATTAACAGTGGTACAATACAATGAACTAAAGTTTAGACCTCCTTCAAAGTTTACCAGCTTTTCCCACTAGAGACCCTCACTTCAGGTTCTGTCGTTTTTCTGAGTGAATTGGGGTGGTTTGTCACTGGCAGAGGGAGGGAAGAGAGAAGGTGTAGAAGGGATGTAGAAATGGGAAAAGCTGCTGACTGGGGTTGAGTTTTGTTTTGTTTTCTAGAGACAGGGTCATGTCTGGCAAGGCGCGGTGGCTCACGGCTATAATCTCAGCACTTCAGGAGGCCGAGGTGGGCAGATCACGAGGTCAGGAGTTCGAGACCAGCCTGGCAAACATAGTGAAACCCCATCTCTACTAAAAATACAAAAAAATTAGCCAGGCATGGTGGTGGGCGCCTGTAATCCCAGCTACTCGGGAGGCTGAGGCAGGAGAATTGCTTGAACCCAGGAGGCCAAGGTTGCAGTGAGCGAAGATCGCACCATTGCACTCCAGCCCGGCCAATAGTGCGAGATTCTGTTTCCAAAAAAAAAAAGAGAGATAGGGTCTTGTTCTGTCACCCAGGCTGGAGTGCAGTGGTGTGATCATAGCCCACTGCAACCTTAATCTCCTGGGCTCAAGCAATCCTCCCCACCTGTCTCTCCTAAGTAGGTGGGACTACAGGCGTGTGCCACCATGCCCAACTAATTTTTGTATCTTCATTTTCAGTAGAGACAGGGTCTTGCTATGTTGCCCAGGCTGGTCTTGAACTCCTGGGCTCAAGCCATCCTCCTGCCTCAGCTCCCCAAAGTGTTGGGATCACAGGTGTGAGCCTTTTTTTCCTCTTGTTTTTCGGGGGGAATTCATCTATTTGTTCCGGTGACAGCACAGCTTACTAAGAGTGAGTAACTGAAGCAGGAGCCCATTCCAGGATAGGTGGAAGGAGTAGTAGAGCCCAGGGGGAGCTGAGAGATTGGGAGGACAGGGAAGGTTGGGGTAGGAAGGGGACTGTAGTGATTGAGTAGGAAAGGCTGACGGACAGGCTCGGTCAGATAAGGCAATTCCAGGGATGGGGGTTTCATGTGGAACTGGTTGGACATTTGCAGAACAGCCAAGTAAATGGCCAAAGTCAGGTGGTCAAGGTGTGTTTTCTGTTTAGAGCAGAAAAAGTCAGAAATCTTGAGGTTAGGATGCTGAATGAGCCCCCAGCTGATGCAAGTATCAAGAAAGAGGGACCCCTTGAGCCAGGTGTAAAGTCTGGATCTTAGGGAGTGAACAGGGCAGGGCTGAAGCCTTGAACAGTTCCTAGCTTATGACATAAAACCACTCAGTCTATCTATGGACTGCATGTCTCCCTTCTCTGGTGGCTGGAAGGAGAGTCCTGGGGGTATGCTTCATACAACACAAAGCATCTGATCCTTAAGAAACAAGTGTAACTTTAAGAAACAAGGCCAGGGTCAAGCATGGGGTGGCTCATGTCTATAATCCCAGCACTTTGGAAGGCTAAGCCAGGAGGATCGCTTGAGGCCAGGAGTTTGAGACCAGCCTGAGCAATATAGCAAGACCCCATCTCCTCAAAAATTTTAAAAAGCTAGGTGTGGGGACATGCCTATAGTCCTAGCTACTCGGGAGGCTGAAGAGGGAGGATTGCTTGAGCCCAGGAGATTGAGGCTGCAGTAAGCTATGATGATACCACTGTACTCCAAGTCCAAAGGGAGGGCCCAGAACAAATCTGTCTTCAACCCCATTGCCAATTGTCAGTTATATCAGAACATGCCCGTGGTCCCTGATCTTTTTCAGGAAATTAAAAAGCTGGTCCTTATAGCAAACAGGAACTCAGAGCTCTTGGCGAGGCAGTATGATGTCTTAGTGTATGGGCAGCATGCCTGTTTTCTTGCTGATTTTGCAAGTGCTCCAGAAATGTAGACTGGTTTTTTTCTTTCTTATTTTAGTATTTCATATCCTGATTTTTAAATGTTGGGCCAAAAAAATGACACATCTGGCTGGACATGGTGGCTCATGCCTGTAATCCCAGAACTTTGGGAGGCTAAGGCGGGCAGATCACTTGAGGTCAAGAGTTCAAGACCAGCTTGGCCAACATGGTGAAACCTCGTCTCTACTAAAAATACAAAAATTAGCTTGGCATGGCAGTGCACGCCTGTAATTCCAGCTACTCGGGAGGCTGAAGCAGGAGAATCACTTGAACCCTGAAGGCAGAAGTTGTGGTGAGCCGAGATTGTGCTACTGCACTCCAGCCTGGGCGACAGAGCAAGACTCTGTCTCCAAAAAAAAAAAAAAAGTGACACATTTGTAAGGATGATTCATGATTTAGGCCACTGGGTCACTGTGGGGTACAAGTAGATGGCTATTCCTCAGGGCTGGATGTGGGGCTCACCCTTGGGCATGAGGGAATGACACAACTACTAGGTATGGGTATCCAAGGAAAAGGATGTCTTCAAGGAATTCGCAGTTTCTGTTAAAGCAGAATGGGCCCCTCAGGAGGCTCATTCCCGCCTAACTGTTGTCATCCTGTCATCAGCTGCATTCATCCGGGTCGTGGGCTCGGAGTTTGTACAGAAGTATCTGGGTGAGGGCCCCCGCATGGTCCGGGATGTGTTCCGCCTGGCCAAGGAGAATGCACCTGCCATCATCTTCATAGACGAGATTGATGCCATCGCCACCAAGAGATTCGATGCTCAGACAGGGGGTAAGTGATGCTGAAACAAGGCCCGGGGTCTTGGACAGGCTTGTCGCATGGGATGCCTGGGACTGACTGTGCTGTGCACTCTCAGCCGACAGGGAGGTTCAGAGGATCCTGCTGGAGCTGCTGAATCAGATGGATGGATTTGATCAGAATGTCAATGTCAAGGTTTGGGGTTTGGGATGGACAAGGGGAGGTGTGGTGTAGGAACTGGGGAAAGTTGGGGGCTGGCACCTAAGGGGTGGTTATCGTGACAGGAAGGAGGTAGGAGTGCAGAGATCTGAGCTGGCCTGCCCCCCAATGTCAGGTAATCATGGCCACAAACAGAGCAGACACCCTGGATCCGGCCCTGCTACGGCCAGGACGGCTGGACCGTAAAATTGAATTTCCACTTCCTGACCGCCGCCAGAAGAGATTGATTTTCTCCACTATCACTAGCAAGATGAACCTCTCTGAGGAGGTTGACTTGGAAGACTGTATCCTGCTCCAGAAGTCAGGGAGGGGCCCTAGTTGGGAACGGGGATTAGATCTTCAGCTCAACTTCTGCCAGCACCACAGCCCAGACTGTGCAGGTGGGACCAAGGTCCAGGGAGGAGGGGAGGTGACAGAGATGGCCAAAGATGACTTCCAGCCCCAGGCATTTACCCCATCACACAGGGAATAGTTTCCTTAACTCGCTGCAGATGTGGCCCGGCCAGATAAGATTTCAGGAGCTGATATTAACTCCATCTGTCAGGAGGTAAGTGGTGGTTTCTCTCTGGATCCAGGCAGCGGGTGTGTGAGGACCCTTCTTCTCTGAACCACTCTGCTGCAGTCCTGTCCCCTCATGGCTGCCCTGGGTCGTGGGCGCCATCTCTCTCTTCCTCTACCATCACTAGGGGTGGATAGTACAGGGGTAGTGTTTTTGTGTTTTGCTTTGAGACAGGGACTCACTCTGTCGCCCAGGCTGGAGTGCAGTGGGGCAATCATGACTCACTGCAGTGATCCTCCCACCTCAGCCTCCCAAGTAGCTGGGATTACAGGCGCCCACCACCAGTCTGGCTAATTTTTGTATTTTTTGTAGAGACAGGGTTTCACCATGTTGCCCAGGCTGGTCTCGAACTCTTGGGCTCAAGTGATCTGTATACCTCAGCCTCCCAAAGTGTCGGGATTACAGGTGTGAGCCACTGTGCCCTGCCACAGGAAGTAGATTTTAACTCTCATCCTTCAACAGAGTGGAATGTTGGCTGTCCGTGAAAACCGCTACATTGTCCTGGCCAAGGACTTCGAGAAAGCATACAAGACTGTCATCAAGAAGGACGAGCAGGAGCATGAGTTTTACAAGTGACCCTTCCCTTCCCTCCACCACACCACTCAGGGGCTGGGGCTTCTCTCGCACCCCCAGCACCTCTGTCCCAAAACCTCATTCCCTTTTTTCTTTACCCAGGATTGGTTTCTTCAATAAATAGATAAGATCGAATCCATTTAATTTCTTCTTAGAAGTTTAACTCCTTTGGAGAATGTGGGCCTTGAATAGGATCCTCTGGGTCCCTCTTAATCTGACAGATGAGCAGACGAGGTGCATGGCCTGGGTTGCAGCTTGAGAGAACCAAAATATTCAAACCAGATGACTTCCAAAATGTGGGGAAAGGGATGGAAAATGAACCTGAGATGGAGTCCTTAATCACGGGATAAAGCCCTGTGCATCTCCCTCATTTCCTACAGGTAAAAGACAGTAAAGAAATTCAGGTCACAGGCCTTGGGAGTTCATAGGAAGGAGATGTCCAGTGCTGTCCAGTAGAACTTTGCACAATGATGGATATGTTCTGTGTTCTCCAGTATGGTAGCTGCTCGCCACATGTGGCTAATAAGTACCTGAAATATGGCTAGCATGACTGAGAAACTGAACTTTTTTTTTTTTTTTTTTTTTTTTTTTTTTTGAGATGGAGTCTTGCTCTGTCACCCAGGCTGGAGTGCAGTGGTGAGATCTTGGCTCACTGCAGCCTCTGCCTCCCAGGTTCAAGTGATTCTCCTGCCTCAGCCTCCCGAGTAGCTGGGACCACAGGCATCTGCCACCACACCCGGCTAAATTTTGTATTTCTAGTAGAGACAGGGTTTCACTATATTGGCTAGGCTGGTCTCGAACTCCTGACCTCAAATGATCTGCCTGCCTTGGCCTCCCTAAGTTGTTGGGATTACAGGCGTGAGCCACTGTGCCTGGTCAAGAAATGGAACTCTTACACACTGCTGGTGGGAATGTGAAATGGTAAGCCACTTCGGAAAACAGTTTGACAATTTCTTATGCTAAAAATACACCTATCAGATGATTTAGCCACTTCTAGGTATTTACTTAAGAAAAAATAAGGCATACATCCATATGAAGACTTGTAAATAAATGTTCTCATTATTTTTATTTGAAATAGCTAAAACTGGAAACAACCCAAATATCCATCAGCAAGTGAATGGATAAACAAATTGTAATATTTGTATGCAATATAACACCACTCAGTAATATGAAAATGAACTACTGATGTATGCAAAAACGTGAAATTCAAAATAATTATGCTGAGTGACAGAATCCAGACAACAAATAATACATAATGTATTATTCTATTTACATAAAGTTTTAGAAAATCCAAACTAATCTAAGTAACAAAGCATACCAATGGTATATGGGGCTTGGGGCAGGTGAGACGGATTATAGAGAAAAAAGTAGGAGGTGATAGACATGTTTAGTTTTTTTGCTTGTTTGTTTTTACTGTGGTAATGGTTTTTCAAGTGTGTATGTCAAAACTTATCAAATTGTACCTAATTTATTGTAGTTTTATTGATACCTCAATAAAATTAATAGTTACATACATAAATGTACTTGAAGTTCCACCTAGCACAATAAGGTAAGAAAAAAAATTAAGGCGTGGGACTGGAAAAGAAATGAAACTCTTCATTATTCACAAATGTCATGATTGCATATATGGAAAATCTAAGTCTACACAAAACCTATTAAAATTAAATAGTGAATTTAGCAATGTGGCTAAACAAAGGTCAATATAAAATATTAAATATAAGCCAGGCATGGTGACATGCATCCACAGTCCCAGCTACTCAGGAGGCTGAGGCAGGAGAATTGCTTGAGCCCGGGAGTTCAAGTCCAGCCTGGGCAACACAGCAAGACCCACTGTCTCTGAAAAAAAATCAAATACATATATCAGCAATAAATAAATAGGAAATTAAATTTTAAATTATAACATTTATCAAATAAATTCTTAAGTGCCAAGAATAAATTTAAAATATGAGATATAAATAGTTAAAATTACAGAATATTGACAGAAATCAAAGAAGACAAATAAATGTTGGGATACAACATGTTAATGTATTGGAAGATTACGAGTAAAAATATTAATTCTCCACAAATTGATCTATAAACAACGCAGCGCCAATCAGAATCCCAGCAGTTTTGTCCTGCTGGAAACTGACAAACTGATTCTGAAATATATAAGTAAATGAAAGGCTCAGAAATAGCCAAGAGAATATTTGAAGAAAAAAGCAAAGCTGGAAGACTTACAATACCAAATATCCAGACTGATGGTAAAGCTGTTGTAACTAATGTAGTGTGGTATGGCCTTACCAATGGACAAATCAATGGAACAAAATATGGAGTCCAAAAAGAAAATAATATACTCACTTGATTTCTGACAAAGTTAATCCTGTGGTACACTGGAGTATGAGTGATCTTTTATTAAATGTTGCCTTGTCAACTCTATGTAGATAAAATAAATCTGTGTTACCAGATGAAGAGTTTTTAATTGGGTTGTTCAGGTTATTGGCATGTTGAACAAAGAACTGAACAAAATGCACAGACAAAGAAAAAGCAACAAAAGCAGAGATTTATTGAAGTGAAAGTACACTCCACAGAGTTAGAGAGGGCTCAAACAAGTGGCTCAAAAGTCCAGATTATAATGTTCCTTGGGGATTTTATTAAACTAAAAGAGCATAGTAGCACGCCTAAACGTCCTTTAGAAGCCTCTAACAGGTCATACTCTATAGGAATGAAGAATTCTGCCCAGGACCAATCAGAGGCACCCTGCAAATGAGGGATTCAGAATGAACCAATCACAGGCATTCCCATTGTGACACAGGGGAGGGGAGGTTCAGAGAAGGAGGGCCTTTGGCCTCGTTATTTGGTCACGGAGAGGTGAGGTTTTCCTCTTAGTCCAATTCCAAGAAGTCAGCAGGGGTTGGCCTTAGGTTCCCTGTCTCCAGACTCTATTCTCCTGCCTCATTTGGACCCCTACAATCTAATTGTGAATGTAAAAGGTAAAAAAAGTTTCAAATAATTACGTAGAAGGATAGCTTCATGACCTTTGGTTTGGCAATATTAATCATTTTTTAAAATAGTTTTTTTGTTTGTTTGTTTGTTTTTGAAACAGAGTCTCACTCTGTGGCCCAGGCTGGAGTGCAGTGGCGCAATCTCGGTTCACTGCAACTTCCGCCTCCCAGGTTCAAGCACTTCTCCTGCCTCAGCCTCCTAAGTAGCTGGGATAACAGGCGTGTGCCACCACACCCAGCTAATTTTTGTATTTTTAGTAGAGACGGGGTTTCACCTGACCTCATGATCCGACCACCTTGCCCTCCCAAAGTGCTGGGATTACAGGCATAAGCCACTGCACCTGGCTGGTGGCACACATTCTTTTTTTTTTTTTTTTTTTAAAGACGGAGTTTCACTCTTGTTGCCCAGGCTGGAGTGCAATGGCACGATCTCAGCTCACCACAACCTCCGCCTCCTGGGTTCAAGTGATTCTCCTGCCTCAACCTCCCGAGTAGCTGGGATTACAGGCAGGCGCCACCACGCCCAACTAATTTTGTATTTTTAGTAGAGAGAGGGTTTCTCCATGTTGGTCAGGCCTGTCTCCAACTCCCAATCTCAGGTGATCCACCTGCCTCAGCCTCCTGAAGTGCTGGGATTACAGGCATTAGCCATCGCGCCCAGCCACACATTCTTATACAAACAGTTTTAACTTGGTTGTAAATATCTCCACTCAAAGGATCTGGCCCATGCAGAAACACAAGACTTGTCCCTCAATATAAATCGTAAGATAGGTGGTGTTTTGTACAGTCTAGAAAACCAGGCCAAGTTGCAGCAAACCCCTAGGTTTTAATGTTAATAAAGTCCTCTTGGACTTCATGGGCCCAAAAGTTCCAGTGTTGTATTGCTTTTGTAAGAAAATTTCAAAACTGTAAAAAAGACAAATGGGTAGTTCTTGGAATACCAAATAAGTAGTGGTTAAACTGGAGGTATCAGTGCATAGCTAAGGCACTAAATTTGTTATAGGTCAGAATCAACTCCCTAAAATTTGATGCTCATAGCCATGAAATAAGGTGGTAGAGCAATGCAGGTTCCCTGATCAAACAGCCTTTCAAAAGGAGTCTTGATCTTATTCAAAGATCATGTCATTTAATTTGCACTATGGCCTTTGCCACACATAAATTATGCAGTAATTCCAGTATTCCACTAAAAATCCATGACCTGAATCTCATTATGGGAATACATCAAACTACAAAATTGAGAGACATTATATAAAGTAACAACTTTTTTCTTCAAAAATGTTGTCATAAGAAACAAAGAAAGGGTAGTAATATCACATGATATCAAAGTAGGGGATTCTTGCTCCCTTCCTCCCACAAAAGTGGACAATTAGCTATCCATGAATAAAAATAGCTCTAGGAGAGCTCTGGAATCCAGTTAAGAAGCTGCAGCAACACAGTGGAGCAAAAAAACACCTAGAATAACCAACATAAGGGGCAGGAAGAACAGTTTCATTTTTAAAAATTGAAATCATATCAAGTATCTTCTGAGATCACAATAGAAAAAAATCCCTAAAAATCAGTAAGAAGCAGAACTTTGGAAACTGTATAAGTACATGGAAATTAAGCTCCTCAATGACCACTGGGTCAAGGAAGAAATAAAGGAGGAAGTAAATTTCTTGAAACAAATGAAAATAGAAACACAACATACCAAAATGTGCGGGATACAGGAAAAGCAGTGCTAAGAAGAAAGTTTATAGCAATAAATGCCTACATCAAAAAAGTAGAAAATTTTAAACTATCGAATCATGCACCTTAAGGAACTACAGAGCAAGAACAAACCACACCCAAATTAGTACAAAGAAAGACATAATAAAGATCAGAAAATTACTAAACAAAATAGAGACTCAAAAAAATACAAAGGATTAACAAAATGAAAAGTTGGTTCTTGGAAAAGATAAATAGAATTAATAAACCACTAGCTAGACTAACCAAGAAAAAATAAAAGAACCAAATAAACAAAACCAGAAGTGTATTATAACTGATACCACAGAAATACCAAAGATCATCAGAGACTACAGTGAATAACTATACACTAACAAACTGGAAAACCTAGGGGAAATGGATAAATTCCTGGATACATATAATTTACTCAGATTAAATCAGGGAGAAATACAAAACCTGAACAGACCAATAATGTGTAAGACCAATAATGATTCAAATATATTGAATCAGTAATTAAAAGTCTCCCAACAAAGAAAAAGTCCAGGACTTGGTGCTTCACTGCAAATTCTACCAAACTTTCGAAGAACTAACACCAATTCTCAAACTATTCCCAAAAATTGAAGAGAAGGGATTCTCCCTAGCTCATTCTAAGAGGCCAGCATTACCTTGAGACCAAAACCAGACAAGGATGCAACAACTACAAAAAACTAGAAGCCAATATCCCTGATGAACATAGATGCAAAAATTCTCAACAAAATACTAGCCAAATCCAACAGCACATCAGAAAGGTAATACACCATGACCAAATGGGATTTATCCCAGGAATGCAAGGATAGTTCAACATATTCAAATCAATAAATGTGATACATCACATAACAGAATGAAGGAAAAAAGCCATATGATCACCTCAATAGATTTCAAAGCACTTGATGAAAATAAACATCCTTTCAAGATAAAAACTCTCATCAAACTAGGCATAGAAGGAACAAACCTCAACAAAGTAAGGGCCATATATGACAAACCCACAGCTAATATACTGAATGAGGAAAAGCCAAAAGGCTTTCCTCTAAGAATTGGAACAAGACAAACATGCCCACTTTCACCACTCCTATTCAGCACAGTACTGGAAGTCCTAGCCAGATTAATCAGGCAAGATAAATAAATAAAAGACATCCAAATTGGAAAGGAGAAAATCAAACTGTCCCTCTTTACCAATGATATGCTCTTATTTCTAGGAAAAACTAAAGAATCCACAAAAAACTCTTAGATCTGATGTAGCCAAAAAACCAATAGGAAAGCAATCCTGAACAAAAACAACAAAGCTGAAGGCATCACACTACCTGACTTCAAAATATATTACAAGGCTATGATAACCAAAACAGTATGGTGTTGGTATAAAACCAGACACACAGACCAGTGGAACAGAATAGAGAACCCAGAAATGAATCTGTGCATTTATAACCAACTGATTTTCAACAAGGGCACCAAGAACATGTACAGGGGAAAGGATACCCTCCTGAATACATGGTGCTAGGAATATTGGATATGCATATGCAGAAGAATGAAATTGGACCCCAATCTACCATATACAAAAATCAACTGAAAATGGATTAAATGGATTAAAAACTTAAATGGCAGACCCAAACTATAAAACTATGAAGAGAAAACAAGGGAAATACTTCAGGACATTGGTCTAGGCAAAAATTTTATGGCTTAGAACTCAAAAGCATAGGTAACAAAAACAAAAATACACAAATGGGACTATATTATGGTAAAAAGCTTGTGCATCACAAAGGAAACAACAGAGTAAAGAGGTAACCTGTTGAATGGGAGAAAATTTTTGCAAACTATTAATCTGACAAGGGACTGATATCCAGAATAAAAAAGGAACTTACACAACAGTAAAACAAAACAAAACAACCCAACCAAAAAAAATCCTATTAAAAAGCAGGCAAAGTACATGAATAGACATTTCTCAAAAGAAGACATAAAAATGGCCAACGGGAATAGAAAAAAAAAAAAGCCCAACATTAATAATCATCAGGAAAATGCAAATCAAAACCAGAATGAGATATCATCTTAGCCCAGTTAGAATGACCATTACTAAAAAGATAAAAAATAATAGATGCTGTTGAGGATGTAGAGAACAGGGAATTTTTTTTTTTTTTTTTTGAGGCGGAGTCTCACTCTGTGGCCCATGCTGGAGTGCAGTGGCATGATCTCAGCTCACTGCAACCTCTGTCTCCCATTTCAAGCAATTCTCCTGTATCAGCCTCTCCAGTAGCTGGGACTACAGGTGCACACCACCACGCCTGGCTAATTTTTGTAATTTTAGTAGAGACAGGGTTTCACCACTCTTACACACTCTTGGTGGAGATTTAAATTAGTACATCTCCTGTGGAAAAGAATGTGGAAATTTTTCAAAAAACTAAAAACTACCATATGATCCAGCAATACCACTACTGGGTATCTACTCAAAGGAAAAAAAATCAGTATATTAAAGGGATACCTTAAATCCCATGTTTATTGCAGCCCTATTCACAATAGCAAAATATGGAATCACCCTGCGTCCATCAATAGATGAATGAATAAATGAAATGTGATAGCCGGGCACAGCTGCTCACACCTGTAATCCCAGCACTTTGGGAGGCCAAGGTGGGTGGATCACAAGGTCGGGAGTTCAAGACCAGCCTGACCAATATGTTGAAACCCCATCTCTACTAAAAATACAAAACTTAGCCGGGCGCAGTGGCAGGTGCCTGTAATCCCAGCTACTCAGGAGGCTGAGGCAGGAGAATCACTTGAACCTGGGGGGCAGAGGTTGTAATGAGCCACCACTGTACTCCAGCCTGGGTAACAGAGGGAGACTCTGTCTCATAAATAAATAAATAAATAAAATGTGATATGTATACATAATGGAATACTATTTGACCATAAAAAAGAATGAAATAATGTTATTTGCAGCAATGTAGAGGGAACTGGAGGTCATTAAGTGAAATAAGCCAGGCACAGAAAGACACATATCACATATTCTCACTCACATTTGGGAGATGTAAAAAAAAAGTCACTCATGGAGGTATACAGTAGAACAATAATACTAGATGCTAGGAGGAGTGTTTGTGAGGGGATGAAGAAAGACTGGGTACACAACACACAGTTAGAAGGAATAAGCTCTAATGTTCAATAGCAGAGTAGAGAGATCACAATTAACAATGTATATTTCAAAATAGCTAGAAGAGAGGACTTGAAATGTTCCCAATACACATAAATGATAAATACTCGAGGTGATGGATACCCCAAATACCCTGACTTGAGCATCCCACAGTCTATGAATGTAAGAAAATGTCACATCTGGCTGGATGCAGTGGCTCATGCCTGTAATCCCAACACTTTGGGAGGCTGAGCGGGGAGGATCACTTGAGCCCAGGAGTTTGAGACCAGCCTGGGCAACAAAATGAGACCCCCGTTTCTATTTACATTTTTTTAAAAAGAAAATATCACATGTTCCCCATGAATATGTATAAACATTATCAATATAAAAATATTTAAAAAAATTTTAAAGACACATAGGCTAAAAGTGAAGGGATGGAAGAAATTATTCTATGCAACTGGTAACCAAAGAGAGCAGGGTGGCTATAATTATATCAGACAAAATAGACTTTATGTTGAAACTGTTATTAGAGACAGAAAAGGTCATTATATAATAATAAAAGGGTCTATTCAACAGGAAGACATAAAGATTGTAAATATATACGCACCCAACATCAGAGCACTGAAATACATAAAACAAATATTGACAGAGCTAAAGGGAGAAATTGACAGCAATGCTATCATAGGAGGAAACTTTAATGCCTCAATTTCAATAATGAATAGAGCACTCAAGCAGAAAATCAATTTTTAAAAACCCGACTTGTGCACTCTAGCCTAATGGACCCCACAAACATATCTATAACTTTCCACCCAGCAGAAGAAGAATTAGCCCATGCAACAAATTCTTTTCAAACACACTTGGAATATCCTCCAGGACAGATCACATGTTGGGTCACAAAACAAGTCTTAAGAATTTAAGAAGATTGAAATCATACCAATTATCTCCTCAGACCATGTGGAATCAAACTAGAAATAATAACAGCAATAAATAAGGAAAATCCACAAACACATAGTAACTAAACAACACACTTTTGAACACCAGTTGGGTGAAAGAGGAAATCAAAAAGGAATTTAAAAAATACCTTGAGACAAATGAAAACAAGAATACAACATACCAAAATTTATGGGATGCAGCAAAAGCAGTCCTAAGAGAAATGTTTATAGGGATAAATGTCTACATTTAAAAAGAAGAAATATCTCAAACAACCTAAGTTTACAACTCGAGGAAGTAGAAAAAAAAACTAAAAGCAAAGCTAGCAGAAAGAAAAAAAATAATAAAGATTAGAATGGAAATAAATGGAATAGGCTGGGCACAGTGGCTCACTCCTGTAATCCCGACAGTTTGGGAGGCCGAGGTGGGCAGATCACTTGAGGTCAGGAGTTCAAGACCAGCCCGGCCAACATGGTGAAACCCTGTCTTTACTAAAAATACAAAAATTAGCTGGTTGTGGTGGTGGGCGACTGTAATCCCAGCTACTCAGGAGGCTGAGGAAGAACTGCTTGAACCCAGGAGGTGGAGGTTGCAGTGAGCCAATCTCGCCATGCACTCCAGCCTCAGCGATAGAGCAAGACTCCATCTCAAAAAAAAAGAAATAAAATAGAGAGCAGAAAAACCATAAAGAAAAATCAGCAAAACTAACAGTTGTGTTTTTGTTAAAGATAAGCAAAATCAACAATCCCTTACGTAGACTAAGAAAAAAAATAGAGAAGACTCAAAGAAAATCAGAAATGAAATAGGAGACATTACCTTGAATGACAAAGAAATAAAAATGATCATAAGTGACTATTATAAACAAGTATACATCAACAAATTAGAAAATATAGTACAGTGGCCCCCAACCTTTTTGGCACCAGGGACTGGTTTCATGGAAGACAATTTTTCCACAGACCAGGGTGATAAGGGGACAGGGGAGGATGGTTTCAGGATGAAACTGTTCCACCTCAGATCATCAGATTCTCATAAGGAGCGGGCAACCTAGATCCCTTGCATGCAGAGTTCACTATAGGGTTCATGCTCCTGAGAATCTAATGCTGCCACTGATCTGACAGGAAGTGGAGCTCAGGCAGTAATGTTCGCTCTCCTCCTGCTGTGCAGCCCAGTTCCTAACAGGCCATGGACTGGTACTGGTCCATGGCCCAGGGATTGTGAACCCGGATATAGGAGAAATAGATAAATTCCTAGAAACATACAACTTTCCAAGATGGAATCCGGAAGAAATAAAAAGTCTTACTTCTCCTGGGACCCCTGGAATCATGGCATATTCTGAACAAGGGGAGAAACATATTGAGCAGAGGCTCTTAGAGGAGAAACCACCTGGAATGACTCATGAGAAGATGGCATCTGGAGTAGAGGCTATTACTGGCCCAATACAGAACACTGTTCACTGGGACTTCCCTTACACCAGCATCCAGTATGCTCCCACCCCCATGCACCCTTCGGAGGTGCATGCTCAGCAAGGGGTATAAGAGTACCACTGGCAAAACAATGCTTAATCCATCTGGCAGTCATCCTGGCCCTGTGTTTTCCTACATCAGGGCTAAAGGAGGCCAAGGGGTGGCAGAGTGTCAGAACTGATTCATTATTCCAAAGTGCACTTTTGCCTCACTTTCGAGGCATTGAGACTTTGCTGTGGACAGTCTTATACTGTCTCCTCGCAGGGCATGGCCTTCTCTGTGCCTTGTCCTTGTTATGCATCCTCCTGTATCCCTCACAAAGGAAGAGATGGAGCTGTTTGCTAATCCACTTTCTTCTTGAGCAGTTCATGTTGTATGAATAATAGCAAAACCTCTAGGTCACATGTGACTTGTTTAAATACTGTACATACATACCTTGGTGTGTGTGTATATATATATATACACACACACACACACACACACATATATACATATACATATATATATATATATATATATATATAAAATACACACTTGTACATGAAACTCGTAGAATTCAAACCACATCCCATATGGGCTCTGAATATCCTAGGTAGTGCTTGGTGCAAGAGAGAAGTTTGTTGGCATATAATTCACCTTATCACCCCTGTCTCTTTGTCATAATTCTGCTAAATTATTGAGCCTCCATCACATCCAGTTTCTTATGGACATTCTAGTCTCACTCAGAACTGACTCAAAGTTCGACACACACTTTTTAAAAATTCCTCCTAATTGAAACTGTATATCCTTTGACCAACATCTCTCCAACCAACACCACCCCTGACAGGCCCTGGTAACCACAATTCTACGCTCTACTTCTATGAGTTCAACTTTTTTAGATTCCACATATAAGTGAGATTACACAGTATTTGTCTTTCTATGCCTGGCTTACTTCACTTAACATAATGTTCTCCAGGTTCATCCTTGTTGCAAACAACATGATTTCCTCCTTTTTAAAGTCTGAATACTATTCCATTATATATATGCCATTTCCTTTCTCCACTCATCCTTTGATGAACACTTAGATTGCTTCCACATCTTGACTATTGTGAATAGCGCTGCATTAAACATGGGAGCATAGATATCTCTTAAACATATTGATTTTATTTCCTTTGGATATTGATATAGTTTAAATGTGTGTCCCTGCCCAAATCTCATATTGAAATGTAATCCCCAATGTTGGAGGTGGGGCCTGGTGGGAGGTGATTGGATCATGAGGGTGGAGTCCTCATGAATGATTTAGCACCATCCCTCTTAGTACCATCCTCCCAATAGTGAGTTCTCATGAGATCTGGTTGTTTAAAAGTGTATAGCACCTCCCCCTCACTCTCTTGCTCCCGCTTTTGACATATGACATGCCTACTCCCCCTCTGCCTTCCACTATGACTGGAAACTTCCTGAGGCCTCCCCAGAAGCAGGTGCCATTATACTTCCTGTACAGCCTGCAGAACTGTGAGCCAATTAAACCTCTTTACTTAGAAATTGCCTAGTCTCAGGTATTTCTTTATAGCAATTCGAGAATGGACTAACAGAAAATTGGTACCGAGAAGTTGGGCATTGCTGTAAAGATGCCTGAAAATGTGGAAGCAGCTTTGGAATTGGATAACAGGCAAAGGTTGGAAGAGAGTTGAGTGCTCAGAAGATAGGAAGATGAAGGAAAGTTTGGAGCTTCTTAGAGACTGGTTAAATGGTTGTGACTAAAATGCTGATAGTGATAACGGACAATGAAGTCCAGGCTGCCAAGGTCTCAGATAGAAATTAGGAACTTATTGGGAACTGGAGAAAAGGTCCCTTTTGCTATGCCTTAGCAAAGAGCTTGGCTGCATTGTGTCCACACCCTAGGGATCTACGGAAGTTTGAACTTGAGAGTGATGACCTAGGGTATCTGGCAGAAGAAATGCCTAAATAACAAAGCATTCAAGATATGGCCTGGCTGCTTGTAACCACCTATGCTAAGATGTGGGAGCAAAGAAATGACTTAAAGCTGGAACTTATATGTAAAAGGTAAGCAGAGTGTAAAAGTTTGGAAACTTTGCACTGGCCATGTGGTAGAAAAGAAAAGTTCATTTTCAGAAGAATTCAAGAAAGTTTCTGAGCAACCATTTGCTAGAGAAATTTGCCTAACTAAAAATGAGGCAAGTGCAGATAGCCAAGAAATGGGAAACAGGCCTCTAAGGCATTTCAGAGATCTAAGAGGCAGCCCCTCCCATCACAAGCCCCGAGGCCTAGGAGGACAGAATGGTTTCATGGGCCAGAATTGACCTGTGCAGCCTCAGGACATGTCTCCCTGCATCCTGGCTTCTCCAACTCCAGCTGTGACTTAAAAGGGCCCAGGTACAGCTCAGACTGCAGCTCCAAAGGTTGCAAGCCATAAGTCTTGGTGGTTTCCACATGGTCTTAAGCCTGCAGGTGCACAGAGTGTGAATAAGGCTTGGGAGCCTCCATCTAGATTTCAGAGGATATGTGGAAAAGCCAAGGTGTCCAGGCAGAAGCCTGCTGCAGGGGCTAAGCCTTGACAGAAAACCTCTACTAGAGCAGTGCAAAAAGGAAATGTGGGGTTGGAACCCTCACACAGAGTACACACTGGGGCACTGACTAGTGGAGCTATGAGAAGAGGGCCACCATCTTCCAGATCCCAGAATGGTAGATCAGAGCAGCCTCTGAGCCTGAACCCGGCAAAGCCACAGGGGAAGAAATACCCAAGGCTGGAAGCCCACCTCTTAAATTGGTGTGCCCTGGACATGGGACATGGAATCAAAGATTATTCTGGAGCTTTAAGATGTAATGATTGCCCTACTGGGTTCTGATCTTGCATAGGGCCTGTAGCCTCTTTCTTTTAGCCAATTTCTCCCTTTTGGAACAGGAATGTCTATCTAATGCTTGTACCCCCATTTTATCTTGGAAGTAACTAACTTGTTTTTGATCTTACAGGCTCATAGGAGGAAAGAACTTGCCTTGTCTCAGATGAGACTTCAGACTTTGGACTTTTGAGTTAATGCTGGAATTAGTTAAGACTCTGGGGGACTGCTGGGAAGGCAAGATTGTATTTTGAAATGTGAGAAGGCCAGGAGATTTGAGAGGGGCCAGAGGCAGAATGACATTGTTTAGATGTGTATCCCAACCCAAATCTCATACTGAAATGTAATCCCCAATATAAGAAGTGGGGACTGGTGGGAGGTGATTGGATCATGGGCGCAGATTCCTCATGAATGGCTTAGCAGCCCTTTGTTTCCATCCTCATAATAGTGAGTTCTTATGAGATCTGGACATTTAAACGTGTGTACCATCTCCCTCCTCACTCTCTTGCTCCTGCTTTCACCATGTGATGTGCCTGCTCCCATTTTGCCTTCCACCATGATTGGAAACTTCCTGAGGCCTGCTCAAAAGCAGATGCCACTATGCTTCCCGTACAGCCTGCAGAACTGTGAGCCAATTCAACATCTTTTCTTATAAGTTACCGAGTCTCGGGTTTTCTTTATAGCAATGCAAGAATGGACTGATACGGATATATACAGATATATACAGATATATATAGTGGGATGACTGGGTCATATAGTGGTTATATTTTTAATTTGAGAAAACTCCGGATATTTTCTATGTTTGTACTAATTTACATTTCCACAAATAGTGTACAAGTGTTCCCTTATATCCATACCCTCACCAACCCTTGTCGTCTTTTGTCTCTTTGATTACAGCTATTCTAACACTGTGAGGTGGTATCTCAGTGTGGTTTTAATTTGCATTTCTCTGATGATTAGTAATGTTGAGCATTTTTTCATATGGACACTTTTTTTTTTTTTTTTTAAAGATGGAGTCTCACTCTGTCACCCAGGCTGGAGTGCAGTGGCGCGATCTAGGCTCACTGCAACCTTCGCCTCCTGGGTTCAAGCAATTCTCCTGCCTCAGCCTCCTGAGTGGCTGGGATTACAGGACCCACCACGCACCACCACACCCAGCTAATTTTTGTATTTTTTTAGTAGAGACAGGGTTTCACCACGTTGGTCAGGCTGGTCTCAAACTCCTGACCTCACGATCCGCCCACCTCGGCCTCCCAAAGTGCTGGGATTATAGGCATAAGCCACCGTGCCCAGCCTTATATTGACACATTTTTAAGGGATTTGGGGGGGGGCAGGGGTTCTTTGCAACAATGTAAACATCCAGTCCCTCATCAAACTTTCAATTTTTTTTCACGTACTAATTTATATCAGTTTGGAATTATGATTCCCTCTGTTATTTAATGGGTTTTAATCTATAACTAGCATTATTTATTTTGATGCTCAAACCATGTCAAGTTTGGTCAGTGGAAGTCCCTTCAATCTGGTTTCCATGTCCTTTGAACACGTCCCCACCATTCTTTGAGCACTGCCTTACTTTCAAGCACAAGATGTTCCAAGTTCATTCTGAACTTTCCCTTCCCCAGCTCTGGAATCTGCCATTTCTCCATGGAGCCTTGCTCCTTTCAGTGGAGCATGGTATTTAGGAACCAAGGGCTGACTGCCTAATGTGCTTTCCAAGTATAATTTCCTCAGTCCAAGCTTTTCAAATTGATCTGCCAAAGACCCATTGCCAAAGATCCATTGCCAGAATATAAGAGTGGAAGGAAATTCTTAATATTTTTTGAAAGTTACTATTATTTTCATTTTTCTCTTTGTAAAAAATTCATTTAATTCAATATAAAAAGACAAAAATCTTTGGCACATAAATCGCAACTCTCTGATGCAAATGTTTAAATAAAGCTGATACTCCAAGAAGACGCAACATATTCTCTTTATCCCACAGACATATAGGCCTATGGTTGCAAACTTTTATACACACACAGAGTCACAATTCCACTGGCACCCGTGATGTTCCACATCCAGATTTTCCAAATCACACATTCTCATCTTCACATAGCCTTGCCGGCAACCACACGGCATAGTACCACATTGTTACGTCAAGCACAGCCAGTCTACCACAGAGCCTGTCGTCCCATTGACCAAAGTCACAAAAATCACAGCCCCGGGTATTTACTGTGGTTTTCTCCAGTCAGATCCCTTCACTCACTACACACTGACTCACACTCAAATTACACACACGCGGAAACACAACCCGCCAGAGCCAGAGAGGTTCCGTCGGTCCCGCAACCCTCACAGTGCCACACACACGCGCTCACAAGGCAAATACAAATGGCCAGGCACTCATTCTTTACAATACACATATTAAGCGCCTATTATGTACTACACGCCGGGACTACCTCAAGAGGTGAAACAAACAAAATCCTGCCTGGCGGAGCTATCGCCCAGTCCCGCACGCACTCGGCCTCAGGGTCACACTCGGCGGTCCCACGCTCAAGTGGCCCGGCCAGTGGCCCAGAGGCGTCTGTTCTCCTCCTCAGCTTCCTGCGTGGGTTCCTGGTAAGTGAGTCGAACCCGCCGGATGCGCGCGCGCCTGCGCCTCCGCCCAAAAGGATCAGTTTCCGGCTGTGGACTACATTTCCCAGAAGCCCCTTGGGCAGTGTTGCCTGGACCCCAAGGGCCCTTTACATTGCGTTCTTAACGGTTCAGTCACCTTAACCGTTATTATTCACTTGCGGGCGAGAAGTCCGAGCTAGGTGAGGCGGAACGGGACTCTTACGAGTAGGACTGGGGATAGAACTGCCGCCCAAAGTGAGGCGCTCCAGGGCCCAGACCTGGCGTGTCGTGCCCGCAGGGAGCCTCAGGCCTGTGCGTGCTTGGGGAGCGGAGAAGGGAAATTGTGTGACAAAATGTGGCAGACGGTGTATGTGTGTGTGTGCGCGCGACGGGGCGCCTGTCAGGACCGGGTTGGGCGGGTGTGGGTGCGGGTGTGAGGCTGAGACAGGTGCCTGGCTCTCTGGTGTGTGTCACTGACCCTCTACCCTCCTCACGGCCTCGGTGTTTGCACACAGCAGTGTCCCCAAGAGGGAAGTCAAATATCGAGCTCTGGGATGAAGGTTCCCAGCAAGAAGGTACAGACCTGGGTTGGCGATTGGACTTTTGAATTAGAAGTGTCCCTAAAACAGACTCCTGGGACGACAGGTTGGAAGACTGCGCAGTTGGAGCCGCTGTGTGGGCAGCTGCATGTTTCAGAACCACTGCATTCCCATACCTTTGATCTAGAAACCTGGTGTGAGTTCAGAGACAGATCCCAGCCTCACTCTCACACAGCTGTTATGTGCGTGAGGTCAGCACAGATGTGGCGCTGGAGGGGATATTCTAGGTCGGTCTGTGCTCTTAAGAAAGGCCTGCTGTCTCATGATTATTTTTCTTCCCCCATTCTGCTATTCATCAAAACAGGGATCCTGAAAAGGAGGGAACAATTGTTGTAGCAGGTCTAAAAGTTCAGGTCCAGGTAAGTTTATATTTCCTTTTTATTCATAAAATGGAAATCACACATTCTAATCCTCACACAGCCTTGCCTGCACCCAGTCATACGGCGTGGTACCACACTGCTATGTCAAGCACAGCCACAATCTACCACAGAGCCTGTCACCTCATTGCTCACAGTCACAAAAATCACATCCCCAGGTACTTTCTGTAGCTTTCATTTGCATTTTTCCCTTTGAAGAAGTTCATTTGATTCAATCTAAAAAGACTAAATTATTTGTCACATAAATTGCAACTCTCTGGTCTATATCTTTAAGTAAATCTTTAAATAAATGCATAAAATGTTTTTGTTTTTAGGAAATGGAAACATTGCTTTGCTTTTCCTGAATTGTCCAGTGACCTATCCCAGGCCTTCCTTTCCAGTGAACAATGGACCATGCAGGTGGACCCTCCTCTTCACGGGCCTCCAAATGACTTTCTCATTTTTCAAATCATTCCTCTGCACTCACTTTCTATAATGGTAGAGAAATGCATATCCTGGAGTCTAAAGTTAAAACTTTGTTTTATTGAGATTAATGTTTAGGTAGAATCACATCATCCATCTTCTCCAATCTTCTCCAAAGACCTCAGTTTTAAAATATGACAGGATTAGAGATGACCTGACTAGTGTCAGTAAGCAAGTGATAATGGTCGCCTGCTTTTAAGGCTTTTAGAAGTGGGAATGTGATTGGAAGTCCAAGCATAGAAATCTGTGTGAACATGAGCAGGGATTTTTTTCCAAGGAATCCATGAGTTGAGATTTATTTTTATACAGAGTTAGTCATAAGAATAAAAAGTACATATGAGTAAAGTAATAGTCATAGTGATGAAGAATAATACGCAATTTTTTTTTCTTTTTTTGAGAAGGAGTCTCGCTGTGTCACCCAGGCTGGAGTGCAATGGCATGAACTCGGCTTACTGCAGCCTCTGCCTCCTGGGTTCAAGTGATTCTCCTGCCTCAGCCTCCCAGGTAGCTGGGATTACAGGCGCCTGCCACCATGCCTGGCTAATTTTTGTATTTTTAGTCGAGACAGGGTTTCACCACGTTGGCCACGCTGGTCTGGAACTCCTGACCTCAGGTGATTCACTTGCCTTGGCCTCCCAAAGTGCTGGGATTACAGGCATGAACCACCGCACCCAGCCGCAAATTTTAAATTTTATATGAATCTCACTAATATTAGGATTTAAAGACATTTAACAAGCATTATATCTAAATTAACATTTCAACTGATTATTTGCTGGAGAAGTAGAGGAGAACCAAACACTCTTCTGTCTGCTTTGTTCAAATTTTCTTATTCAGTCTGCAGACACTGTTCACCTGGCTTGTGTATTAAGAGAAGAATCTTAACAGTGAAAAGGTCTTGTTGAATTGAAGAAGAATGTTCAAGAACTGGCAGGCATTTATTTATAATGGTCATGCTGTTTTCCTATTGTTTGCATACATGTCAAACCAATTTGCTTCTGATGTGTTAAAACATTTTATTTTATAATTGGATATAGATCTATTGTATACTTCTGGTTATAGAATTAATATTCACCTTTTATAAATTATTTAGTTACTCATTATATTACATAAGGCACTTATAAAGAAGAAAGTTAAAATAGCCCCAGCATCACTATTAACACTTTGGGGAGCTATATTTTAGCAAGATTTTTTTTTTTTTTTGACAGAGTCTCGTTCTGTTGCCCAGGCTGGAGTGCAGTGATGTGATCTTGGCTTACTGCAACCTCCATCTCCCAGGTTCAAGAAATTCTCCTGCCTCAGCCTCCCGAGTAGCTGGGATTACAGGCGCCTGCTACCACGCCCAGCTAATTTTTTGTATTTTTAATAGAGATGGGGTTTCGCCATGTTGGCCAAGCTGGTCTCAAACTCCTGACCTCAGGTGATCCACCCACCTCGGCCTCCCAAAGTGCTGGGATTACAGGTGTGAGCCACCATGCCCGACCTATTTCAGCAAGATTTTTCAGCACACTTGTATGTATGTGTGTGTGTATGTGTGTGCGCACAGCACCTGCACTTTTCTTCCTGCAGAATAGAAATTGCACTAACTGATTATTCAAAGGACACAAGACTTTCCAGCTTCTAGTTAGAAAAACTAATTCTCCCTAACCATAGCTTTCTTATAACTCTGTGCACATAGGGAGAAGAGGAAAACACCAATGAATCCTGCTAAGTTTGATTAACCTTTGAGAAATTTACACCTTTTAGGGTTATATAAACCAATCAAGGATAATTAATATGACATAATTTATCAAGTAAGATAGTTCTTCAGGATTATACTCTTTTTTTAGATTTTTAAGGTTGCTTTTACAGGACATAGCAATACTCTTATCTTGGTTAGGTTTTTTTCAGGGTTCCATTATGCAAATAACATTTTCTAGGACAGATTTATAACAGTAGAAAACAGAATAAGGGTGGGCATGGTGGCTCAAGCCTGTAATCCCAGCACTTTGGGAGGCCCAGGCAGGTGGATCACGAGGTCAGGAGTTCAAGACCAGCCTGGACAAGATGGTGGAACCCCATCTCTACTAAAAATACGAAAATTAGCCGGCTGTGGTGGCATGCGCTTGTAATCCCAGCTGCTTGGGAGGCTGAGGCAGAGAATTGCTTGAACCCAGGAGGTTGCAGTGAGCCGAGATAGCACCACTGCCCTCCAGGCTGGGCGACAGAGTGAGACTCTGTCTCAAAAAAAAAAAAAAAAAAGAAAAAGAAAAAGAAAACAGAATAAGATAGTAACAGCTACAAATATTCATGTAAATCTTTCCATATAGAACAGGAGAACAAGATTGAACCTCATATTAAAATTATCTATTGAATGCCTTATTACAGCAGTTCCCAACCTTTTTGGCACCAGGACTGGTTTCATGGAGGACCGTTTTTTCACAGACAGGGAGAGGGAGATGGTTTCAGGATGATTCAAGCACATTACATTTATTGTGCATTTTATTCCCATTATTATTACATTATAACACGTAATTAAATAATTATACAACTCACCCTAATGTGGAATCAGTGGGAGACCTGAGCTTGTTTTCCTGCAACTAGATGGTCTCATCTTGGGGTGATGGGAGGCAATGACAGATCATCAGGCATTAGATTCTCATAAGGAGCACGCAGCCTAGATCCCTCACATGGTCAGTTCATAATAGGGTTCGCACTCCTATGAAAATCTAATGCTGCAGCTGATCTGACAGGAGGCAGAGATCAAGCGGTTAATGCTAGCAATGGGGAGTAGCTGTAAATACAGATGAAGCTTCCCTTGCTGGCCTGCTGCTCACCTTCTGCTGTGTGGCACAGTTCCTAACAGGCCGTGGTCCAGTGTCAGTCAGTGACCTGGGGGTTGGGGACCCCTGCCTTAATTAGATTATTTTAGCTAGTTTTATGTTGAAGAATGATGTCCCCCCTTTGGTAGTTGCAAGAACAAAAGAGGATATTTCTTTTTTTTTTTTTTAAATGAAGTCTCACTCTGTTGCCCTGGCTGGAGTGCTGTGGCTCAATCTCAGCTCATTGCAACCTCTGCCTCCCAGGTTCAAGTAATTCTTCTGCCCAGCCTCCAGAGTAGCTGGGATTACAGGTACCCACTACCACACCTGGCTAATTTTTGTATTTTTAGTAGAGACGGGGTTTCACCATGTTGGTCAGGCTGGTCTTGAACTCCTGACCTCAGGTGATCCACCCACCTCAGCCTCCCAAAGTGCTGGGATTACAAGTGTGAGCCACCGCGCTCTACCAAGAAGAGATTTCTTGATTATCTTTCTGGGAGTCTGTTTTACGAATGTTGTTAATTAAAAATAATTGCATCTTCAAGGCTCAGCTCTGAAATACTTAAAATATCATTATTAAAAAATGGGCATGAGACTCAAACTTTACTAGAAAAAATGAAATAATATAAAATGATTTTATTTAATAGCAGTGGAACAAAGGACATAATATCCTCTATTTTAATAATACTGGCTAACTTTTATTACGTAATTATGTATCATTAAGTGGGATGTATGTATTATCTCAATCTTCGTGACAACCCTATGAGATAGGTGCTGTTTTTATCCCTAATTTACCAACAAACTAACTGAAAAGTATGTAGCTGTCAGACTAAGATTCACATTCTGAAAATCTGACAACAGAGTTTGTGTTATTAATGACAACGTTATAACCCTGCCCATAATGGCATATGCTCCTTTAATTTGCCTGTATCAGTCAGTAACTCATCATTGATGTCTTCCTCCAAAAATAAATATGGACCAATATAGTTAGTATTAGTAAGGCCTTAGTGTGCCATCATAACTGACCATAGTTTATTTAACCTGCTGCCTACTATAGCTATTAGTATTTTTAATATTTGATTATTATAAGTTGTTATATGATAAATGTCTTATGTATATGTCTTAATATGCTTTAATAGCCACTTGCAAGAAAAAAATGCCAAAAATTGGAATTTTAGTCAAATATCAGACATAAGGGCTCACAGTATACTGAATCTTGTGTTAGTAATCAGAGGAATACAAGAACTGAAAACACATAGGTGTTACTGTACAGCAGAGAGTCTAAAATCAGAATAGACTGAATAAGTATAAGGTAGAAGATAATAAAAAACAGTAAAGAAATTCAGGTCACAGGCCTTGGGAGTTCATAGGAAGGAGATGTCCAGTGCTGTCCAATAGAACTTTCCATGATGATGGATTTGTTCTATGTTTTCCAGTGTGGTAGCTGCTCACCACATGTGGCTAATAAGCACCTGAAATATGGCTAGTGTGACTGGGAAACTAACTTTTTTTTTTTTTTTTGTCGAGATAGAGTCTCACTCTGTCGCCCAGGCTGGAGTACAGTGGCGAGATCTCAGCTCACAGCAGCCTCTGCCTCCCGGGTGGAAGCGATTTTCCTGCCTCAGCTTCCTGATTAGCTGGGACCACAGGCATCAGCCACCATGCCCAGCTAATTTTTGTATTTTTAGTAGAGACAGGGGTTCACTATATTGGCCAGGCTGGTCTCAAACTCCTGACCTCAAAAGATCCGCCCACCTTGGCCTCCCAAAGTCCTGGGATTGCAGGCGTGAGCCGCCGTGCCCGGCCTGAACTTTTAATTTTATTTAAAATTTGATTTAACTTTTTTTTTTTTTTTTTTTTGAGACAGAGTCTCGCTCTGTCGCCCAGGCTGGAGTGCAGTGGTGCAATCTCGGCTCACTGCAAGCTCTGCCTCCCAGGTTCACACCATTCTCCTACCTCAGCCTCCCGAGTAGCTGGGACTACAGGCGCCTGCCACCACGCCTGGCTAATTTTTTTTGTATTTTTAGTAGAGACGGGGTTTCACGTTGTTAGCCAGGATGATCTTGATCTACTGACCTCGTGATCTGCCTGCCTCGGCCTCCCAAAGTGCTGGGATTACAGGCGTGAGCCACCGTGCCCAGCTTAAAATTTGATTTAAATAACCATATTTGTATTGAACAGCACAATTTCATACCTTAAGTTTTTATTGTAATGATTCAAAGTGAGGCTAATGGGTTTTTATTGTTAGATTCAAAAACAAAGTTTTTATTGTTAGATTCAAAGTGAGGCTAATGGGACAAGATTATTCAGCAGCAGTTTGGAGGATATTGTGGCTGAAAGGAAAATTTCAGAGCACAAACTGTCAATACGTTTGTCAGGAGTACATGAAAAGCCACTTCACTGTGACCAGCATTCATATGTATAAGACATTGCAATATATTAGCATACATGGACATATGTGAAAAATCAAAAGAATTGCTTCCAATGTTATGAGCTAAAGGGAAAAAAGACATTCAGTAAAAATATAACAGCTGTTGGCCAGGCACAGTGGCTCATGCCTGCAATACCAGCACTTTGGGAGGCTGAAGAGGGCAGATCACCTGAGGTCAGGAGTTCGAAACCAGCCTGGCCAACATGGCGAAACCCTGTCTCTACTAAAAATACCAAAATTAGCCGGGCGCAGTGGTGGGCGCCTGTAATCCCAGCGACTCGGGAGCCTGAGGCAGGAGAATCACTTGAACCTAGGAGGCGGAGTCTACAGTGAGCTGAGATTGTGTCATTACACTCCAGCCTGGGTGACAGAGTGAGACTCTATCTCAAAAAAATATATATATATAAATATATAAATATATTTATATGTATTTATATATAATATATAAATATATATATAACTATATTAATATATAAATATATATTATATATATAACTATATTAATATATATATATATCAGCTGTTTTTAGATTATCTTAAGCTTTTCCTTCAAGTTGAAGAGAAGATCGTTCAACAAAGGAAAGGCTTTCTCTTATCAAAATGAAAAATAAGTACATATGTATGCCGGTGTGTATATTTTAAATTTTTATTTTATTTTTTTGAGATGAGTCTCACTCCCGTCGCACAGGCTGGACTACAGTGGCACAGTCTCGGCTCACTGCAACCTCCACCTCCTGGGTTCAAGTGATTCTCCTTCCTCAGCCTCCCAAGTAGCTGGGATTACAGGCATGTGCCACCACACCCAGCTAATTTTTGTATTTTTTAGTGGAGATGGGGTTTTGCCATGTTCGCCAGGCTGGTCTCGCACTCCTAACCTCAGGTGATCCAGCCACCTCGGCCTCCCAGCGTGCTAGGATTACAGGCGTGAGCCACCGTGCCCAGCCTAAATTAATTTTTAAAGTTACAGATTATACTTTAAAAATATATCAAGTAATGTCATGCAGCTTGGCAGTGCTGACATATAGATATATACATTTTTAAACTTTTTTCTCTCTCTCAGTTTCTGCCTGTCCTTCGTTCTTTCTTTATGTATGTGTGTGTGTGTGTATGTTTTCACAAATGTAATTATATTGTACATTCTGGGTTTTAACCTTATTTTTTAATTTAGAACATATCTTGGATATTTCCCAAATCCTTTAAATATTTTCTCCAATTTAGTATAGTATTTAATATCTACTTAATATTCTGTTTCATAGATGATCTGTAACTTATCTAACCAGTCAGCTATTGCTGGACTCAGAATGCTGAATTCTACCTCCCTGCATGCATCTTTTTTATTTTTGCTTTTTCCAGTAAGCCTTTTGCACCCCTAACCTGCATGCATCTTTTTTTTTTTTTTTTTTTTTTTTTTTGAGACAGAGTCTTGCTCTGTCGCCCAGGTTGGAGTGCAGTGGCGCGATTTCAGCTCACTGCAACCTCTGCCTCCCGGGTTCAAGCGATTCTCCTGCCTTAGGCTCCTAAGCAGCTGGGATTACAGGCATGTGCCACCATGCCTAGCTAATTTTTTTTGTATTTTTAGTAGAGATGGTTTCACCATGTTGGCCAGGCTGGTTTCGAACTCCTGACCTCAAATGATCTGCCCGCCTTGGTCTCTCAAAGTGCTAGGATTACAGGTGTGAGCCACCGCGCCCGGCCTAACCTGCATGCATCTTAATACACATCATTTGCTTTGGGTAGAGTCCCAAAATTAGGTTTGGATGGTAAAAGTCTCTCACATCCTTCTACATGCCATGTTTTAAGGTCCTACAAATCTGTAGCATTTACACAGTATTCATTTCCCTGTGATGTTGCTCATCTGGCATATTATTAATCTTTTAAGTCTGCCATTCTAATAATTGTCAACTGGTATTTCCTTAATTAGGATCTGCTTCATTGTATTGAAATTTAATAAGTTCGGTGGATGATATGCTGCTATTTTTAGTGAATTGCTCATGCTTAAGTTTCATTTGAAAACATTCTGGGCTTCAGAGGCAAAAGCCAGAGTTGAGAGCAAGACCCTGTCTCCAAAAAAAAAAAAAAGATAGTTTGCTTTATAATTAGAGAAATGTGGATTCAGAACACAGCTCTGCCTCTTACTAACTGTGAATTTGGGCAAGTTACATTATTTTAAGCCCTCATTACCTCATCTGTTGGATGGAGATAAATGCATTGCATGGTTAAATGTTAATATGATAAAGGACCCATCATGCAGAAGATCCTAAAAATAGCTACTTTTGTTGTCATCACCTGGCAACCGTGGGCATGAATTTACACCACCCCAGCCTTGATATTGAGATATCTTCCCCAGTTTATATGCGCAGAATGGTGGGGTTGGAAGTAGAAATGATGGCATAACAGGATCTTATTAACTTAAGTCATTTTAGGAGTTTTGACACACATCTGGTCTCAGAGTCACTTGTTCTTCCCCCCAGCCCCGGTTTCTCTGGATTCTGTGCTTCTCCATGGAGGAAACTCAAGGAGAACTGACAAGTTCTTGTGGTTCTAAAACCATGGCCAATGTAAGTTTGTGTTTTTCTTCCTTGAAATACTGTGTTTTTAAATTCATGTGATCATTGAAGTCTCGTTATCTTGAGACTTCCTTCCTAAGACAACCCTGTTGTGGAACCTGCTCCCTAGTTACTCCCTAGTTACAGTGAAGGATAGTGCCAAATAGCCTAGTGTCTTCCTCATTTGCTCCTGTTTTCTCTTATCTGTGCTCAAACATTGTCTTCCATGTCAGCCTCAGAGGCAGAGGTCAGATCCCATGCATTGAGAGGCTTAGAGGACTAGGCTGGAGTATGATTGGGGCCTGCATATGGTAGTTTCAGGCATCTAGCCAGGGAATTTCCAAGGGATGAATAAGAAAACAAAAGTCAATTTTGTGGTTGAGGAGGTTGTGCTGGTCTCCAGTGACATCAGTGTCATTGTGGATACGTCAGCATCCTCTGGCTTAGGAACAAAGCAAGTATTCCTGAGGTATGGCAGGGGTAGCAGGTAGGAAGATCCTCCAATCCCTAATGATGGCTGGAAATAGGCTCTGATCCCTAATGATGGGTGGAAACAGAACTGGGGAAGACCTTAAACATTTTGGCCAACCTAAATGCCTAAGAATAAAAGAAGAATTAGTCTGCTGTATCTTTAAGATGGATGATATTATTAGCTAGCCAATAAATATACTAACTGAAGACTTTTCTTATGAGGTTATTTTGCATCATGATGAACCAGAGTTTTAACGAAATCACGTAATGTCAGTCAAATCCTGTTTTCTAAGAGAGATTTTAGAGTACTTTTTGGTGAAAAAATTCTTTTTCCAAAAATTTTTTGAAGGGAAGAGAGGATGATGGAACTTGCATTTATTCAGAACTTTAACTGCAGGCACATAATGGGCAATGTGCTTATTTATGCTATTTCACTTAATTTGCATCAACAATATTCTTTAAAAGCGTATGAACACTTTATTTCAGAAATATTAATTTCTTTATTCTTTTACACACATTGCAGGCTTGAGCCCCAGTTTATTTGCTTACTATGTTGCTTCTTTCCTGCAAAGCAGTTTTCCATCTTGAAAATACATTTAATTTTTTTTTAATACATAGGCTTGTCATTTCAGGTATCTTTGGCATTTAGGGATGTGTCCATAGACCTCTCCCAAGAGGAGTGGGAGTGCCTGGACGCTGTGCAGAGGGACTTGTACAAGGATGTGATGTTGGAGAACTACAGCAACCTGGTCTCACTGGGTAAGGTATCTTTCGAAATCGTTTACAATCTGTTTTCTGGAGTATCAGCTTTCTCCACTGTCAAACTTTAGAACTCTGTTTTAAGAGGCTGACTGACACCCCTATTTCTAAAGTCATAGTTTCAGCAGTGTTGGGGTGGAAATGGGCACCTGTGTTAAGCAACTTCACCTTTCTGACCCTCAGTGACATTCACTCCTCCCTCTGACTTTTCCTGTCATTGCTTGCTTTTCTAAATAATTTCCAGGTTTGAGTTGTGTGACATCAGATTTCATATAATGCATATACTCAGAATTCCTATAGCTGTTCTGTGTTAATATCTGACCTTCCTACAAGACAACAGCTAGTCTCAGAATTCTAGTTTTCCTTGATTATCAAAAGAACCTCCATGGATTATACAGTGGTGGATTGAGTTAACAATAGTCATTTAAAACTCAAGCCAACACACCCCATCCTAAAGGAGACATATTCTCCTTAACCTGCTTTGCGGTTGAAAGTTAAAGTCTGTGAATTGACATTTTCTGTTGAAGGAATATCTGAGGAAGAACCTGGAAATATTTTAGGAAACTTAGTATATTTCTCCTAGGAAAATAGTACCAACAACAAAATAATACTATATACTGGGCATATTATATGCCTTTGCATATATTAATTCATTTAATTCTCACCACAGCCCTAAGAAGTCGGTAATATCAGCCCCATTTTGCATTTGATAAAAGTGAATATGTGCAGGGTAACTTTGAAGGTCACACAGCTGGTAGGTGGCAGAAGATTTGAACCCAGGCCATAGGGCTCCAGAGGGTGTGCTCACTGGTCCCCTTTCTATACTGCCGTTAACAGCAAAGCAGACCTTTTCGCTCTCTCACCTTGTCTCTTTAGTCCTGTAATTGTGAGTCCATGTTAACGTGAATATTCTTAGATGGCCTTTTTCTTCTTTACTGTCATGGCATTGTCTAGTACCATTTTCACCTGCAGTTTCTTACAAATGTAACCAAGTCTGAATTGTCATTTCAAGGTTATGGTTGTTTTTGTTTTTTTCTATAACATGTGTCATTTCTTTTCTCATGAGCAGGATATACCATTCCTAAGCCAGATGTGATTACTTTATTGGAGCAAGAGAAAGAGCCCTGGATAGTAATGAGGGAAGGGACAAGGAATTGGTTCACAGGTGAGTGACAGCAAATTAGGCGGGAGGGTGCTATCACAAGTTATGACCCATGATGTCAGGGAGGAGGCACAGCACTGAGTTGTTTGGAAAGCTCCCTTCAAAGGCCTGAGGCCTGTGGAAAAAGGACTGATACCTGGGAAGCATTCAGATTCTCTCTACATTAGCTACCAAAGGAACTTTACCCAATTTGCCATACTCCTTGTTTCTCTTCTCTCGTATTTCTCTCCTCTTTCAAAGTGGGGCTGCTTTCTTTCTTCCCCATTGATGACCATTTTACGTGTGTTTCCAGGCCTCCTTTAACATTTTGATTTATATTCATTTCTCCATTGTCCAAGTTTTATTCATCAAATATTTCCCATTTACCTAACCTAAGCCAGGCACTGTGCTAGAGTTTAGGCACTACTGATAGACACTCTTGTCACAGAGATGTTGATATTATAGTAAGGGAAACATGTTGTCAATACGTAAACAGATAATAATCAAGTTTTCATATGTGTTGTGAAGAAAGTTAAGTAGAGTAAGGAGCTAGAGTGTTGGGGAGTTAGTAGGGCTAATTTAGATAAGATCAGGAAAAGGCCATTTTGAGGTGATGATATTTGAACCAGAGACATAAAGTAAGGTCTCAGGCCATGTGAGTATTGAGGAAGAACATTACAAGCAGAAAAAGCTGCAAGTGCAAAGGTTCTGAGATGAAGAACCATCTGTGTTTATTCCCAAAGTAAATTATGCCACCTGATGTGAACATTCTTGTACAATTGTTTTTGTGTTCAGATGTTTTCATTTCTCTTGGGTTTTCATTTTTCTTGGGAATATATGGAAGTGGAATTTCTGGGTCATAGGACAAGTGTATTTTCTTAATCATATTTATTGAGGTATAATTTATATAGTATAAAATGTACTCATTTTAAGTGTCAATTTTTATAACATTTTAAAACAGTTTTATTGACATATAATTAGCATACAATAAACTGCACACATTTAAAGTATAAAATTTGCTAAGTTGCCCTGTATATTGTGAAACCATTTCAAAATCAAAATAATAAACATATCCATCACCTCCAAAAGAAATCCCTCCCTCATGTCCCTCTCTACCCACTGCCCAGGTAAGCACTGATCATCTCTCTGTCACTATAACTTAGTTTTCATTTTCTAGAATTTTGTATAATGGAATTATATGGTGATTTTTTTCTTCCTTTTTTAAAAATATGGTGATTTTTAAAATTTAGCTTCATTCACTCAGCAAAATTATTTTGAGATTCATCCATGTTGCTATATGTATCAGTACTTCATTTCTTTTCATTGTTGAGTAGTATTCCATTGTATGGATGTACCACAATTTACTTATCCATTTATGTATAAGGATGGACATTGAGTTATTTCCAGTGTTTGGCTATTACAGATAAAGCTACTGGAAACTTTCATGTAAAATTCTTGGTATAGACTTATGCTTTCATTTATCTTGGGTAACTGTCTGGGGTAGAATGGGTAGATCATATGATAAATATATGTCTATTTTTTAAGAAACTGCCACACTGTGTTTGAAAGTGGTTGTATCAGCCAGTAGCAGTGGCTTATGCCTGTAATCCCAGCACTTTGGGAGGCCGAGACAGGTGGATCACTGGAGGTCAGGAGTTCAAGACCAGCCTGGCCAACAAGGTGAAACTTCATCTTTACTAAAAATACAAAAATTAGCCAGGCATAGTGACAGGCATCTGTAATCCCAGCTACTTGGGAGGCTGAGGCAGGAGAATCACTTGAACCCTGGAGGCAGAGGTTGCAGTGAGCCGAGATTGTGCCACTGCACTCCAGCCTGGGTGACAGACCAAGATAATGTCTGAAAAAAAAAAAAAAAGAAGAAGAAAGTGGTTGTATCTTTTTACTTTCCCAGCAGAAGTTTATGAAAATTCCAGTTCTTCGACATTCTTGTTAGCACTTTGGTATGGTCAGTCTTTTAAATTTTAGCTTTGCTAATAGGTGAGTAATGGTATCTCACTGTGGTTTTAATTTTCATTTTCCTAATGCCTAATAATCCTGAGCAACTTTTTATTCTTAATTTATCATCCATATATCTTCTTTGGTGAAGCATCTATTACAGTCTTCTGCTCATTCTCTTTGCTTCTTTCTTTCTTTTTTTTGAAACAGAGTCTTGCTCTGTTGCCCAGGCTGGAATGCAGTGGTGCGACCTCGGCTCACTGCAACCTCCGCCTCCTGGGTACAAGCAATTCTCCTGCCTTAGCCTCCTGAGTAGCTGGGACCACAGGCATGTGCCACCATGCCCAGCTAATTTTTGTATTTTTAGTAGAGATGGGGTTTCACCACATTGGCCAGGCTGGTCTCGAACTCCTGACCTCAGATCCACCTGCCTCAGCCTCCCAAAGTGCTGGGCTTACAGGCGTGAGCCACTATACCTGGCCTTCTGCCCATTTTCTAATTGCATTGGTTGTTTGCTAATTATTGGGTTTTGAGAGTCCCTTATATATTCTGGATGTAAGTCCTTTATCAAATGTATGATCTGTAAACTCTTAACAGTGTCTTCTGAATAGCATAAGCTCTTAATTTGATTAAGTTAATTTATCACATTTTTCTCTTATGGATTGTCCTTTCAGTCATATTTAAGAAATCTTTGCCCAATATAAAAAGTACAAAAATTTTCTGTTTTCTTCTAATTTTTTTTTTTTTTGACAGAGTCTCGCTCTGTCACCCAGGCTGGAGTGCAGTGGCACAATCTCGGCTCACTGCAACCTCCACCTCCCGGGTTCAAGCAATTCTTCTGCCTCAGCCTCCCGAGTAGCTAGGACTACAGGTACACGCCACCACACCCAGCTAATTTTTGTATTTTTAGTAGAGACAGGGTTTCACCATATTGGCCAGGCTGGTCTCAAACTCCTGACCTCATGATCTGCCCACCTTAGCTTTTCAAAGTGCTGGGATTACAGGCGTGAGCCACTGCCCCCAGCTTTTCTAGAAATTTTATGGTTTTAGATTTTTACATTTGTATACCTATTGTACACAAACTCTTCCAGAAACTTTAAGATAAGGGAATACTTCCAAACTCACTCTTCAAGTCCAGCATTACCCTGATACCAAAACCAGACAAAGGCATTATAAGAAAAGAAATCTATAAGTCAGTATCTTTCATGTACACAAATGCAAAAATTCTAGACTAAGTTTTAGCCATTTGAATCCAACAATTTATGAAAAGAATAGTAGTTACTGGCCATTCTTGGCATTCCTTGGCTTGCAGACGCATCACTGCAGTCTCTGCCTCCATCTTCATGGCACCCTCTCTTGATCTCCCTATGCCTCGCTCTTATAAGTACACCTGTTATTGGATTTAGGGCCCACCCTTTTTCCATATTAGGTCACATTCACAGGCACTGGGAGTTAGGAACATGTCTTTTCTGGGGGCCACAATTCAACCTACTACATCTGAGAATAAAGGCGTTTATTTTTCTCCTTTCTAAAGCCTGTGTTCTTCACCTTGCCTTACTCTACTAGCCAGGACCTGCAGTGTAATTCTTGACTAGCAATGAGTTTGAGGATCTGTGAATGAGTAATGATAAAACAACTGATGCTCACCAAATAAAATATCTCAGTACTTGAGTTGGGACAGAGACAAAGAGAAGGAACAGTAGCCACACACACAGGGCAAATGTAAACAGTTTTGGAGATGCCTAATGTTCAAGGTAACAATAGGTAATTGGAAAATGATGAAATACAAAAATGACTTTTCCATTTATACTTTTGATTGAGCAATTTTGGATGTATCTTTGTTCCCTTTCAGAAGGGAAGTGATCCAGGAAAGAGCATATTTAATTGCTGTACTAGGATGAGATTGGAATCAGGGAGATATATTCATAACTATGTTGTAATTTGGGGAAATTAAGTTATTATACTTAGCTGCCCTCTCAGTGACTTGTTTGTAATATTTACAGAGGTGGTTTGCAGAGGTCTTCCAAATAAGAAAGGGGTTTTTATCAATGGTAATATGTTTGGGTTTTATTCTAGGGGGAACGAGAAACTCTATTCTAAAGGGAAAAGAATTAGGTACAGATTTTCAAAATGATCTCCATCAAAGCCATTTGATGAAAAAGATTTTAAATGCACATATCCAGGACTTGCTCCTATAGATTTTGATTTTGTCTGGTTTGGTGCCTGAAGAACAGTATATGTAAGAAATTTCCCTAAATCCATCCTAAATAAGCGGATCACTGATTTACCCTATTATCCTATTCACCTATTTTACCATTCTTTTTTTTTTTTTTTGAGACAGAGTCTCGCTTTGTCACCCAGCCTGGAGTGCAGTGGCACAATCTTGGCTCACTGCAAGCTCCACCTCCTGGGTTCACGCCATTCTCCTGCCTCAGCCTCCCGAGTAGCTGGGACTACAGGCACCCGCCACCACGCCTGGCTAATTTTTTGTATTTTTAGTAGAGACGGGGTTTCACCATGTTAGCCGGGATGGTCTCGATCTCCTGACTTCATGATCCACCTGCCTCAGCCTCCCAAAGTGCTGGGATTACAGGCACGAGCCACCGCACCCGGCCTATTTTACAATTCTTAAAAGTCACATCATTTTCTGAGGTATTTTGCCTTCTTTTAAATTGCACTACAATAATTTAGAGTTCTCTAAGCCAGGAACCAGCAAACTATAGCCCATGAGCCAAATAGCTCACTGCCTGTTTTTGCATGGCTCTTAAGTTACAACTGTTTTTTCCATTTTTTTAATGGTTGAAAAAATCAAGATTTTGTTTCATGTAAACACTTTTTGAAATTTAAATTTCAGTGTCCATAAGTCAAGTGTTATTATAACACAGCCACACTTATTATCATCTGTGGCTACTTTTGTGCTGTAATAACAGAGCTAAGTAATTGTGACAGAGACCATATGCCTCCCAAGGCCTAACACCTTCACTATCTGGTCTTTTAAAGAAGAAGTTTGTTGAATCCTGCTCTAAACCATTTATTTCTAATGTATGTTATTTCTGTTTATCTTTTATTTCTACTATGAGGTACAACCCCCATCCCTGCCCCAACACAGAAAAATAGCATTATAGCATTTGTTTACTCTTTGCTTTTTTTTTTTTTTTTTTTTGCAGATTTGGAATACAAGTATATTACCAAGAATTTGCTTTCAGAAAAGAATGTTTGCAAAATCTATTTATCTCAATTGCAGACAGGGGAAAAAAGTAAAAACACCATCCATGAGGACACCATTTTCAGAAATGGTTTGCAGTGTAAACATGAATTTGAGAGACAAGAGAGACATCAGATGGGATGCGTTAGTCAAATGCTAATCCAAAAACAAATATCTCATCCTCTACATCCAAAAATTCATGCTAGAGAGAAATCATATGAATGTAAGGAATGTAGAAAGGCCTTTAGACAACAGTCATACCTTATTCAACATCTGAGAATTCACACTGGTGAGAGACCCTATAAATGTATGGAATGTGGAAAGGCCTTTTGTCGAGTGGGAGACCTTAGAGTACATCACACAATCCATGCTGGGGAGAGACCCTATGAATGTAAAGAATGTGGGAAGGCCTTTAGACTTCATTATCACCTTACTGAACATCAGAGAATACATTCTGGTGTGAAACCCTACGAGTGTAAGGAATGTGGGAAAGCCTTTAGTCGTGTTAGAGACCTTAGAGTACATCAGACAATTCATGCTGGAGAGAGACCTTATGAATGTAAAGAATGTGGGAAGGCCTTTAGACTTCATTATCAACTAACTGAACATCAAAGAATTCATACTGGTGAGAGGCCTTATGAATGTAAGGTTTGTGGCAAGACCTTTAGGGTACAACGACATATTAGTCAACATCAGAAAATTCATACTGGTGTCAAACCCTATAAATGTAATGAATGTGGGAAGGCCTTTAGTCATGGCTCATACCTTGTTCAACATCAGAAAATTCATACTGGTGAAAAACCCTACGAATGTAAAGAATGTGGTAAGTCCTTTAGTTTTCATGCAGAACTTGCTCGACATCGTAGAATTCATACTGGTGAGAAACCCTATGAATGTAGAGAATGTGGAAAAGCCTTTCGTCTTCAAACGGAACTTACTCGGCATCATAGAACTCATACTGGTGAGAAACCCTATGAATGTAAGGAATGTGGGAAGGCCTTTATTTGTGGTTATCAACTTACTTTACATCTGAGAACTCACACCGGTGAGATTCCCTATGAATGTAAGGAATGTGGAAAAACCTTCAGTAGTCGCTATCATCTCACTCAACACTACAGAATTCATACTGGTGAGAAACCCTACATATGTAACGAATGTGGAAAAGCCTTTCGTCTTCAAGGAGAACTTACCCGACATCACAGAATTCATACATGTGAGAAACCCTATGAATGTAAGGAATGTGGGAAGGCTTTTATTCATAGCAATCAATTTATTTCACACCAGCGAATTCACACCAGTGAGAGCACCTACATATGTAAAGAATGTGGGAAGATTTTTAGTCGTCGCTATAATCTTACTCAACATTTTAAAATTCATACTGGTGAAAAACCCTACATATGTAATGAATGTGGGAAAGCCTTTCGATTTCAAACAGAACTTACTCAGCATCACAGAATTCATACTGGTGAAAAACCCTATAAATGTACAGAATGTGGGAAGGCCTTTATTCGTAGCACTCATCTCACGCAACATCACAGAATTCATACTGGTGAGAAACCCTACGAATGTACGGAATGTGGGAAGACGTTTAGTCGGCACTATCATCTTACTCAACATCACAGAGGCCATACTGGTGAGAAGCCCTACATATGTAATGAATGTGGGAATGCTTTTATTTGCAGTTATCGACTTACATTACATCAAAGAATTCACACTGGTGAGCTTCCATATGAATGTAAGGAATGTGGAAAGACCTTTAGTCGTCGGTATCATCTTACTCAACATTTTAGACTTCATACTGGTGAGAAACCTTATAGCTGTAAAGAATGTGGGAATGCCTTTCGTCTTCAAGCAGAACTTACTCGACATCACATAGTTCACACGGGTGAGAAACCCTATAAATGTAAAGAATGTGGGAAAGCCTTCAGTGTTAATTCAGAACTTACTCGACATCACAGAATTCATACTGGTGAAAAACCCTATCAATGTAAAGAATGTGGAAAAGCCTTTATTCGTAGTGATCAACTTACTTTACATCAGAGAAATCATATTAGTGAGGAAGTCCTATGCATAATGTAAAGAGAATACGATGGCCTTTAGAAAATGCCCTTTAGCAGAGAATTTGTAATTTAAGAAATTTTCTGTTTGTTACGGAACATGTGGGAATCCCTTTTACTTCATGCTCACAATTTATCAGAAATTATTTCGTATGTTAAAGAGTCGAAAGACTATAGCATCACTCAGTCCCTGTTAGACTTTAGAAGATTGATACTGATGCACTGCATCCCAAACCATCAAGGGCCTTTTCCCCTACAAACTGTTGTTGAACAGTGCTTCTCTAAAATGCAATAATAATGGGCCAGGTGAAGTGGCTCACACCTGTAATCCCAGCACTGTGGAAAGACAGGAGTTCGAAACCAGCCTGGGCAACATAGTGAGACCCTGCCTCATGGCTTTAGTGAGCCATGATTGTGCCACTGCACTCCAGCTTGGTGACAGAGTGAGATCCTGTCTCTAAATAAATAAATAAAATGCGGGCCAGGCACAGTGGCTCACACCTGTAATCCCAGCACTATGGGAGGCCCAGGTGAGCAGATCACCTGAGGTCAGGAGTTCAAGACCAGCCTGGCCAACATGGTGAAACCCCTTCTCTACTAAAATACACAAATTAGCTAGGCATTGTGGGGGGTGCCTGTAATCCCAGCTACTCAGGAGGCTGAGGCAGGAAAATTGCATGAACCTAAGTGGCAGAGGTTGCAGTGAGCTGAGATCGCACCACTGCACTCTAGCTTGGGCAACAGAGCAAGACTCTGTCTCTTAAATAAATAAATAAATAGATTACCAGAAAAATGAAAAGAAAAAAACAGACATACAAAATAAAAGCCCCAGTTTTTTATTATGGTATTTAACTGAGTTAACTCTGTCAGATTGCTGCAAACATTTCTAAATACTTGCTCTTGGTATCTATAACTTTTGCAGAGACCAGAAGCAAACAATTTGTGGGCCAGTGTCAACACATGGACCACACTTTATATAGCACTGTAACGGAAAATGATTCTGTTAATGTAATGAACATGGGAAAGACCAGCCTTGGCCTATCTTTATGATATATATAAATAATATAATTCTCATAATTCCACCTCTGCCTATGTGGTGTTTGGCAAAACATGCCCCTGTGCCTTGGTTTTTAAAATGGTAATAACAGTACCACCTAATAGTATTTTTGTGAGGATGAAATGCTAATAAAAGATAAAACCTTTAAAAGAGTATTTGGCACACAGCATTTTATCAATAAATATTGCTTTATTTTTTTCATTGGGGATACATTTAGTACATTCATGTGAGAGGAAGGCCCTGTGGGTGTAAGAAATTTGTAAAAACTGTCCATTACCTTTCACTCCTTATTTAGATTGGAATAATTAACTGGAGATAATATCCAGTAAAATAGATTAAACTTCCATTTATAAAGTCAGAACCTATCTCTGAAAATTAATGTGAGAAAGAAATCTCTAGATTTGATGGGTGTGAAGATTATGAGAGTAAAGTTTTGAAGACTCAGGGATAGCTGTAATGCTTTTTTCTTTTTATAACCCAAAAAGCAGGTATGTCAGTCGCTTTTTCTGCCCACAATGATAAATTAAAAACAGCCACTATCCATTTGGAAAACTTAAAAGAATAATGAACAGTTATGTTCTATCTAGATTCAGCAATTGTTAATATGTTGTCACATTTGGTTTGCTTATACATAATATTTACATATTTTGCTGTAGTATTTGAGTATAAATTGCAGATACTATAACACATCACATCTAAGAATAAAGGCTGCCTCCTACTTAATTGCTATATAACAATTGTCCAACCTGTCTGTGCCCCAGGGCAGCTTTGAATGCAGTCCAACAGAAATTTGTAAGCTGTCTTAAAACATGAGATTTTTTTTGTGATTTTTTTTAAGCTCATCCGCCATTGTTAGCACATTTTATGTGTAGCCCAAGATAATTCTTCTTCCAGTGTAACCCAGGGAAGCCAAAAGATTTGACCCCCAGTAACTTCACACCTAAGGAGATTAGCAATAATTCCATAATCTGTAATATTCAGTCTGTGTTCATATTCTCAGTTGTGTTCATTCTTTTCATTTGTGTAAACAATGCTTTTCATAGGTTATTTTTAAATTCAGGAACCAAATTCATGAATTACATTTGTGCATTGTTCGTCTCTTTTAAAGTAAGAATGGCCCTTCCCCCCACAACTTTATTGCAACATTGACTTTTTTTTTTTTTTTTTTTTTTTTTTTTTGAGATGGAGTCTCTGTCGCCCAGGCTGGAGTGCAGTGGTGCGATCTTGGCTCACTGCAAGCTCCGCCTCCCGGGTTCAGGCAATTCTGCCTCAGCCTCCCCAGTAGCTGGGACTACAGGCGCCTTCAACCATGCCCGGCTAATTTTTTGTATTTTTAGTAGAGACGGGGTTTCACCATGTTAGCCAGGACGGTCTCGATCTCCTGACCTGGTGATCTGCCCGCCTCAGCCTCCCAAAGTGCTGGGATTACAGGCATGAGCCACCGCACCCGGCCTTCCCAAAGTATTTTTAAATGTGCTTTTTTATCCCCAGTATTTCCCATTAACTGGAATTTGGGATTAGAGACCCAATTAGGGACAGATTAAATATTTTGGCAAGAATACTTAATGGGAGAAATTTTGTATTTCAATTTGTAACCCATTAGGTGGCATACAATGTCATTATACCACTATGGTATCCTTAGTTCATTCACTTGGTGTAGCAGAACATACATTCCAAAGATGGCCACACCAATATATCCCATTCTGCATGTTCATCTTACAATGTGATACCAACACTCCCCAAGAGGTAGAGCTCATGGTCCTTCCTTTTGAATCTGGCCAGGTGGGCCTGTGTTTATGGCAGGAATAACACTGTGATTTCCACGACTAAGTCATAAAAGGCAATACAGCTTCTGCCTGACCCACTTGGGATGAAGCCCAGCCACCATGCTATGAAGATGCCAAGTAATCACATAGAAAAGCTAAGTAAAGCTGTCCTGATTACAGCTGTAATTGAGGTAACAGCCGGGATCCAGCACCAAGTGTATGAGGGTATGAGCCTTCAGATGATTCTAACCCTTAGCCTTCAGGCTATCCTAGCTGGTGCTAAGTGGAGCAGAGAAAAGCTTTCCCCCATGAGCCTGCCCAAATTGCAGATTTACGTTTAAAATATGGCCTGTTTTAAGCCACTAAGTTTTGGAGTAGTTTGCCACACAGCGATAGGTAACTGAAATACTTGCTTCATATGGTAATCACCAGGTTTCTCTGTTGTAGAGCTAAATATTTCTTTTAATTTAGTAAACGATCTGTAGAGTAGTACTTTGGCATTTCGGAAATTTAAAATCTCCAATAATATAATGACACTAGATCAAAAAGAAAATGAAACCATAAAGGACAATTTAGAAATGAATGGTAAGATCAGAATTTGTGAATGTGGCCAAACCTGTGCTCAGTGAAAAATCAGTAACCTGTTAATATATTCAGGAAACAAATATTGAGGGCCAGCACTTTGTTTCTCCTGCTCACCACTCTACTCCCAGTGACTTAATACTGTCTCTTTAACATAGTAATCACTTATAAAACTGTTAAAAGAATGAAGAAGCATTAAACTCAAGAAACTAAGGGAAAAATAAGTCAATATAAGAAAGAAGGGAGGATCATTAAAAGGAGTTAATGAATTTGAAAATAAAATAGACTTATTAAGGCTTTGTGAAAAAATATTAATACTTGATTTTAGTATAGCTAATCAAAGGAAAAAGATAATTACAGCATTGTGAATGAGAATTGGATGTAAGTACAGATGGAGGAGATATTTTTTGTTTTATTGAAAATTTCAAGGAGGAAGTAATATCAAAATTTCACTAGCTCTTTCTACACTGATATTATAATCCTGATAATACAACAGATGAGGATAGTTCTTAAAAGGCAAAAATGTAGGTGAGTCATTACGAAGAAAGCAGAAATTCTAAACCATCAGCACATTCATTCAAAAACCTAGTAAAGCAATTAAGCAAAATAATTTGTTTACTTGGACTGTCCAGGGATAGATCTGTTCTAGTTTTCCAAATTAATGATGGGAAAGGAAGAGCTGATCCAGTCCAAGTATCTTCAAGATCCATGTTCTCAGTTTTTCTTAGCTTTAAATGGCCAAATTGTGGCTTAGATTGGATATGATAATTTCCTCAATGCTTAACACTGAGCACAATTTTTCACATATTTGAAATCAAGGTGTATCTTACAATTTATGGCATCTGACAATACTTCCAACCAGGTGGCAGTCATCAAGCAGTTTTGTGAAAAGCCTTCCCGGTAAGAATACAAAAGCATCTGCACCAAAATATATAGATTTAATGGCATGTAGGGGTTTGCGTGAATATATACAGTTGAAATTCAATTCTTCCTTAAAAATAATTGTAACTCATTTCTTTAAGACTACCATACTACCACTTTCCTCAACTTGGACTAATGTCCATTGTCAACCAAAATGTCTGTGATCTCATGGATCCATTATGATTTGCAACTCCAGGTCCATTTTATGCAAATAAGACAGCCATAATATATCATTGTACAAGTCATTTACTATCTAATTATATCATTGCTCAACATTTGCAAATTATTTTTACAAATAACAATAATTGGATGTAACAAAAAGCAGAGTATTTTGAGACGTATATTAATGCAAAATATTGTTAATGTATCAGTGGATTGTTCCTCCAAAGTACCAGTGCCTTAACACAACATATCTAAAAGAACATCTCTGGGAACAGTAGTACTTAATGGCAACTTGAGAATTGGTTTGTGGGCACACAGCCTTGTGAAGTTTTGAATACTAAATCCCTTTTTTAAAAAAGTGCTTATTATCAGGCTATCAATCAAAAGATTTGAGTCTTTCAGTAAAGAAAATTTGCTTAATTTTATCTAGTGCATGATAAACTTTACTAAGGAAGTCTCATTCAGAATATCTAATATTTTGGATGTGAGCCCACACTGGAAATGCCATAACCAAAAAAGAGTGACCCTAAAGATAGAATATTCAGATCTAATGGCAGATGCTTAGCTATGCTGGGAAAGGAAGTGAATTGTATATTGCTCTGCTGCTCACATATTCCTCTGCAATAAATTGCTGGCCCAGTTTAGTTTTTATATACTCACTACTATACTAATGAGGATGGCTCAATTTTTTATTTGAACGTACTATAATGAATTTAAACTTTCATTGGTATTTATGTTTTAACAGGTTTTCACTATTTCAAATATACTTCAATAAATATCCTTGTCTGTGATCATTGGTTTATGTGAATTGGAATTTCAGTAGCTGTATATACATGGAAGTACAATTGCTCATACATCATACACTCTTTCAGTTATGTTAGATAATACTAAATCAACCATGGGTTCTGTATACCCTACTAGATATTTCCAAATTGTTCTCTTAGACTCCTGAGAACTGGTAAATTGAGTGCTATAGCTTCAGTTTAGGTATGTTTTTGTATGTATTCCTAAATTTTGACTTAAGCCATTTTTCAAATGTATTTCTTGGCCTATCATCATTCCTTTACTTTGACTTTCATATTCTTGGCTTTCTCCATTATTTTTGTCTTGTTTTTTTCTTCCCTCTAATTGACTTGAATGTCATTCTGGATACTTTGCTATGTTGATGCAGTATTTTCCACCACATGCATATAGTCTGACCATGCATTCTATCTTTATGAGACATTTTAAGATTTATAGGTTATCAGTTATGTAATCTTTGCAGATTACACAAATAAAATTTTATTTTCCAGTATTTATATTTATTTTTCTTATTGCAATAGCTAGAATCTTCAGAACACAGTTGAATATTATGGTAGTAGGTATCTTTTGTTTCCAAATTTAATGGAATATTTCCCAACATTTTTTTCTTTGGTCCTATGTTTCCTCAAGAACCTACATTTAATCATTTACTATAATATTCACTCTTCATTTGGGGATAAATTCTCTGCTGACTTTAAATTTCCTTCAATATATGTAGGGGTAGAGGGAGGATGCCTACTTTTGTAGTGATTGTTAATTTAAAAACTGCTGAATTTTTTCCAAGGCCATTTTGTTATCTATTTTAATTTTATGTTTTTCTCCTTAAATTTATTGATGTATTGATTTGTACTTATGACTTTATTAAATTTTAAACATTTCTTGTAATATGCTACAATTTTTGTCATACTGCTAGAGTCCATTTGGTGATATTTTAATTAGAACTTTTTCATCTATAGTCAAGGCAGTATTATAGTTTCTTTTTATTTTATTGATAAGATTTTAGAGTTGTAATGATCTGTTCTTTAACACCTAGAAACAATTTGTCCTTAAAGTATTTACATTTTTGTATCTTGATATTACATTTTATGATTTGCTAAATTCACTTAGCTTTAGCAGGGTTTTTTGTTTTTTTTTTTTGAGACGGAGTCTTGGTCTGTCGCCCAGGCTGGAGTGCAGTGGCGCAATCTCGGCTCACTGCAAGCTCCGCCTCCCGGGTTCACGCCATTCTCCTGCCTCAGCCTCCCGAGTAGCTGGGACTACAGGCACGTGCCACCACGCCTGGCTAATTTTTTGTATTTTTAGTGGAGACGGGGTTTCACTGTGTTAGCCAGGATGATCTCGATCTCCTGACCTCGTGACCCACCCGCCTCAGCCTCCCAAAGTGCTGAGATTACAGGCGTGAGCCACCGCGCCTGGCCTAGCAGGGTTTATTTTTTATAAATTACTTAGAATTTTCTATAAACGCAATCAGGACATCTGTCAAGACAGTTCCTTTTAATTTATATTTCCTTTATTTGCCATACTGCACAGGCTAGGGCATTCTGTAGAGTGTTGAATGGAAATGTTCAAAGCAAGGCTGGGCGCAGTGGCTCACGCCTGTTATCCCAACACTTTGGGAGTCTGAGGCAGTTGGATCACCTGAGGTCAGGAGTTCGAGACAAACCTGGCCAACATGGCGAAACCCCATCTCTACTAAAAATACAAAAATTAGCTGGGTGTGGTGGTGCACCTGTGATCCCAGCTACTCGGGAGGCTGAGGCAGGAGAATCACTTGAACCCTGGAGGTGGAGGTTACAGTGAGCCAAGATCGTGCCACTGCACTCCAGCCTGGGCAACAGAGCAAGACGCTGTCTTAAAAAAAAAAATTATCAGAGCAGACATCCTTACCTTGAGTCTGACTTTAGTGAAAAAGCAGTCAATAATTTATCATAAAGTTCTATGTTAGCTGTTTATTTTCCCTAGATATTCTTTTTGGTTTTTTGACAAATCTTGGGGCAATTTGCCATTGAAGTCATCTGAGTCAACCTTTCTTTGCGGAAAGGATTTTTAGTGGTAGTTTCAAGGACAATATACCAAAAATATTGAATTTTTCTATCATAGCAAACAATTGAAAATGAAATCAAAAAAATTTTCATTGATAAAGAACATAAAATACTTAGGAATATATTTAACAAAACACATGCAAGACTACTACCTAAAAATTACACAATTTTGTTGAGAGAAGCTAGGGAAGGCCTTAATAAATTGAAACATCTTCCATAATTACAGATGAGAAGACCCAATGTTTAGAAGTCATTTCTCAAATTGATCTAGGGATTCAGTGGAATCCAGTCAGAATTTGTTCTGGAGCACAGCAGTGAAGTGAGGATTGGAGGGAGCTGGTGTAGCTGCACTTTGAGGTAGGTTCATTAGCTGTTGCAAAAGGCTGGTGATAGTCACTGTTGGAAGATGATAGAGGAGGAGAGAGAAGGGACTCAGTAAGCATGGCAGCACCTCATCTTGTGCATCTTTCTTGATAAGGAAAGGGAGGTCCCTGGCTGTTGTCATGAAAATGTCAGCTGCTTGCTCTGTGGAGAGGAAAGGAAGAATACGGGCAACCACTGTCTTCCCTTTTTGGATACACATGATCTGTACAAAGCGGTCATCACTAGGCCTCTCTTGTCCAGGCTGTTTCCCTCTTAAGTTGTCATACATGCTACAAATTCCGTACTTTCGCTCATCCATTAGAGCAGGTCGCTGTCTTAGACTTAGGAGATAATGTCTTTCATAGTCCTCCACATCAAGGAGTAAACTGTAGGTTTTCTTAATTATGACGGGTTTTTCTCCTCTTGTCTCGAATTTGTTTTTCTTTTATCTCATCATCCTCACTCCAAGATGTCACAACAGCATCAATCATTTTTCAGGGATTATTCACACTAGAAACAGTAAGCTTTCCCAAAGAGCCCACAAATTGTACTGGCTTATAGGTGCGCTCCAGTTTGGCCACTTGAGGGGTAATAAGCTTGTTATGCTCCTTTTTAGGGCCATCACCTCGTATTTCTTCAGCAGCTGATGGTTTCTCCAGTTTTTCAAAGTAATTCTGGTAATAAAAATCATCCAGGTGGGGACCATTGCTTTGCAGTTGCATCATCTGAATTTTAGAGGCCCAATCCTTTTCCCACAGCAACATGAGATTGGCATATGGATCCTTTCGGAGATGATCTTGATGACTGCTCCAGTGACTTCCTCTATCTCCTGCACCACTGAGATTCTGATGCTGATTTCTATTCTGTTGCTGTCTCTGATGCAAGAGTCAATGGTGCTGTGGATGGAGGGGAGTTGCGTCCAGTCTAAACACTGGGACTTGAGATCTTAAGTTTTGCAAGTGAGGTCCTGGGCCAGGAGGGCGCTGCTGTGGAGGTGGTGTAGCGGAGGGTGGAGCACTAAAGAAGGCATGGAAGCCTGGTGCTGGGGGAAGCATCTGCCCAACTTGCCCTTGTAGCAACTTGGGATTCATAGCAGCATGCAGACTACCAACAAATCCAGGGACCCATGCAAACTGGCTGGGAGACATCTGTCCAGGCTGTAGCTGTGCTCCTCCAAGAAGCTGTGCTCTCTGAAAGGGGCTGAGAACAGGAGGAACACTAGGAGGAAAAGGGTGACCCAGGAGGGAAGAGTTCAGGACACTGTAGAGCTGATTTGGAGGCATCCTCTCATCATAGGGACCAGGATAACACGGTGGCATTGGGGGCCGAACATGGACAGGCTTTGAACGCAGAATCTTCCAAATTGGCTTTCGTTTTCAGTTGCTGGTTTCAGGCGGAGGAAAGTCTATGGAATAGGACTGCACAGGCTCTGTTGGGTAAAGCTGGGTACGGCCATCTGCTTAGGTGGGGTGCCTATGGGGACAGCTCTAACAGGAGGACTGCCAATGACAGGTGAAGTTGACCACCTTGGTAATGCATGTTCAGAAAGGTCCCAATCATTTTCTGGACCCTGGGGGGCCTCTGAGGCAAGGCATATTCTAATACAGACACTGTAGACATTTCCTAAGTGAGCAGTGGTCCTCAGATTTGCCTCATAACTTTGGATCCATCCCAGATACTGGAATTCAGATTTCCTGGTTGGGGTTATAAAACTGGCCTGGTCTGCACTGCCCTCATGATAGCTGGATCTTCTAGTTCATTTTCAATCACCATCTTACTGAGCCTTTCTGCCAGATTTTCCTCATGGTCACCCAACAAGTCCATTTCTTCCCTTTCTCCATTGCCTGTTTGTTCATTAACTGCCACTGGTAGCTTTTCTTCCAATTCAGCCAGGCACTCATGTGCTTCCTGCCAATCATCATCAACTGCACCTGACCCAAAAATATCATCATTGAATTGATCAATCTCTTCATCTTCTTCTCTCAGTCCCTGAAATTCATCTTCATCTTCATCCAGAAGACAATCCTCCCAAGACTCATAGTGGAACATTCTTGGGGAGGTGGGGGGGAGTGGGGAGGGGAGTGGGGGAGGGAGGGAAGAAGCACTGACTCCCTGGGCTCCTCCATGGGCAGGTCCTCCACCAGCTTGCGACCCCTGGCCACCTATTTCTGTTTCTTTTTTTGTTCCTATGAATTCTAGTTACTATCATGTATCATTTCCTTACTCCAATACAACTCTGCTGTCATTTACTTCCTTTATGCTGTTATTGTCAAATATATTACATTTCCATGTTATAGGCCCAACAATATAATTATGTACATACTGTATTATACAACTGCCTTTTAAATTTATTAAGAGAAGTAAAAAGAAATGTGCATTTGTGCTGCTTTTTGTAATTTTAATTATATTAATTTTGTTCTTTTTAAAAATGTGGTTTTGAATTTCCATGTAGATTTACTTGCTTTGTTTGAATAACCTTTACAATTTCTTATGTGGTAGGTCTGGGAAGGGCTTTATTTCACCTTCATTTTTGAAAGACAGTGTGTTACTGCTTGACAGAGCTTTTGTCGTTTGAGTACTTTGAATATATCATCCCACTACCTTCATCCCCTCCATTGCTTTGGATAAGAAGTCAGCTGTCAATCGATTGGTGTTCCATTGTAAGCGACACATCATTTTTCTCTTATATTTTTCAACATTTTCTTTCACTTTTAGCATTTCTACTATGATAGGTCTGTTCATGGATATCTTCGCATTCATTCTGATTACAGTTTGTTGAGATGCTTGTGGGTATTGATTAATGTTTATTCAACAAATTGTGGATGTATTTTGCCATTATTTCTTTGAATATTTTTGTGCTCATTTCTCTTTCTCCTTTCCTTCTGGTATTCTCATTACATGTATGTTCATGCACTTAAAAGTGCTCTGTTCATATTTTCTTGTTCTTCAAGGCTCTGTTCATATTTTCTTTGTTCTATTTTCTCATTCTATTTCATTTTATTTTCTTATTCTTTTTTCTAGTGGGAAGATGGAATTGAGGTTGCATAATTTCCATTGATCTGTTTGAAAGTTTTCTATTTACTTGCTGATCAAATTTGTTTAGCCCTTCTAATGAATTTTTTATTTTGGTTACTGTAGTCTTCAACTCCAGAACTTACATTTGGTTCATTTTGTCATTTCTCCTTATTGATTTTCTTTATTTGATGAGACGTTATCTTTATATTTTCCTTTACTGCTGTGAATATATAATGGCTACATCGAAGTTTTTGTCTATTAAATATGACATCTGTTCCCTGTCATAGGCCAACCTGTTGCCGTTTTTTTTTGTTGTTGTTGTTGTTTTGTTTTGTTTTTTTTTAAGAGTCTTGCTCTGTTGCCCAGGCTGGAGTGTAGTGGTGTGATCTTGGCTCACTGCAACCTCTCCCTCCTGAATTCAAGCGATTCTCGTGTCTTAGCCTAGTTATAGGCATGTGCTACCATGCCTGCCTAATTTTTGTATTTTTAGTAGAGATGGGATTTCATCATGTAGTCCAGGCTGGTCTCAAAACTCCTGAGCTCAAGTGATCTGCCAACCTTGGTCTCCAAAAGTGCTGGGATTACAGGTGTGACCCACTGCACCTGGCCTGCTTGCTGTTCTCCTGTGTATAGGTCCAACTTTCCCATTTGTTTGCATGTCTTAATTTACTTTTTATTATTTTCCTAATAAGTAGACATATTAGGAAACATACTGTAGTGATTTGCCTGTCCCCTCTCCAGAGCTTGTTCTTGTTGTTGTTTGCTTGGCTATGTATTTTGTGTTTTGGCTAAGCTATTTTAGTAAAATCGATTTCCCTTTCCCCTTGCAGTGTGAAGTATTTTGTGTTGTTCCTCAGCCTTAAACATATGCAGTTACCCTGCTGTGACAATGGTTTTAAACAGGAGTCTTTTTGACTATCTTTCCCTATCTCTCTGTTAAGATAACTGCCCCCTTGGTATTATTTCCAGCCCACTAAGCTCCGCTGCCGTCTATCTGGTCACTCCATTGTTTTCAACATTTCCTTGGAGCCTAAATTATTAAGCAGTTTAATATAATTTAAGTCAGGCAGGGCTAATTTTTGAGGCCAGTTTTTAAGGTTTCTTTTGACCTTTGGAGGGCTCCTTAGCTGTCTCTTCCCATGGAATTATCTGATTAACTACCTGGCCTATGGTTTATGTTGTTGTGTTTACTTTAGGGGAGCTATTTGTTTGACACTGTTTCAGATAAAGTCCATTCCTTTGGAGAGAGCTTCAGAGCTCTATTCTTATGGACTGCCACTCCCTCTGGACAAAATCTCTGAACCACCATTCTGGGTAATGGGCTGGGTTGTAGCCATCTTGTTTTTTATGTTATGAAACCTCTGCCTTAGAAGCAAGTGGAGGCAAGGGCAATCTGGGTGCAAATGAGTTCACTCTGCCTGGGTAGAGTTTCCAAACTCTGGGTGGGGCTGGGGGAAGCAAAGGAGCCCCAAACCTCCTAGTTGCGTTCACCAGGAATTTAGCCACTTTAACCAAGAGCTGGTGGGGATAAGAAACCCTGGAGGCATGCCCCTCCTGTTGATATATGACAAACCTTGATTGACAGCTGCAGCCCCATCATCTTGGCAGCATCCACCCACAGAGAAGCTTCTATCAAATTGAGCTGTGAAGAGTAAAAGGGAGTTGTGTCTTAAATGCCACAAATTCTCTTACCAAGTTCTTGGTTCTTACCAAGTTTTAGTAGAATTTCTTGATATTTCACTTCCTATATACTGTTTGGACACTTTCAGACCTCAAATGGCAAGGTTTTTATACATTTTTTTTTGCCAGTTTTATTAGAAAATGAGTTTGCAGAGCCCCCCCATCTACCATCCAGAAGTGGAACTACATATAGTCATTTAACAATAGTTTAGCATTTTCTGTCATCTCATTCTGGAGAATCATAGATGTGGCAGAAATACATATTCTTGAAGAAAAAAAATGTCTCCCTTATGGGTACTGTGATTTCAATAGGGTGTGGGATAAGTACATGACAACATGCATGGGATAGACACTCTGTTCTCTACAGATCCGTGCTTTGGAATTACAGAACATAAAAGATATAATGATGGTTATTACTTTTTACATGTGACAATCTAGTTGTAGCGTTTAAGATTAAATTTGGTTGTGAGTAAAATAGTAAAACTGCCCCAAATTAAAGTGGATAAAATATAATAAAAGTTAATTTCTCTGTCATATAATATGGATGTAAGCCTGATACTGTGGCCTTGCTCTAAACCAATCATGAATTTTACCATTCTGGCATCAGAATGGAATGAGCACTCAGACTTATACAGAACTTGGAAGAATAGTAAATAATTCTGGTTACCCTTCACCCAGATTTCTCAAATATTAATATATTAAGCTAGTTTGTTTTAAGAGGTTTCCAGAATTGCCAAAATATTCACTTACATCCTACTTGCCATAAGTTATGTCACATGACAACACCTTGGAGAAATAACTGCAGTCCTTATTCTAGATAGTCACAGCCAACTATCAATAAAAATTACTGGTTCTATAATCATGAAAGCAGGGTAGAATGGATATGCGGGCCTAATAAATAACAGATCCTGACCCACTGAGGAATCCTGGAGATGGTTTCATTTTGATCAATTACAAATGAAGACAGTGAATCCCTGAGACCACAACTTGTGCAGAAGACTCATTGAAATGGAATGGTATTCTGGAAATTAAGACACACAGGTCCGTTATCCCTCATACCCCAAGCTGGATGATCACAATACCCTGTAAAAGGATGACAGAAATCTTGTGTCTACTTTTTCTTCTTTTCTGGGGAGTCTATGAACATTCAAGATAACATCCATGACTGAATATTCTAAAACAAGTTTCTTTACAACGCTGCTCAGAAACACCATGACAAATTTAAATCAGAGCAATATCTCCAAAAATGGGAGGCAGATTAATGTATCATTTCAGCCAGGCCTTAAAAGGAGATAAACTTCTCAGCTATCACCATACATAAAACATAATTCAATAAAATACCAAATGCAAACAAGAGCAGATCATAGAAATGTAAGTTGAGAAAATTCAGAGGGAACTTCTGACCTTAGGATGACATTTTCAACTCTGAAACTATTAAAAGAATTCTAACAAAAGCAGCATCTTTTTTTCCATACCTGTAACTGCCATGTGCACTCACAGCAGCCAGATTTTTTGGTCTCTAATTCTTTTTTCCTCTAAAAGGAACCAGGACTCCCTAAGATAAGAGGGTATTAAATCATGAGTTGATTCCATGACTCAGGACAAGAGGCATGGGGGACATGAACCAACAAACAGGGTCAGTCTTAAACATCCTCTTACGGCCTGAAAACAATATTCCTTTAAAACATCAAAAGAAAAAAATAAGTAGTAAAAAAAAAATGTAAATGGATTCCTACTGGCCACATTATGTCAATTTGAGCATAAATAATAATAATTACTACAGGTGCTTCTCAACTTACGGGGAGTTATGTCCAAATAAACCCATCATAAATTGAAAACATCATACACCATATGTGCATTTATGGTCTACAATATTTTCAATTTAACAATGGGTTTATCTAGATATAGCCCCATTTTAAGTCAAGGAGCATACTCTGACTGAGTATGTCTTAGTTTTGTGTTGCTATAAAGGAATGTCTGAGGTTGGGTTATTAATAAAGAAAGAGGTTTATTTGGCTCAGTGTTCTGTAGGATTTACAAGAATCATGGTGCAACATCTGCTTCTGGTAAGGGCCTCAGGCTGCTTCCACTCATGGCAGATGAAAGGGGGCAGTGTATGCAGACATCACATGGCAAGAGAGGAAGCAAGAGGGTGAGGAAGGAGGTGCCAGGCTCTTTTGTACAACCAGCTCTCATAGGAACTAACAGAGTGATAATTCACCCCCCAATCCAGAGAGGACATTAATTTATTCATGAGGGATCTTCTCCCATGACCCACACACCTCCCATTAGGCCCCACCTCCAACATTGGGATCAAACTTCAATATGAGATTTGGAGGGGATAAATATCCAAACTATAGCAGCATATCACTTTTGTACTATTATAAAGCTGAAAATTATAAGTCAAACCATTTTAAGTTGGGGATTACAGGCGTGAGCCACCGTGCCTGGCCGTGATTTTTAAATTTGTACATACTTGGTTTGTAACTTTAACAAATATATTAAAGTGTTTTATTATGTTTGCAAAGGGACTCTGACTTCCAACATAGTACTGCCATGATTGCATGATGATAGAGTTTCACCGAAAGGCTGCCAGGGATCTTTCTGACAACTCTTAATGATACTACCGGGATGTGCAATGACCCAGAAAGGAGTTGTGCTAGGTTAATACCCAGGGACTCTGCTGATTTCAAAGAAGAAAGTTCAAGAGAATGGATAGAAAAAAGATGAAACTGGAAATAAAAAATAGGAACATAAGATTTGAAAGCCAAGTTTTATATAATCTTGTTTTATAAGTTGTATAACATCATTGCAATATCAATACCTGAAAAATACTTGGAAAATTATAACTTTACTTATGATTATAGATGCAATTAAATGGTAAAAGATAGAATTAAGTAGTCTATTGAAAGAATAATCATCTGACCAGGGTATATTCATAAAAAGAAGAAAGCTATCAATATAAATTATCACTTTATAGATTTTTCAACACAATGGAATAAAATCACAAAGGATTATTCTTAATCTTAAAAAAAATTTAATCTAATTCATGATGCCACATCGGTATCATGTTTTGTTTTGGGGTTTTTTTGAGATGAAGTCTCACTTTGTCGCCCAGGCTGGAGTGCAGTGGCACGATCTTGGCTCACTGCCACCTCCACCTTCCAATTTCGAGTGATTCTCCTGCCTCAGCCTCCCAAGTAGCTGGGATTACAGGAATGCACCACCATGTCCAGCTAATTTTTTTATTTTTAGGAGAGATGGAGTTTTGCCATGTTGGCCAAGTTGGTCTCAAACTCCTGACCTCAGGTGATCTGCCCACCTTGGCCTCCCAAAGTGCTGGGATTACAGGCATGAGGCCACTGCTCCCGGCTTAATGGTATCATGTTTTACAGCTTGATTTAAAGGGTTAATATTTTTTCAAATTTTTATCAACAGCTCATGTACCAGCCATGGTATAGGTGCTGGTGATAAATGCTGAACAAAAAAGAGGTTCCGGACAATCTTGGCTCCCTATACAATCCAAAGGGTGCCAGTTTTGTACTGAGTACAGTGTCAGCCATATCACACAAGTTGAATTATGTTGACGCTTTAATGGCATTCATTTCTCAATAGTCTATTTCAATTTTCATTTTGTATTCAATCCAGGGCTTAAGTACACGTGACTATAACTTTTCAGAGATGACAACGTCTCTCCATAGATTACTTACCCACTACAAACTAAATCTTTACAATGGACTTACGGCGGTTACCAGCTTACCCAAATGATCATCCTTAGTTTCACTAATGCAAGGACCTGTACTTAAATGTTTTCTGACAGTACAATATGACATAGAAATAACCTACAAAGTATTCTTCCCCAAAACGTTTAATCTAGACCTAAGAAAGCCTCTGGACTTACTTTCCCTTGTAAAGAAAATACAACCAAGAACAAGGCTAAATGACACTATAAAGAAAGAAATCTAAACACATAGCCAACAACATTTCTGGGCTACTCAAAATTCAATGTCATTTTTTTAAAATGAGAAATGTTCTAGACCAGTGGCTCTCTAACTCTGGTTGGTATCACAGACACAAAACCTGGAGAAATAATAAAAAACAGAGGCCCAGGCTTATAAACTAGGGCTACACTTCTGTAGGTTTACTAAGTTCCACAGGGGATTCTGATACCCACCATAATTTGAGAGCATACTTTCATGGGGTTTCCATGCTACAATACACTAAAGAGAGATAACCAAATGCAATGCAGAATCTGCAATGGACTCTCCTTAGAAAATGAATAGCTGTAGGCCAGGCATGCTGGCTCATGCCTGTAATCCCAGCACTTTGGGAGGCCAAGGCGGGTGGATCACGAGGTCAGGAGATCGAGACCATCCTGGCTAACAGAGTGAAACCCTGTCTCTACTAAAAATACAAAAAATTAGCTGGGCATGGTGGCGGGTGCCTCTAGTCCCAGCTACTCAGGAGGCTGAGGCGGGAGAATGGCGTGAACCCAGGAGGCAGAGCTTGCAGTGAGCCCAGATCGCACCACTGCACTCCAGTCTGGGCGACAGAGCGAGACTCCATCTCAAAAAAAAAAAAAAAAAAAGAGAAAATGAATAGCTGTAAAAGATGGTTTGCAGGCCAAGGAAGAAATCTGAAGATGGAATGATATTACAGAATTATGAATATTTTCCTTAAGGGTAATTATGGTACTATGGTTATATGATATTGTCTTTATGTTTGGGTAACACACATGCTGATGTAACAAGGAGTAAAGTGTCATGATATCTAAAACTTATTCTCAATGGTCTAAAACTTATTCTCAATGGTACAACAAATATACAAAAAATAAATGTGGCAAATTGTTAACAATTTTGAATCTAGGTGGGGGGGATATGTGTATATATTTTACTATTCTTTCAAAACCCACAACAATTATCAACTAGGTTCACCATCTTTTATGGGCAGGATTTGTGGTATCCCCAAACAATTACACTAGTAACAATTACACTAGTAATCAAAAAACACTGGTCACAGATCACCATAACAGATTTAACAATGAAAAAGTTTGAAATATTATGAAAACTAGCAAAGTGTGACACAAAGACATGAAATGTGCATATGCTGTTTGGAAAATGGTGCTGATAGACTTATTCACTGCAAGGTTGCTGCAAACCTTCAGTGTGTATAAAATGCAGTAACTGCAATGCACAATTAAGCAAGGTACGCCTGTATCCAGTAAAATATTTCACGGGCAGTAAACTGTGAACATGGCAGCTACTCTACATTCCTCACATCAGTAACTTTCTCACCAAAATTATCTTCTCTGAACTCTAAGGCATTTAGTGTGGCTATAAAATATCCCACATTCTTTACACTCAAAGGAGTTCTCAGCAGTATGAATACTCTGATGTTGAGCAAATCCCAGGCCACGATGAAAGTTCTTCACACATTCTTTTATGTTCACAGGATTTCTCATCAATATGAATTCTCTGGTGTTGAGTAAATTTTTCATACACAGTGAAGGCTTGTCTACACTCCTTATATTCATAAAACTTCTAACTATAATGAATTTTCTGATGTTGCGTAAGCAGATCATTCACAGTAAGGGTTTGCTCACATTCTTTACATTCATAGGGTTTCATGCCAGTATGAATTCTGTGATGTGCAGAAAGGACTGAACTAAGTCTAAAGGTCTTCCCACATCCTTTACATTCACAGGGTTGCTCACCAGTATGAATTTTAACATGTTGAACAAGGCTCGAGCTACAAGTAAAGGTCTTTCCACATTCTTTACATTCATACGGTTCATACCAGTATGAATTCTTTGATGTGCAGTAAAGACTAAGCTAAATCCAAAAGTTTTCCACATTCTTTACACTCACAGGGTTTCTCAGCAGTACGGATTCTCAGATGTACAGTAAGATCATAATTACTGCTAAAGGCCTTTTCACATTCCTTACATTCATAGGGTTTCTCATCAGTATGAATTTTAACATGTTTAACAGGTTTGAACTATGACTAAAGGCTTTCCCACATTCTTCACATTGATATGGTTTCTCACCAGTATGAATTCTCTGATGTACTCTAAGGTTTCTACCACTGGTAAAGCATTTCCCACATCCTTGACATTCATAAGGGTTCTCACGAATATGAAATCTATAATGTCCATGAAATTGGTAATGATATTGAAAGGCCTTCCCACATTCCTTACATTCAAAGGTTTTCACCCAAGTATGAATTTTCTGATGTTCAGTAAGTTGCTACTGATGTCTGAAGGCTGTCCCACATTTCTTACATTCAAAGGGTTTCTCACCTGTACAAGTTTTTGATGCAGAGAAAGTTGTAGGTGAAGTCTAAAAGCCTTCCCACACTCCTTACATTCATAGGGTTTCTCACCAGTATGAATACTCTGAGGTTGAACAAGGTTTGAGCCACGATTAAAGGCCTTCCCACACTCCTTACATTTAAATGGCTTCTCACCAGTATGAATGATCTGATGTTGAGCAAGCTGTGTCAGAAGACCAAAGGCCTTTCCGCATTCTTTACATTCAAAGGGTTTCTCACCAGTATGAATTCGGTAATGTTCAGTAAGCTGGTAATGATATCTAAAGGTCTTCCTACACTCCTTACATACAAAGGGTTTCGCACTGGAATGAGTTTTCTGATGCTGAATAAGGTTTGAAACACGACTAAAGCCTTTCCCACACTCCTTACATTCATATGGTTTTACACCAGCATGAATACTCTGATGTTGAACAAGGTTTGAGACACGATTAAAGGACTTCCCACATTCTTTACATTTAAATGGCTTCTCACCTGTGTGAATGTTCTTATGGTGATTAAGCTGGGTGTGAAGACTGAAGGCCTTGCCACATTCCTTACATTCAAAGGGCTTCTCACCAGTATGAAATTTCTGATGTCGAATAAGGTGCATATGAAGTCGAAAGGCTTTCCCACATTCCTTACATTCAAAGGGTTTCTTTCCGGTATGAATACTTCGATGTTGATTAAGATTTGAACCACGACGAAAGAATTTCCCACATTCCTTACATTCAAAGGGTTTCTCACCTGTATGAGTTTTCTCATGTTGAGAAAGTTGTAGGTGAAGTCTAAAAGCCTTCCCACACTCCTTACATTCATAGGGCTTCTCACCAGTGTGAATACTCTGATGTTGAACAAGGTTCGAGCCACGATTGAAGGCCTTCCCACAGTCTTTACATTCAAATGGTTTCTCACCAGTATGAATGTTCTTATGTCGAGCAAGCTGTGTCAGAAGACTAAAGGCCTTTCCACATTCTTTACATTCAAAGGGTTTCCCACCAGTATGAATTTGGCAATGTTGAATAAGTTGGTAATGATATCGAAAGGCCATCTCACATTCCCTACATACAAAGGGTTTCTCATTGGAATGAATTTTTTGATGCTGAATAAGATTTGCACCACGATTAAAGCCTTTCCCACACTCCTTACATTCATATGGTTTTACATCAGCATGAATACTCTGGTGTTGAATAAGGTTTGAACTACGATTAAAGGACTTCCCACATTCTTTACATTCAAATGGTTTTTCACCTGTGTGAATATTCTTATGGCGATTAAGCTGATTGAGGAGACTAAAGGCCTTCCCGCATTCCCTGCATTCAAAGGGCTTCTCACCCATATGAATCTTCTGATGTCGAACAAGCTTTGTCAGAAGAGTAAAGGCCTTTCTGCATTCTTTACATTCAAAGGGTTTCTCGCCAGTATGAATTCGGCAATGTTCAATGAGTTGGTAATGATATCGAAAGGCCATCTCACATTCCCTACATACAAAGGGTTTCTCATTGGAATGAATTTTTTGATGCTGAATAAGATTTGAACCACGATTAAAGGCTTTCCCACACTCCTTACATTGATATGGTTTTACACCAGCATGAATACTTTGATGCTGAGTAAGGTTTGAGCTACGATTAAAAGACTTCCCACATTCCTTACATTCAAACAGTTTCTTAACTGTGTGAATGTTCTTATGGCGATTAAGCTGGGTGGGAAGATTAAAGGCTTTTCCACATTCCTTACATTCAAAAGTTTTCTCACCAGTATGAAATTTCTGATGTCGAGTAAGTTGTATGTGAAGTTGAAAGGCTTTCCCACATTCTTTGCATTTATAGGGTTTCTCTCCAGTATGAATACTCTGATGCTGAATAAGATTTGAACCACAACTAAAGTATTTCCCACATTCCTTACATTCATATGGTTTATGTGTATTATGAATAGGAGAAGCATGAGTATAAGCAGGCATTTCTTCATAGCTGATGATCTTCTGGTTGATATATCCTTCTTGATGTCCCTGTCGTCCCTCAAATCTACTTCTATATTCTGAGTCATTTCTAAAATAAAAGGCCTCGAGGCCAAGTGTTTTACTTATTTGCTTTATAACATGTTTGGGTAAATTTATTTCAAAAATATCATTTTCTGGAGATATTTTCTCAGGTCCATATTTTGACTCCAAATCTGAAAGAAATGAAGAAGGCAAACCTATTTTATTTTCCTATAACATACATGCATACAAAATCCATTAAACAAATGGCCTAAGTATAAAATATAATACTTTCAGGGAAGGGATCTGAAAAAGGAAAAGGGTGCCAATAATGAATTTATGTAAGATGGTGGTGTGCATAAGGGAACAGGTTAACTTTGTCAAATTTAGGTGTGAATCAAAACCATTTGGTAAGATTAAATATATTGATATTCAAGCAACTCAGATGTACAGAATCAGAATTTTTAGTGAAGAAAGCTTTTTTTTTTTTTTTAAGACGAAGTTTCACTCTTGTCGCCCAGGCTGCAGTGCAATGGCACAATCTCAGCTCACTGCACCCTCTACCTCCTGGGTTCAAGTGATTCTCTGGCCTCAGCCTCAGCCTCCAGAGTAGCTGGGATTACAAACATCTGCCACCGTGCCTGGCTAATTTTGGTATTTTTAGTAGAGACGAGGTTTCACAATGTTGGCCAGGCTGGTCTGGAATGCCTAACATCAGGTGATCCACCCACCCTGGCCTCCCAAAGTGCTGGGATTACAGGTGTGAGCCATTGTGCCTGGCCTCTATTTTTTTTTTTTTTTTTTAAGAGACAGGGTCTCTCTCTGTTGCATAGGCTATAGTGCAATGGCATGATCACAGCTCACTGCAGCCTCAAACTCCCAGGCTCAAGCAATCCTCCTGCCTAAGCCTCCCAAGTGGCTACAGCTACAGGCACATGCCACTAAGTCTGGACAATTTCTTTTTCTTTAGTCTTCCTGCAGTCCAAAGTCTGGCTAATTTTTACTTTATTTTTATTTTTACTTTGTAGAGATGGTGTCCCACCATGTTACCCAAGCTGGTCTTGAACTCCTGGCATCAAGCAATCCTCCTGCCTTGATCTCCCAACATGCTGTGATCACCAGTGGGAGCCATCACACCCAGCCAAAGCTGTATTTTTAATATCTCTACCAGATGATTCTGATTCAGATCAAAGTTTACAGATCATACTTAAAACTGGTTTTGAATGGTTTATCTTTAGTCTTAGCACAAAATCCAAAAACCTTAACACAGAGAACAAAACTTCCTATCAGGGCACTGTCCTCCTTTGTGGCTGATCTCTAACCACTCCCTCCTTTTAGCAACCAGAACATGATATAACCTTTCTCTTATCTTCTTGCTTGCTTAGACTGCTTCATCTTCCAAGAATCGTCTGGCTTTGCTCTTTGTAACAAACATCCAACTCCTCTTTTTTTTTTTTCTGTTTATATATATATATTTTTTTAATTTTATTATTATTATACTTTAAATTTTAGGGTACATGTGCACAATGTGCAGGTTTGTTACATATGTATACATGTGCCATGTTGGTGTGCTGCACCCATTAACTCGTCATTTAGCATTAGGTATATCTCCTAATGCTATCCCTCCCCACCTCCTCCCACCCCACAACATTCCCCGGAGTGTGATGTTCCCCTTCCTGTGTCCATATGTTCTCATTGTTCAATTCCCACCTATGAGTCAGAACATGTGGTGTTTGGTTTTTTGTCCTTGTGATAGTTTGCTGAGAATGATGGTTTCCAGTTTCATCCATGTCCCTACAAAGGACATGAACTCATCATTTTTTATGGCTGCATAGTATTCCATGGTGTATATGTGCCACATTTTCTTAATCCAGTCTATCATTGTTGGACATTTGGGTTGGTTCCAAGACTTTGCTATTGTGAATAGTGCCGCAATAAACATACGTGTGCATGTGTCTTTATAGCAGCATGATTTATAATCCTTTAGGTATATACACAGTAATGGGATGGCTGGGTCAAATGGTATTTCTAGTTCTAGATCCCTGAGGAATCGCCACACTGCCTTCCACAATGGTTGAACTAGTTTACAGTCCCACCAACAGTGTAAAAGTGTTCCTATTTCTCCACATCCTCTCCAGCACCTGTTGTTTCCTGACTTTTTAATGATCGCCATTCTAACTGGTGTGAGATGGTATCTCATTGTGGTTTTGATTTGCATTTCTCTGATGGCCAGTGATGATGAGCATTTTTTCATGTGTTTTTTGGCTGCATAAATGTCTTCTTTTGAGAAGCGTCTGTTCACATCCTTCGCCCACTTTTTGATGGGGTTGTTTTTTTCTTGTAAATTTGTTTGAGTTCATTGTAGATTCTGGATATTAGCCCTTTGTCAGATGAGTAGGTTGTGAAAATTTTCTCCCATTTTGTAGGTTGCCTGTTCACTCTGATGGTAGTTTCTTTTGCTGTGCAGAAGCTCTTTAGTTTAATTAGATCCCATTTGTCAATTTTGGCTTTTGTTGCCATTGCTTTTGGTGTTTTAGACATAAAGTCCTTGCCCATGCCTATGTCCTGAATGGTATTGCCCAGGTTTTCTTCTAGGGTTTTTATGGTTTTAGGTCTAACATGTAAGTCTTTAATCCATCTTGAATTAATTTTTGTATAAGGTGTAAGGAAGGGATCCAGTTTCAGCTTTCTACATATGGCTAGCCAGTTTTCCCAGCACCATTTATTAAATAGGGAATCCTTTCCCCATTGCTTGTTTTTGTCAGGTTTGTCAAAGATCAGATAGTTGTAGATAGGCAGCATTATTTCTGAGGGCTCTGCTCTGTTCCATTGATCTATATCTCTGTTTTGGTAACAGTACCATGCTGTTTTGGTTACTGTAGCCTTGTAGTATAGTTTGAAGTCAGGTAGTGTGATGCCTCCGGCTTTGTTCTTTTGGCTTAGGATTGACTTGGTGATGCGGGCTCTTTTTTGGTTCCATATGAACTTTAAAGTAGTTTTTTCCAATTCTGTGAAGAAAGTCATTGGTAGCTTGATGGGGATGGCATTGAATCTATAAATTACCTTGGGCAGTATGGCCATTTTCATGATATTGATTCTTCCTACCCATGAGCATGGAATGTTCTTCCATTTGTTTGTATCCTCTTTTATTTCCTTGAGCAGTGGTTTGTAGTTCTCCTTGAAGAGGTCCTTCACATCCCTTGTAAGTTGGATTCCCAGGTATTTTATTCTCTGAAGCAATTGTGAATGGGAGTTCACTCATAATTTGGCTCTCTGTTGGTCTGTTATTGGTGTATAAGAATGCTTGTGATTTTTGTACATTGATTTTGTATCCTGAAACTTTGCTGAAGTTGCTTATCAGCTTAAGGAGATTTTGGGCTGAGACAATGGGGTTTTCTAGATATACAATCATGTCATCTGCAAACAGGGACAATTTGACTTCCTCTTTTCCTAATTGAATACCCTTTATTTCCTTCTCCTGCCTAATTGCCCTGGCCAGAACTTCCAACACTATGTTGAACAGGAGTGGTGAGAGAGGGCATCCCTGTCTTGTGCCAGTTTTCAAAGGGAATGCTTCCAGTTTTTGCCCATTCAGTATGATATTGGCTGTGGGTTTGTCATAGATAGCTCTTATTATTTTGAGATACATCCCATCAATACCTCATTTATTGAGAGTTTTTAGCATGAATTTTGTTGAATTTTGTCAAAGGCCTTTTCTGCATCTATTGAGATAATCATGTGGTTTTTGTCTTTGGTTCTGTTTATATGCTGGATTACATTTATTGATTTGCATATGTTGAACCAGCCTTGCATCCCAGGGATGAAGCCCACTTGATCATGGTGGAAAAGCTTTTTGATGTGCTGCTGGATTCGGTTTGCCAGTATTTTATTGAGGATTTTTGCATCAATGTTCATGAAGGATATTCGTCTAAAATTCTCTTTTTTCGTTGTGTCTCTGCCCAGCTTTGGTATCAGGATGATGCTGGCCTCAAAAAATGAGTTAGGGAGGATTCCCTCTTTTTCTATTGATTGGAATAGTTTCAGAAGGAATGGTACCAGCTCCTCCTTTTACCTCTGGTAGAATTCGGCTGTGAATCCATCTGGTCCTGGATCTTTTTTGGTTGGTAAGCTATTGATTATTGCCACAATTTCAGAGCCTGTTATTGGTCTATTCAGAGATTCAACTTCTTCCTGGTTTAGTCTTGGGAGGGTGTATGTGTCGAGGAATTTATCCATTTCTTCTAGATTTTCTAGTTTATTTGTGTAGAGGTGTTTGTAGTATTCTCTGATGGTAGTTTGTATTTCTGTGGGATTGGTGGTGATATCCCCTTTATCATTTTTTATTGCATCTATTTGATTCTTCTCTCTTTTCTTCTTTATTAGTCTTGCTAATGGTCTTTCAATTTTGTTGATCTTTTCAAAAGACCAGCTCCTGGATTCATTAATTTTTTGAAGGGTTTTTTGTGTCTCTATTTCCTTCAGTTCTGCTCTGATTTTAGTTATTTCTTGCCTTCTGCTAGCTTTTGAATGTGCTTGCTCTTGCTTTTCTAGTTAATTGTGATGTTAGGGTGTCAATTTTGGATCTTTCCTGCTTTCTCTTGTGAGCATTTAGTACCATAAATTTCCCTCTACATACTGCTTTGAATGTGTCCCAGAGATTCTGGTATGTTGTGTCTTTGTTCTTGTTGGTTTCAAAGAACATCTTTATTTCTGCCTTCATTTCGTTATGTACCCAGTAGTCACTCAGGAGCAGGTTGTTCAGTTTCCATGTAGTTGAGTGGTTTTGAGTGAGTTTCTTAATCCTGAGTTCTGGTTTGATTGCCCTGTGGTCTGAGAGACAGTTTGTTATAATTTCTGTTCTTTTACATTTGCTGAGGAGTGCTTTACTTCCAACTATGTGGTCAATTTTGGAATAGGTGTGGTGTGGTGCTGAAAAGAATGTATATTCTGTTGATTTGGGGTGGAGAGTTCTGTAGATATCTATTAGGTCTGCTTGGTGCAGAGCTGAGTTCAATTTCTGGGTATCCTTGTTAACTTTCTGTCTCGTTGATCTGTCTGATGTTGACAGTGGGGTGTTAAAGTCTCCCATTATTATTGTGTGGCAGTCTAAGTCTCTTTGTAGGTCACTCAGGACTTGCTTTATGAATCTGGGTGCTCCTGTATTGGGTGCATATATATTTAGGATAGTTAGCGCTTCTTGTTGAATTGATCCCTTTACCATTATGTAATGGCCTTCTTTGTCTCTTTTGATCTTTGTTGGTTTAAAGTCTGTTTTATCAGAGACTAGGATTGCAACCCCTGCCTTTTTTTGTTTTCCATTTTCTTGGTAGATCTTCCTCCATCCCTTTATTTTGAGCCTATGTGTGTCTCTGCATGTGAGGTGGGTTTCCTGAATACAGCACACTGATGGGTCTTGACTCTTTATCCAATTTGCCAGTCTGTGTCTTTTAATTGGAGAATTTAGCCCATTTACATTTAAAGTTAATATTGTTATGTGTGAATTTGGTCCTGTAATTATGATGTTAGCTGGTTATTTTGCTCATTACTTGATGCAGTTTCTTCCTAGCCTTGATGGTCTTTACATTTTGGCATGTTTTTGCAGTGGCTGGCACCGGTTGTTCCTTTCCATGTTTAGTGCTTCCTTCAGGAGCTCTTTTAGGGCAGGCCTGGTGGTGACAAAATCCCTCAACATTTGCTTGTCTATAAAGGATTTTATTTCTCCTTCACTTATGAAACTTAGTTTGGCTGGAATGAAATTCTGGGTTGAAAATTCTTTCAAGAATGTTGAATATTGGCCCCCACTCTCTTCTGGCTTGTAGAGTTTCTGCCAAGAGATCCGCTGTTAGTTTGATGGGCTTCCCTTTGTGGGTAACCCGACCTTACTCTCTGGCTGCCCTTAACGTTTTTTCCTTCATTTCAACTTTGGTGAATCTGACAATTATGTGTCTTGGAGTTGCTCTTCTCGAGGAGTATCTTTGTGGCATTCTCTGTATTTCCTGAATCTGAATGTTGGCCTGCCTTGCTGGATTGGGGAAGTTCTCCTGGATAATATCCTGCAGAGTGTTTTCCAACTTGGTTCCATTCTCTCCGTCACTTTCAGGTACACCAATGAGACGTAGATTTGGTCTTTTCACATAGTCCCATATTTCTTGGAGGCTTTGTTCATTTCTTTTTATTCTTTTTTCTCTAAACTTCTCTTCTCACTTCATTTCATTCATTTTGTCTTCCATCACTGATACCCTTTCTTCCAGTTGATCGCATCAGCTCCTGAGGCTTCTGCATTCTTCATGTAGTTCTCGAGCCTTGGCTTTCAGCTCCATCAGCTCCTTTAAGGACTTCTCTGCATTGGTTATTCTAGTTATCCATTCGTCTAATTTTTTTTCATAGTTTTTAACTTTTTTGCCATTGGTTTGAATTTCCTCCTGTAGCTCGGAGTAGTTTGATTGTCTGAAGACTTCTTCTCTCAACTTGTCAAAGTCATTCTCTGTCCAGCTTTGTTCCATTGCTGGTGAGGAGCTGCATTCCTTTGGAGGAGGAGAGGCACTCTGCTTTTTAGAGTTTCCAGTTTTTCTGCTCTGTTTTTTCCCCATCTTTGTGGTTTTATCTACTTTTGGTCTTTGATGATGGTGACGTACAGATGGGTTTTTGGTGTGGATGTCCTTTCTGTTTGTTAGTTTTCCTTCTAACAGACAGGACCCTCAGCTGCAGGTCTGTTGGAGTTTGCTAGAGGTCCACTCCAGACCCTGTTTGCCTGGGTATCAGCAGCAGTGGCTGCAGAACAGTGGTGGCTGTAGAACAGTGGATATTGGTGACCCGCAAATGCTGCTGCCTGATCGTTCCTCTGGAAGTTTTGTCTCAGAGGAGTACCCGGCCGTGTGAGGTGTCAGTCTGCCCCTACTGGGGGTTGCCTCCCAGTTAGGCTGCTCGGGGGTCAGGGAAACACTTGAGGAGGCAGTCTGCCTGTTCTCAGATCTCCAGCTGCGTGCTGGGAGAACCACTCCTCTCTTCAAAGCTGTCAGACAGGGACATTTAAGTCTGCAGAGGTTACTGCTGTCTTTTTGCCCTGCCCCCAGAGGTGGAGCCTACAGAGGCAGGCAGTCCTCCTTGAGCTGTGGTGGGCTCCACCCAGTTTGAGCTCCCCGGCTGCTTTGTTTACCTAATCCTGGGCAATGGCAGGCGCCCCTCCTCCAGCCTTGCTGCCACCTTGCAGTTTGATCTCAAGACAGTTGTGCTAGCAATCAGTGAGACTCTGTGGGCATAGGACCCTCCGAGCCATGTGCGGGATATAATCTCCTGGTGTGCCGTTTTTTAAGCCCATTGGAAAAGCACAATATTAGAGTGGGAGTGACCCGATTTTCCAGGTGCCATCTGTCACCCCTTTCTTTGACTAGGAAAGGGAACTCCCTGACCCCTTGCACTTCCCGAGTGAGGCAATGCCTCGCCCTGCTTTGGCTTGCACACAGTGCGCTGCACCCACTGTCCTGCATGCACTGTCTGGCACTCCCTAGTGAGATGAACCCGGTACCTCAGATGGAAATGCAGAAATCACCCATCTTCTGCATCGCTCATGCTGGGAGCTGTACACCGGAGCTGTTCCTATTCGGCCATCTTGGTTCCACCCCTCTAACTCATCTTTTAAGCCTTAGGATAAATGTTTTCCTCAGAACATCTGAATGAATGAATAAAGCCACCGTAACATATGGGACATCATAAAACAACAAAATATTTGAATTTTTGAGGTCCTAGAGACAAAGAGAAAACATAAAGGATAGAAAATCTATTTAATGAAATAATAGCAGGAAACTTTCCAACTCTAGTAAGAGATGCAGACATCTTGATACAGGAAGCTCAGAGATACCCAAATAGATACAATACAAAAAGGTCTTCTCCATGGCATATTATGGTCAAAATATAAAAGTCAAAGACAAAAGAGAATACTAAAAACAGCAAGAGAAAAGCATCTAGTCACTTACAAGGAAACTCTCATCAGCCTAACAGCAGATTTCTCAACAGAGAGAAATGAGAGAGAATGTGATTATACATTCAGTGTTGAAAGAAAAAAATCACCAGTCAAGGACACTATCCTCAGCAAAGTATTCTACAAAAATGAAAAAGAAATAGTCTTTCCCAGACAGCAAAAGGTGACAGAATTCATCACCACTGGACCAACCCTACAAGATATGTTCAAGAGTCCTACACCTAGAAGTGAAAGGACAATATCTACCATTGTGAAAACACACAAAAGTATAAAACCTACTGACACAGCAAACATACAAATAAGGACAAAGGACTCAAATGTTACCCCTAAAGAAAACAACCAAACCACAATGATAAAAAATAAAAGAGAAAGGAACAAAGGATAAACAAAACAACTAGAAATCAATTAATAAAATGATAAGAATCAGCCCTCACATATCAGTAATCACACTGAACGTCAATGGATTAAACTTCATTTAAAAGATACAGACGGGCTGAATGGATGAAAAAACATGATCCAACTATAAGCTGCCTACAAGAAACTCTTCTCACTGGTAAAGACACATATGGATTGAAAGTAAAAGAACAGGAAAAGATATTCCATACAAATGGAAACCAAAAGTGAGTAGAAATAGCTACGTTTATATCAGAAAAAAACAGATTTTAAGTAAAAAACAGCAAAAAGAGACAAAGAAGGTCATCATATAATGATAAAGGGATCAATTCAGCAAGAGAATATAACAATTCTAAACATATAACACCAACACCAGAACACCCAGATATATAAGGCAAATATTATTAGAGCAAAAGGGAGAGAGATACTACAGTATAATAATCACTGGGGACGTCACTGTGCCACTCTCAGAATTAGATCATCTAGAGAGAAAATTAACAAAGAAACATTGGGTTTAAACATACCTGAGAGGATGAGGGAAAAAGGGAACTCTTATATACTGTTGGTGGGATATAAATTAGTACAATCACTATGGAAAACAGCATGCAGATTTCTCAAAAACCTGAAAATAGAACTACCATATGATCCAACAATCCCACTACTGGGTATTAATCCAAAGGAAGATAAAATCAGTATATCAAAATGATACCTGCACTTGTATGATTACTGTAGCATTATTCAAAATACCAAAGGTATGGAATCAACCTAAGTGTCCCCCAACAGACAAACAGATAAAGAAAATGTGATATATACACATGGAATACTATTCAGGCATTTAAAAAATGAAATCATGTCATTTGCAGCAACATGGAGGGAATCGGAGGTCAGAAAGACAAATATCAGACTGGGCGCAGTGGCTCACACCTGTAATCCCAGCACTTTGGGAAGCCGAGGTGGGTGAATCACCTGAGGTCAGGAATTTGAGACCAGCCTGGCCAATGTGGTGAAACCCTGTCTCTATTAAAAATACAAAAATTAGCCAGGCGTGGTGGCAGGCACCTGTAATCCCAGTTACTCTAGAGGCTGAGGCAGGAGAATTGCTTGAACCCAGGAGGTGGAGGTTGCAGTGGGCCAAGATCGCACCACTGCACTCCAGCCTGGGCGACAAGAATGAGACTCCAACTCAAAAAAAAGAAAGACAAATATCATATGTTCTCATTCATATCTGGAGGCTAAAAAAAGATCTCACAGAGGTAAAGAATAGAATGATAGAAACCAGAGGCTGGGAAGGGTGTGTGGGTGAGGGGTGGGGGATGAAGAGGAGTTGGTTAATGTTACAAACATACAGTTAAATATGAGGAATGACTTCTAATGTTCATAAGCAGAGTAGAGTGACTCTAATTAACAACAATGTATTGTATATTTCAAAATAGCTAGAAGACTTGAAATGTTCCTATCAGAAAGAAATGATAAACCCTCCTCTGGTGGATCTGATGGATACCTCAAATACCCTGACACTTGTTCATTACACCTTCTATGCATGGAACAAAACATAACATGTATCCCATAAATATGTACAAATATTGGGTATCAATTAAAAATGAATAAATAACTCTTGAAGAACTTCCCACATTCCTCACAACGACAGTCAAAACCCTGTATGATACGACTCCGACGTAACTCTCAGACCTTTCTTCCCGCTGTTCCATTACTTACTCCACCTTTGTGTTTCCTGCTCAGTCTGACTAGAGTACTTGAACACTTACTTCACATCTCTATGCAAGCAAGCCCACTTCCAGACAGGTACCCTAAGCACCCAAGTGCTGCCATTCTCACCCCATCACTCCTATTTCCTTGTCTCTATAGCATGATTATTTGGTATTCCTTATCTATTCATTTGCTTACTTGTTTGAGGCATGTCTCACCAACTGCTGGTAAAGTCCATGACAGCAGTGACTTTCTCAGTCTTGTTCATTACCTGTACATTACAGTATTGACCAGAGCCAAGCATATGCCTTCTAGGAATGCGCACTCTATACATATTTACTGAACATGAATACATTTCTTAGTGAAAACACATGTAGAAATCTAAATGCAAAAGCAGAGTTGGAAAGTAGCTGGATCCAAAATACGTGTTAAAAGTTTACACTGGGGGCCAGAAGCATTGGCTCATGCCTGTAATTTCAGCTACTTAGGAGGTTGAGGCAGGAAGACTACTTGAGGCCAAGAGTTCAAGATCAGCTGGGGCAACATAGCAAGATGCTGCCTCTTAAAAAATAATTTTAAAAACTGTTTAAAGTTTACACTGGGAAAGAAAGAGGAAGCTCACTTCATTAAAAGAGGAAGAAAATAACAGAAATTAGGTGATTAGTAAATGATGAAGTTCCTTGGGGACAGCTCCTACAGTGATCTTATTTCCTTCCCAGGTCTTGGGCATTTTTGTCCAGTGGGGGACCTTGGGTTATTGAAGAAAGTTTTCCAAACCACATCTCAGGGGTGTGACTCCTCTCTGAGCACATGGGCTGTCCGGGACAATGATGGCTTCCCCCTGCCTGCTTTACTCTCACTTACCTGGATACCATCTGCTTGTTTCTTTACTTACAACAATCCAGGGCTCTTTCTCTTGCTCTAGTAATGTAATCACATCTGGCTTAGAAATGGAACTTCCTGCTTAAAAGAAATAACACATGTAGAATTTTTTTAATATAAAAATTTTTTTTAAACCCTGAGACCTAGTTAAACTTATAATAAATTACAAGCCAAAACAATATTGAGAAGAGACTCCAGATAAGAGAGGATTGAGTAAGGGATCAACTATGTTTAAAAAAAAAAAAAGCACTTTCATTTAAACTCATAATAGAAACTTATCCCTCAAGAGGAGGTATAATTTAGTGGTTAACAGCAGGAAACTTCAAGCCAGATTACCTGGTTGAAATCCTGTCTCTGCCACCCACTAGTACTTTGACATTAAGTAAGTCACTTGAACTCTCTGTCCTTCAGTTTTCCCAACTCTAAAACAGAAATATAATAATGCCTGTTTTATAGGATTGATACTAATATTAAATAAGGTAATATATGTAAAATACTTCTAACTCTCACTCATACGTAGTAGCACAAAGTTAAAAATTATTATGTTTATTGTCATTATTTATTTTGCATCCTTAGACATTTACAGCTCATTTTAAGAATTTTCACCCAACAGAAAAGCATACACTTCATGGCCTGAAACTTTCAACTACAAAACAAGTAACGGAAGGTCTGTCGAAGGAAATGGAATATACTGACTTAGTGCTAAATAAGTTCTGTCAACCCAATCAGTATATGTAAATCATTGAGGCTCTGTTTTGTTTTGTTTTTTTGAGACAGTGTCTTGCTCTGTTGCCCAGGCTGAAGTACAGTGGCATGACCACGGCTCTCTGCAGCCTTGACCTCCCAGGTTCAAGCAATCATAGAGGCTCTTTTAATAGAAAAACTCAACACACTCTTCTCCTTACAGGTGGGCCAGAAAAACAAAAACAAACAAAGAAAATCTACAGTAATTCTGAGATCAAACATAATATGAAACCTGGTTCTTGAACAATATCATTCAACGAATATACAAGATTTCAAATTCAGCCCCATGGTCATGAAGAGAGAGAGGGGATTACAGAGATGACCAGCATAATGGAGGAGGCCCTGGTGCAGTAGGCAAGATGCAGAGGCTCCAAGGAGGTGCCTGTTTTCAACCCAACAAATCTCAATCCATTCCTTCGGGAATAAGAAGAAGGAATCCAACTACCTCTTAAAAGACAGCCCTGAAACTCATGATGAAGAAAGCTGATATTCCAGAGAACAGATACAAAAATAACTGGGACCAATGACCTTACCCAGTGATATCAGGTGGCTGTAGTTCTCCAACATCACATCCCTGTACAAGGTCCTCTGATCAGGCTGCAGGCACTCCCACTCCTCCTGAGAGAAGTCAATGGCCACATCCCTGAATGTCACTGATCCCTGAAACCACAAACACATGGATTATGGTGAAATTGAAGAAAGTTGTTTCAAGACGAAAGGAGAGGAAGTGAAGGATTAAACTGCAATAAAGGAGCAATATGGAAAATCGCAGAGTGCCTACACATTCTTCAAGAATCCTGCTGCTGGCCTGGTGTGGTGGCTCATGCCTGTTATACCAGCACTTTGGGAGACCAAGGTGGAAGGACTGCTTGAGCCCAGGAGTTGGCAAACAGCCTGGGCAACATAACGAGATGCACTCCCTGGAAAAAAAAAAAAAAGAAAGAAAGAAAGAACTGTCGTGGTGGCATGTGCCTATAGTCCCAGCTACTTGGGAAGCTGAGGTGGGAGTATTGCTTGAGCCTGGGAGTTCAATGCTGCAGCGAAGTGTGATGGCACTACTGCACTCCAGCCTGGGCTACAGAGTGAGACCCTATCTCAAAAAAAAAAAAAAAAAAAAAAAAAAGGTGGCAGCATACAATTGAGGAATGCCGTTAATCCTCAAGCTTACTGTGGTATCAGATGATAGCAAAAGTATTTTTTCTTGTCATGACAAATGATTTTTATAAGCTGCGTAAAATTCAAAATAACTGACATATTAGATTTAGTCATATTTTTCTATTTATACATTTAAGATGGTCAGAGTCTCTAAGGTTTTCCCAAATTCAGAGAATCTGTAATCACCTACCACTCATGCCCTGAATAATCTCTGTTACTGCCCACTGTCCTCACTGATCACTTTCCTAAAAGCCTCATAAAGCAGAACACCTTGTCACGCTTGCAGACTGAGGCCACTCACTATGGAATTCTACCTCAGCTACCTAGAAAGCTCCAGTCTGTGGAGGAGTTTCAAGGTGTTCCCGAGTGTGGTCAAATGCGACAATCATCTGTAACTTATCAAACCCACAAGACCATGTTTCCCTGTGGGGACCAACTCCTCCACTGTTCCAACATTCTTTCTGACCAAGGACTGAGTTAAGCACAGACTGAATAACCTGCTCAAAGAAAACATCAAAGCCAGTGGGAAAACAGAGGTACGAATAGGAAGAGCACTGACTTTTATTTTTTGGTCACCAAACTTCACTGTAATGGGACAAAGTGGGGTGTAAGATTGTGGATCCTGGCCAGGCACAGTGGCTCACGCCTGTAATCCCAGCACTGTGGGAGGCCAAGGCAGGGGGATCATGAGGTCAGGAGATCGAGACCATCCTGGCTAATATGGTGAAATCCCATCTCTACCAAAAATACAAAAAATTAGCCAGGCGTGCTGGTGGGTGCCTGTAGTCCCAGCTACTCGGGAGTCTGAGGCAGGAGAATTGCTTGAACCTGGGAGGCGGAAGTTGCAATGAGCCAAGATCGCACCACTGCATTCCAGCCTGGGTGACAGAGCAAGACTCCGTCTCAAAAAAAAAAAAAAAAAAAAAAAAAAATCGTGGATCCTTACGTAAGAAGGTTCAGGTTTAATAATAACAGTCACCTAACCTAACCTGAAAGTCACCATATTTCAAGAAGACAGAAACACCAACTTACATGGACCATGTTTCTAGAATTACAAAATTGGTCAATCTTCCTCGGGCTTCTCCCCTGGAAAACAACAACAACAAAAAGGCCCTAAGTCAAGCTGTGTCCGAAAGCACTAGAACGAATAAATATTTTATCCTCCATTCCTATTTCTCAACTACTCCTGCTCACACGCACACTTCCACCCTTCTCCCGTCACTCCCTTTTTCCCTACACACACTCTCACAAATAAACTGGCAGTGAACAGGTGGAGTGTGGATGAAACCAAGCTCTCGCCTACATCCCAGGGAACCTGCGGCGGAAGCATGAATGCCGAGCACAGGCATTTCTGCCTTGAAGTTGTGGCTTCCAGCCAGTCCTCCACTCTTGGGATACCAATCTTGGCCTAGGACTGGGCCTCTGATCCTGCTGTAAGCAATCCTCCTCCCCTAGTCCACCTTTCAGAGCTGAGAAGGGCTTGCATCATCCAATCCAGAACCTCTTTGTGAACTCAGGATTGGGTGCAGTGGGGCAAGGCATGAGAACTGGAAAGGATATAGACAGAATTGCATGGGCAGTGTTCAGCATTCTGAGTTCACCAAAAGCCAGCTGGGGTAAGTACAGTTCAGAATAGCCATGTAATAGAATACAAAGTAATCATTAATTGTTCCAGACATATGATTAACAGAAAAATCAGGTTACAAAGCAGGATAAACAATACGATTACATTTGTAAAATATATGTATATAGAAATATTAAGCAAAAGACTAATAGACATCAATACAAAAATTTAGACAGGTATATGCATGCTAACAGTGCTTATCTCTGTATTGTAGCCCCAATTTTCTTCTTTTTGCTAAAGAGTATGTCATAATTGTGACTATGCCCAGGCATTTAACTTAGAATATATAATTATATTCACACACACACACACACACACATATATACACACATATACACATGTGTATGTATCTATATATGTACATATTTAAATGTACATACACATTTTTTTTCTTGCGAGGAAATTGTTCTCCAAATTAGATGAAAGACATCTTTTATTTAGACATTTTCCTTTCAACGTGGGGACAAAAAAAGGAAACTCTACTGAGCTCTTGTTTTTATGTAATAAATTTGTTTCCATTATTTCCCAATTCTTGACCAACACTAAGATGTCTATGTTTTTCTATGTATGTTAGTACAATTTCTAAAAAAAATTGTCTACAAGTCTTCAACTAATTTCTTGTATGCATTAATGATGGTCATATTTCTACATCCGAATTCAAAAATAAAAATAAAACAGAGTTAACAGAGAGTGAGTACTTTTAATCATAAAAAACAAAAAACTGTGCCTGTCATGAGGATCAAAAAGATTAATGTGACTATAACAAATAACATCAGCTAGTTCTGACATCCTTTAGCTGTATCTCACCAATATAATTAGACATTTTCATTATCAAGACTCTTCTCTGAATGAACACAATGCAGATAAGTGGCATCTGGAAACTACATGAGAAAATCTGTGGAATGTACATCACCATGCTTGGTTCCCTTCTTCACCAAATAACTCATTAAAATATCATTTTGGATACAATTCCTACAGAATGCCTTACAAAAACCCTATCTTAGTATATGGGATTCATATACATGTAACATTTTCTTGAGTATCATTGTTCATAGCATGAATACTGCTTAATGGTATATCAAATATTTTTCTTTTCATAATTCTTTATAGACATCATTTTATTAGCTGCATAATACTTTATCACTTGAGTCTAGTATAATTTGCTTAGTGATTTCCATATTACAGGACACTTGATTTATATAAGATCATTTACAGTGTCATTCCAGGTATCACAATCTTTTGATTCTAGACTAAGGTTTTTCACCCTAGGCACTAATGACATATTGTGCTGTATAATCCTTTGTTGGGGCTATAGGGAGGGTTATCCTGTGCACGGTACAATGTTCAGCAGTATCCCTGACCTCTATCCACTAGATCTAAGTAGCACCTCCCCCATGGTGTGACAACCAAAAGTTTTTAAACATCACCCCCGCTGAGAATCAATGTTCTATCTAGATCAATGGATCCAAACCTCATGGGTCACATACAGTTTTGATAGTCTTATGAAATGATATACTATTTCTCCCTCTAAAACCCACATTGATAAATTTCCATAGTACTTCAATACATTATTTCAAGAGCTTTGTGGTCCCCAAGACCATACGTGGAGTTACAAGAACTCAGATTAAGAATTTCAGTCCTACATTCTTGACAAAAATAGAAAAAAAAAAATCCTAAAATGTGCATAGAACCACAAAAGACCCAAATAGCCAAAGCAGTCTGGAGCAAAAAGAACAAAGTTGGAGGCATCAAACTACCTGACTTCAATATATACTACAAAGCTATAGTAACCAAAACAGCATGATACTGACATAAAAACAGACACCTAGACAAACGGAACAGAATAGAGAGCCCCAGAATAAATCCATATGTTTACAACCAACTGATTTTTGAGACAGGTGCCAAGAACATACAATAAGGAAAAGACAGTCTCTTCAATACATACTGTTGTGAAAACTGGGGAGTCATACACAGAAGAATGAAATTAGACCCTTTTCTCAAACCATTATACAAAAATCAACTCTAAATGGATTAAAGATTTAAATGTAAGATCCCAAACTATGAAACAAATAGAAAAAAACGTACGGGGAAAGCTTCATGACATTGATCTGGGCAATAATTTTTTTTTCTAGAAATGACTTCAAAAGCACAGGCAATAAAAGCAAACATAGACAAATGAAATTACATCAAGCTAAAAAAGCTTCTGCACAGCAAAGTGAAGAGACTACCTACAGAATGAGAGAAAATATTTGCAGTCATGTATCTAATAAGGGGTTAATATCCAAAACGTGTGAGGAACTCAACAGCAAGAAAACAACCCAATTAAAAAATGGGCAAAGGACCTGATAAACACATCTCAAAAGACGACATATAAATGGCTACAGTATATGAAAAAATACTCAACATTACTAATCATCAGGGAAATGAAAATTAAACCTACAATAAGATATCACCTCATATGTGTTGGGGTGGCTATTGAAAAGACATAAGTTAACAAATGTTGGTGAGAATGTAGAGAAATGTGAACCATTGCACACTGTTGGTGAGAATGTAAAGTGACACAGACATTATGGAAAACAGCATGGAGGTTCCTCAAAAAATTAGAAATAGAACCACCATATGATCCAGCAATCTACTACTGGATATTTATCCAAAGGAAATGAAATCTGTATACCAAAGAGACACCTGCACACCCATGTTTATTGCAGCACTATTCACAATAGCCAAGATATGGAATCAATCTAACTGTCTATCAATGAATGGATAAAGAAAATGTGGTATATATGCAGGTATATATACACAATGGAAAACTAGCCATAAAAAAAGGGAAATGCTGTCATTCGCAACAACATGGATGAACCTGGAGAAATTCATATTAAGTAAGCCAAGCACAGAAAGGCAGATGATCTCACTCATCAGTGGAATCTGAAAAATGTTCATATAGGCCAGGTGCGGTGGCTCACACTTGTAATCCCAGCACTTTCGAAAGCGGAGGCGAAGGCCGAGGCAGGCGGATCACCTAAGGTCCAGAGTTCGAGACCACCCTGGCCAACATGGCAAAACCCTGTCTCTACTAAAAATACAAAAATAAGCTGGGTGTGGTGGCATGCACCTGTAGTCCCAGCTACTCGGAAGGCTGGGGCAGGAGAATTACTTGAACCCGGGAGGCAGAGGTTGCAGTGAACCGAGATCACGCCACTGCACTCCAGCCTGGGCAACAGAGTAAGACACTCTCTCTCAAAAAAAGAAAACACTTGATATCATAGAATTAGAGAAGAGAATGGTGTTTACAGGTCGGGGGTAATGTGGGTGAGGGAGGGAAGATGGTGTTGGCTGGGGAAATGTTGGTCAAAGGATATAAAATTTCAGGAAGATAAGAGAAATAAGCTCAAGAAATCTATTACACAACAACGTATCTACTATTAATAACTACTATTAATAACTATTCTGTAGTGCTAAGAGAGTGGATATTAAGTGTTCTCACCACAAAAATGATAACTATGTGAGGTAATGCATTGCTAATTAGCTAGATTTAGTCATTCCACAATGTACATATACTATAAAACATCATGTTGCACACGATAAATACATACAATTTTATCTGTCAATTTAAAAAGAACTTCTGTCCTAGATCATTTGAGCAACTCACTCATTTTCTTACTATGCAAGCAGCAATCACAATGAATCACATATTCCCAATGCTCCTGTCCTATAGAAAGTCAAGGGAAATGACCTAAAATGACCACACGAAAACAAAAGCTAAAACATTAAACATTTATTATTATATGCCTAGCACTGCTCTAAGAGGTTTTAGAGTATTAATTCATTCTAATGTTCATTACAAGCCTGAGAAGACCAGAAACGGACAGAACAAACATTCCAACCCAGATACTCTGGATCCACTCCCCTATTCTTAACCGCAACAGCGTACTGCCTCTCACAGTTCACACAAATAGCCCAAAATGCAACCGGAACTGCCGAATCTCACAGAGATCTGGCAAGTATTACAATTATCATCTCATGGACTCTCCCGAAAAATCCTGACTCTGGTTGATACCAATTTCTGTGCAATCACTTTCCGATTCCTGAAAGCCTCACAGACGAATGGAAATCACCCAACCATCTCCATTCTTCCCTACTTGGAAAAGGAGGCCTGTAAAGAGTCAGAAACCTGGCGTGTGATTCCACAAACTAATCTTCTTTTCAAAGCAGAGTCTAAAATAAAGCTTTAATATAAACCTCTGGAGGACTATTTTTATACCAGCTTAGAAGAAGAGAGCGTACAGGAAGGTGTGAACGATTTGCCAAATGGCTCTGTGAATATTAAATGGCAAGGTGGGGAGCGGGCGGGGTGGGGAACGGCTCGCTGGGAGGCGGCACAATGGGAGGGGGCAAGAATCAATTTGCATATTCTCCTGAAATTCACTAAAAATTTACAGGAACCTCTATATTCTAAAATCAAAAACGCATTTCTTGAACAAATACAAAGCACAAACTCACCCTTGACTTAAGTGTGCAACAATAACGCTCTCATCCTCCTCTCGGTCCTTCTTTTGGATAATAATACGACTGGAGAAGGATACGGCAAGCGTGAGACTCCAGGCTTTTCTTGGAGCGCAGACTAAGTTTGAAAGCACCCTCCATGGCCACAACTTCCCTCACTTCGTACGAAATGAGAAGGAAATAAAAGGAGGAGGAATCGGTCTGAGTTCGAAGCTGGTTCCTGGGGACAGATCTCTGAGGGACGCTGGGTTCTCAACATGTAGCTGCCCTCCTGGGGGACCCTCAAGAGGCACTTCCAGCTCTCATATTCCCACCCCGAGTCCAGATCTGCGCCTTCTTGTGCAAAGCTTCATTCTCGGTTCAATATCTAACCTCCCTACTGGGGACATTTTCATTCCTCTGCTGCAGCCTCTGCAGCTTTGAAGGGGAAAGACGGAGGAAGCAGCAGGAGCCTAGTACCACCGGCACAGTGACACTCACACAGCCCCAGCAAAACGCACTGCGTCCACACGCCGTCCCGGTCCTGTGCACAGGGCCTCACGCACACACTCACACAGTCCCCTCCGTCACTCAAGATCGCGCAATCCCCATCCTTTGATGCCCGCGCACACGCACGCCTAAGGATCTGGCAGATTCCGTCTGCGCCCCGGGTTCCTCCTCTGAGCGCCTCGCTCTCGCCCACCCGCACTGCCGGGTCGGTCAGGTTCGAGTCCCAGTCCACGAAGACCTCCCGCAGCCACCGATTTCTTCCTAGGACGTGAAGACCTTACCCAGCTAGGTCGTCAACCCCAGGAGACAGGAAGTGGAACCGCTAATTCCGGTGCGGTGGCCTCTGGGAAATACAGTCCTGAGCAGAAAGAACCTCAGAAGTCTTGGTCTATGGTCTGTTCAGGTTGATCCCAGCATACATTGGGGGCTCCTAAGGGACCCGAGCCTAATGGATTTGTGGGAGTTCCAGACCGTGGGGTGCAGAGGTTGCGGCCACGGGCGAGAATCCCCATCTGAGAGGAGCGTTGCTGTTTTCGGTGCGTCAGGGTAAATTACCTTTTCTCTCTATGCAAAAGAATGCAAATGAGCAGAACTTTTAAAGAAGAATTTAAAGTAAAATTACGTCAAAATGTAGCTGCTTTGACCTCTTCGTCTCAGATCCGAGCATAGGCTTCCCCTTTGTGCTATTTGAAGGGACTTAGGATAAATTTGAAAAGCCTGAACTAAAGAAATGGTTGGAGAGACTCCGTCTCAAAAAAAAAAAAAAAAAGAAAGAAAGAAAGAAAAGGAATCGTTGGTTTTATACTAGAAGAGGAAGTGTGGTTTACATGAGAGATTTCAGAATCAAATATACTTGATTCTTCAAGACAATCTTCCTGTTATCTGGAGAGAAAAACGTGATTCAGGACGGCATGGAAACAGATAAAAGTACACAGAGAATTACTTGCCTTATCTTGAAGGATGAATAATTAACACATTTTCTTAAAACAGTCTAAATAAATGCCAAAGGGGGTTTGTTTTTCGTAGGAAAAGCTTGATTTCACTGTTGTAATCTAGCAACATTGAACTTTCAAAATGATTTTTGTAGTTTCCTATGCTATATAAAGCGGAAACGTGGAATAATGAAGAGCAAAATGTCTTTTCATTCCCGACTGTGACAGAAAACAGATAGCAAGATAACAAACTTAATTGGATCAATGATCACATTAAGTGTAACTGGTCTAACACCTTAACTTAAGAAGGTTGTCAGGTTGGATTTTTTTTTTAAAAGTCAGACCCAAATACGTGCTACCTACAGGTAATACTTAAAATATAAAAGCACTAATAGGTTAAAAGTAAAAGGATGGAAAAATATATAAAATCCTAACACTAGTCAAAAGAAAGCTGGAGTGGCTATATTAAAAACAAAGTGACTTCACCAAAAAGACTATATCAGGGATAAAGAAAGTTACATCATCATAATGATGAAGGATACAGTTCATCCAGTGGAAAGAACAAACCTAAATTATGCTCTTAATACAGCTTCTAAGTATGTGAGTAAAAACCTGTTAGATCAATAAAGTAACAGACAAATCCACAATTATAATCAGATATTTCAACATATCTCTCTTGGTAATTGATAGAACTAATGCAGAAAAGCAACAGGGTATAGATTATCTAAACAACATATCAACCTGCTTGATCTCATTTACACTTCTGGAACACTCTTCTCAAAGACAGTAAAATTCATCTTAGGTGGACAGGAGACACTTTCCAGCGTATACCATATTCTGGGCCATAAAGCAAGTCTCCATAAATGAGTAAATGGACTCAAGTCATACAAAGAATGTTTTTGACAAAAATGGAATTAAATTAGAAATCAATAACAGCTCACTATATATTGTCCAAAGTAGTAAAAATTTGAAAATGTATGAATACTATGATAATTGAAATTATATAATGTTTGAAAATTTCCTTTATGAGTCATAATTTTCTGTTATATCCTAAAGGGTAAACAATAACATATTTGCATTAAAACAAAATAATGTTTTTGTAGTAAGGAAAAAATTTTAAGCTATCTATATTGACTATGCATTAAAGAGCAGAATAATTATTTTTGGTATATATTCCAATGCTTTAATCAATTTCTTAGCCAGTATCACCATATTTTTAAGGATTTTTTTTGACACAGTCTATTATTTTTAAATTTTGATAAAATTGTATGTAATCCTCAATGCTGGACTTTATGGTTAATAAACTTGAAATTATAGCTACCTTCAAATGGCGCTTCTCTGAACACCATACCTTTTAAATTGAGATATATACTCTGCATATACTAAGGTAATCAGAAGTCTTAGAATATAGCCAATGAAATGGAAAATATCCTCATGAGTATTGTGAATATGGAATATTAGATTGCAAATATTTTAGCAGTTGATGTATTTTGCCTTCACAGTACATTTCTACTTTTTTTTTTGCCACTTAGTCTAGGAAGGGTACATTTATTTAAAAATTATTCCTAAAGCCAAACAAATTGGCTCAATTTATGATACCTTTGAATGTTAAGCCAAATTTAGGTGTTACGGAAACATAAACCTTCTCAATTGCATTCCATTCTAACACAAATTGTAAATGTATCCAGTTAGAAATGGGAGCACCATCAAAAGACTACTGCCATAGCTGAAGAAAGTCCTATGCAAAATTGAAGAATTTCAAAATTAAATCCTGTATATAATACGTTAGTTCATGACTTTATTTATTCAGTTTCTTCCTTAATTTGTAGGACTAAATCCCATTGTCTTCATGTTGGCAAGTTCTGATAACTGAAATTCTGTTGAATTTCTATACTGAATAGGAGTAAGGATAGATGATATCACTGTTTTGTGCCAAATCAACAGAATCTTAAACAACCAAAGGGTTAAAGAACAAATAAAAAGAGAATTTAGAAAACATTTTAGATAAATACAAATTTACTAAAGTTCATGAGATGCTTACTGCTCAGGGAAAAATTTATAGCTCTACATGCCTATAAAAAGGAGGAAAGATGTCAAATCAATGACCTAACTGTATACACTTAGGAATTAGAATATGAAAAATAGAAAAAAAAAAAAAGCAAAACCAGGAGAAGAAAGGAAATAATAAAGATAAAAGTGAGGTTAGATTAAATAGAAAATAGAAAAATAATAGAGAAAACTTACAAAATTAAAAGCTGGTTCTTTGAAAAGATCAAAAAAAGTGGCAAAACTGTAGCAGGACTGAACAAGAAAAAAGAGAAAACATCAAAATTACTAAAGTCAGAGCTGAAAGTGGAGACATTACTAAACTTACAAAAATGAAAATGATGATAGAAGAAAATTATAAACAATTGTATGTCAACAAAATAACCTAAATGGAAAGGAAAAAGTCCTAGAAACACACAAACTATCACTGACTCAAGAAAAAATAGAAAATCTTAACAGGAGTGATGTCAGCAAGATAGAAGAATGGGACTTTCCAGCACTTAGCTCTCACAGAAACATCAATTTAAACGTATATCTATGCATGAACAAACTTTCACAGGAGCTAAAGAATCCAAGTAGCTCACTCAGAGGGGATGGGAATGAAGCAGCTAGTAGACAACTGTCTCTGAGACAGCAAAAATGTTGGATTTAGCAAAGATCTGAAAGCAGCTATTTTAATTATGTTCAAAGAACTAAAACAAGCCATATGTAAAGAATTTAAAGAAGAGTATGACAATAATACCCTGCCAGAGACTATCGACAGAGAGATGGAAATTATTACTGCAATGAAAGAACCAAGTAGAAATTCTAGAGTTGAAAAGCACAATAACTGAAATGAAAAATTCACTAGAAGAACTCATAGCAGATTTAACCTGAAAAAAGAATTAGTGAACTTGAAAATAGGTCAAGTCAATAAAATTATGCAGTCTGAAGAACAGAAAGAAAAACAGAAGGAATAAAAATGAAGAAAGCATCAGAGGCATGTAGTACACCATCAAGCAAACCAACATACATATAAGAGGAGGGTCAGAAGGAAAGAAAAAGAAAAAATGCTTGAAAAATAATGGCCAAACTCTCTGTGAAGTTGATCACACACATGCACACACACCTACATTTACAAGAATGTGAACACACTCCAAGTGGGATAAACCCAGATATTAATACTTAATCAACATGTCTCAAGGAGAGCTACCCCAGAGTCAAATTGTCAGAAGCCAAGAACAAAGGGAAATCTTGAAAACAGCAAGGGAAACATTATTCATCATATAAACGAGATTCTCAACAGGACTACTGGCTGACTTCTCATCAGAAACAACAGAGAACAAAAGGCAGTGGGATGAGATTCAAAGTACTAAAACAAACAAAAACAAAAAACAAAACAAAACAAAACAAAAACAAATAAAACCCTACCAGTCAACCAAGAATTCTATATCCAGAATATTCTCTCTCAAAATATAGATAAAATAAAGAGAATTGCAGATAAGGACTGAAAGCCTTTGTTGCTAGCAGACTTTCCTAATAAGAAATATTAAAGTTCTTTAGAATGAAGGTGATGGTCACTGGAATCCACACAAAGAAATAATGAGCACTGATTAAAGTCATTACATAGGTAAATAAAAGATAATATACACTTTTACTTTTTTATTTTAACTGATTAAAGATAACTGCATAAAACCATAATTATACAATTGTATTATTTTGTTCATAATGTATAAAGTTGTAATTTGTGTCACATTCATATTACTATGATAGCACAAAGGAAGGGAGCTATATTGGAGTAAACTTTCTGTATACTATTGATATTATTTTATTTATTTTGATTTTTAAAATTTTATTTCTAATTTTTTGTAGAGACAGGGTCTCACTATATTGCCCAGGCTGGTCGTGAACTCCTGGGCTCAGGCAATCCTTCCACCTCAGCCTCCCAGAGTGCTGGGATTACAGGTGTGAGCCACCATGCCTGACGACTACTGTTATTATTTTAGCAATAATCTCAATTAGATTTTTTTAAGCTAAGATATACATTAGTTCTTTTTAAAAGCTGAAAACAGACGGAAAACAAAAGGATGGAAAAAGATACAAATAGATACCATACAAATGGTGATCAGAAGAGAATAGGAATGGTTATACTACCATCAGACAAAACAGGCTTTCAAAATGTTACTAAAGAAAAAGAGATTTATTTAATGATAAAAGGGCAAGTTAATTAGAAAAATATAACTACAATGAACGTATATGCTCCTAAAAACAGGAGACTACATACATGAAAGGAAAACTGACAAAACTGAAGAGAGAAAATGACAGCTCAACAATAGAAGGTGGAGATTTTAACACTCTATTCTCAATACATACAACAACTAGACAGAAAATCTGCAAGGATATAGAAGACTTAAACAACACTACAAACTAGTTTGTCTTAACTGATGGTTGGTTGAACACTCAACCAACAATAAAATACATACTCAACATGCAACATTTTCTAAACTAAACAATATACTAGACTTATATATGGCAAATCATAATATTTTTTATAAGTAAGTCATGCTAAGTATATTCTCTGACCACAGTGAAAATAAAATTAGAAATCAAACACTGAGGAAATTTGGGAAATGTAAAAATATTTTGAAATTATTCAACACATTGTTAAATACCCCATGGATCAAAGAATAAATTATAAGAGAAATTAGGATGTATTTTTTATTTTACTTCCTAAAAATAGAGATGAGAATCTCACTATGTTGATCAGGCTGGTCTCAAACTCCTGGCCTCAAGCAACCCTCCCATCTTGGCCTCCCAAAATGCTGGGATTACCGGCATGAACCATCGCACCTTGCCTAGAATGTATTTTTAATAAAAACAAAAACAATCCAAATTTTTGGAGCAGCTAAATATGTTTTTATTTTTAGCTTTAAATGCCTATAGTGCTAGAAAAGAATAAAGATGTAAAATCATTTGGTAGACTTCACCAGTGAAACCATGTAGTCTTTGGCTTTTCTTTGTTAGGAGGTATTAGATTGCTATTCATTCTTCTTACTGGTCATAGGTATATTCAGATTTTCTATTTCTTCATTATTGAGTCTTAGAAAGGTGTGTGTTTCTAGAAACTTTTCCATTTTGTCTAGGTTATCAAATTTATTGGAATACCGTTGTAAAAAGTACTCTTGAATAATGCTTTTTATTAGTATACAGTTGGTAGGAATGGAATGTTCCCTGTTTCATTTCTGATCCTAGTTATTTCAGTCTTCCTCTCTTAATCAATCTGCCTAATGGTTCTCAATTTTGTTGAGCTTTTCAAATAACCAACTCTTAGTTTTACTAATTTTCTCTATTTTTTATTCTCTAATATGTTAATCTCAAGCCTAATATTTTCATTTCCTTCCTTCTACTAGCTTCAGATTTAGTTTCTTCTTCTTTTCTAGTTTCTAATGGCATAAAGTTAGGGGGCTGACTTGAAATCTTTCTTCTTTTTTAATGTAAACACTAACAGCTATAAAATTCCCTTAACACTGCTTTTGCTGCATCCCATAAATTTGGTATGTTGTGTTTTCATTTTCATTTACCTCATTTTCATTTGTTTTGATTTCTTCTTTGATCCACTAGTTTAGAGTGTGCTTAGTTTTCATATACTTGTGGATTTTACAGTTTTACTTATGCTATTGAATTCTAGTTTCAATATTTTAACATTATGACTTCTTCTGTGGCCTAAGACATAGTTTATCCTGGATAATAATCCACATGCACTTGAGGAAAATGTGCACTCTGCTATTGTTGAGTGGAAATGTTATGTATATATGTGTGTTAGGTCCAATTGGTTCAAGTCCCCTATTTCCTTATTTATCTTCTGTCCTGTTCCTCTACATATTATTAAAAGTAGTGTATTGAAGTCTCCTACTATTATTGCATAGATGTCTATTTCTTCCTTCAATTCTGTCAATGTGTCCTTCATATATTTTGGAGCTCAGGTGTTTAGTGTATATGTATTTGTAATTGATATATCTTCTTGGTAAGTTGACCCTTTTATTATATATTCTTTGTCTCTTCTAACCTTTTTTAACTTATAGTATATTTTGTCTGATATTAATACAGCCATGCCCACTCTTTTTAATTGCTGTTTGCATGAAATATCTTTTTTCTTCTTTTCACTTTCTTTTTGTTTGTTTTTTAGACGGAGTCTCGCTCTGTCACCCAGGCTGGAGTGCAGTGACACGATCTCGGCTCACTGCAAGCTCCGCCTCCTGGGTTCACGCCATTCTCCTGCCTCAGCCTCCTAAGTAGCTGGGATTACAGGCGCCCGCCACCAAGCCCGACTAAGTTTTTGTATTTTCAGTAGAGACGGGGTTTCTCCATGTTGGTCAGGTTGGTCTAAAACTCCTGACCTCAGGTGATCCGCCCGCCTCGGCCTCCCAAAGTGCTGGGATTACAGGCGTGAGCCACTGCGCCCGGCCCATCTTTTCACTTTCAAACTATGTGTGTCCTTAGATCTAAAGTGACTTTCTTATAGATAGCATTTAGTTGGATCTCGTTCATTTATCGTCTCCCAATCTATGTCTTTTGATTGCCAAGTTTGATCCGTTTACATTTAAAGTAACTATTGATAAGGAATGACTTATTTTTGCCATGTTGTTTTTTTCTATAGTTCACCCAGTCCCACATTTCTTTTCTTACTGCCTTCCTCTGTGTTGATTTTCTATAATAACACATTTAAATTTTTTATTCATTGTATTTTTGTTATTTTCTTAATGGCTGCTGTAGGGTTTATTATATACATCTTAGAATCAGCTTCAGAATAATACTAACTTGATCCCAGTGAGATATATAAATGTTATTTATATAGTTCTAATCTATCCTACTTTTCAATTCTATTATTGTTCTACATTATTATGTCTACACATGCTACAGACTCAAAAATACATTATTATACTTATTCTGTATAGGTTTATGTCTATTAAGGATGGAATAGAGTATATATATATTTATATGGTATTTTTGATATATAGCTTTTTATTTACTATTTCTACTTCTTTTTATTTGTTCCTATGAATTCTAGTTACTATCGCGTATCATTTCTTTACTCCAATACAACTCTGCTGTCATTTACTTCCTTTATGCTGCTATTGTCAAATATATTACATTTCCATGTCATATGGCCAATAATACAATTATGTACATATTATACAATTGCTTTTTAAATCTATTAAGAGAAAAAAGTAAAAGAAATGTGCATTTATGCTGCCTTTTATAATTACCATTTTGTGTGTGTGAGACACAGAGTCTCACTTTGCTGCCCAGGCTGGAGTGAAGTGGCATGATCTCAGCTCACTGTAACCTCTGCCTCCTGGTTTCAAGCGATTCTCCTGCCTCACCTTCCGAGTAGTTGGGACTACAGGTGCACACCACCATGCCCAGATAATTTTTGTATTTTTAGTAGAGACGGGGTTTTGCCATGTTGGCCAGGCTGGTCTTGAACTCCCAACCTCAGGCAATCTGCCCGCCTTAGCCTCTCAAAGTGCTGAGATACCAGGCATGAGCCACTATGCCTGGCTATAATTACCTTTAATTATAAATATTAATTTTGTTCTTTTTAAAAATGTGATTTTAAATTTTCATGTGTTTTACTTGCTTTCAGTATTAATAACTTTTTTTTTTTTTTTTTACAATTTCTCATATGGCAGATCTGGGAGGGCTTTGTTTCACCTTTTTTTTGAAGGCAGCATTACTAGAAATAAGATCATGGTTCACAAAGCTTTTGTCCTTTGAGTACTTTGAATGTATCATCCCACTGCCTTCATCCCCTCCATTGTTTCTGATGAGAAGTTTGCTGTTAATCTATTGGGGTACCCTTGTGGCACATTGTTTTTCTCTTACAGCTTTCAACATTTCCTTTCACTTTTAACATTTTTACTATGACGTGTCTGTTTGTGGATATGTTTGCATTCATTCTGTTCACAGTTTGTTGAGATGCTTGTGAGTATAGATTAATGTTTGTTCAATAAATTGTGGATGTTTTTAGCCATTATTTCTTTGAATATTTTTGTGCTTCTCTTTCTCCTCACCTTATGGTATTCTCATTACATGTACACTGGTGCACTGAAAGGCGTCCTGAATTTCTCTGAGGCTCTGTTTATATTTCTTTGTTCTATTTTCTCATCCTATTTCTTCATTTTCCTATTCTATTTTCTAATGGGAAGATGGAATTGAGGTTGCATAATTTCTATTGATCTATTTGAAAGTTTTCTAATTCTTCTGCCAGCTCAAACTTATTTAGCCCTTCTAATGATTTTTTATATTAGTTATTATAGTCTTCAACTCCAGAATTTACATTTGGTTCATCTTATGATTTCCTTTATTGATATTCTTTATTTGATGAGACATTATCTTTGTATTTTCCCTTACTGCTGTGAATATATATATAATGGCTACCTTGAAGTTTTTGTCTTTTAAATCTGATATCTGTTCCCTGTCAAAGGCCATTTCTGTTGCCTGCTTTTTTCCTGTTTATAAGTCGAACATTTCAGTTTCTTTGTATGTCTTACAATTTCTTGTTGATAAGTGGACATATTAGGTAACATACTATAGCGATTCTGGATACTGATTCCCTGTCCCCTTCTTCAGAGTGGTTTTTGTTGTTGTTCTTCAGAGTGGTTTTGTTGTTTGTTTTGTTTTGTTATTTGTTTTCTGCTTTGACTAAGCTATTTTAGTGAAGTAGCTTGCAGTGGGAAGCATTTTGTTGTTCTTCAGAGGGTGCAGCCTTGGACATATGCAGAGTTACTCGTAGTTATTTGTTTTGTGTTTTCACTAAGCTATTTTAGTGAAATAGCTGGCAGTGGGAAGCATTTTGTTGCTCTTCAGAGGGTACAGCCTTGGACATACGCAGAATATACCCTGGTATGGTTTTAAACAGGAGTCTCTTTGACCATCTTTCCCTGATCTCTCTGTTAAGATGTTTGTCTCCTTTGGTATTATTTCTAGCCCACTAGGCTCCACTGGCTTCTGTCTGATCAGTCTACTGTTCTCCACAAGTCCTTGGAGCATTAATTACTAAGCAGTTTGGTATAATTTAAGCCAAGCAGGGCTAGTTTTTGAGGCCAGTCTTTAAGGTTTCTTTTGACCTTAGAAGGGCTCCTTAGCTGTGTCTTCCCCTGGAATTACCTGATTAACTAGCTGACTTACGGTTCATGTTGTTTTTAATTAAGGGAAGTTTCTGACACTGTTTCAAATAAATTCCATTCTTCTTGAGAGAGCTTCAGAGCTCTATTCTTATACACTGTCTCTCCCTCTGGACAAAATCTCTGAACCACCATTCTGGGCAATGGGCTGGGTGGTAGCCATTTTGTTTCTCTTGTGAAACCTCTGCCTTACAAGCAAGCTGAGGCAAAGGCAATCAGGGCCCAAATCTGAGTTCACTGTGCCTGGGTAGAGCTTCCAACCTATGGGTGGGAGCGGGGGAAGCAATGGAGCCCCAAGCCTCTTGGTTGCATCACCAGGAATTTAGCCTCTTCAACTGAGAGGAGGTGGGAATAAGAATCCCTGGAAGCCTGACCCTCCTGTTGTTATAAAACTTGATTGAGAGCTGGAGCCGCATAATCTTGGCAGCATCCACCCAGTGTGAAGCTTCCATCAAACTGAGCTGTGAAGACAAGAAGAGAGTGGGCTGTGTCTTAAATACCACGAATTCTCACTGCTCTTACCAAGTTTTAGTAGACTTTGTTGTTAGATATTTCATTCACTGTATACTCTTTGCACTCTTTCAGATCTCAAATAGTAAGGTTTTAAAAATAGTTTTTGTTTTTTGTTTTTTTTTCACTTTTACTTGTCTTGCTGGTAAATGAGCCTGCAGAGTCTCCCTATCCTATCATCCAGAAGTGGAACTTCATACAGTCATCTAACAATCGTTTAGCATTTTCTGTCATCTCATTTTGGAGAATCATAGATGTGGCAGAAATACATATTCTTGAAGAAAAAAAATGTCTCCCTTACAGGTACTGTGGTTTTAATAGGGTGTGGGATAAGTACATGACAACATGCATGGGATAGATGCTCTGCTCTCTGCAGATCTGTGCTTTTGAGCTACAGAACATAGAAGAATATATTGACTGTTCTTAGTCTTAATATATGACAATCTAGGTGTATCATTTAAGATTAAATTTGGTTGTGAGTAAAATAGTAAAACTGCATCAAATTAAAGTGGATAAAACAAGATAAGGTTAATTTCTCTGTCATATAATATGGATGTAAGCCTGATATTGTGGCCTTGCTCCAAACCAATCATGAATTCTTCCACTGCTGGCATCAGAATGGTATGAGCTCTCAGACTTACACAGAACTGGGGAAAATCGTAAAGAATTTCTGGATATCCCTCACCCAGATTTCTCAAATATTAATATATTCAGCCAGCTGTGTTTTAAGAGAGGTTTCCAGAACTGCCAAAAATATTCACTTACATCCTACTGGCCATAAGTTATGTCACATGACAACATCTTGGAAAAATAAATGCAGTGCTTACTCTAGATAGTCATAGCCAACTGTTAATAAAAATTACTGATTCTATAATCCTGGACTCTAATCTGTAATAACAGACTCTGACCCGCTGGGGAATCCAAGGAGAAAGTTTCACTTTCAGCAATTACAAATAACCACAGTGCAACCCTAGAGACCACACTTGTGCAGAAGACTCATAGAAATGGAATGGTATCCTAGAAATTAGAACACACAGGTCTCTCATCCCCCATACTGCAAACTGGATTATCATAATACCCTATAAAAGGATGACAGAAGGCCAGGCTTGGTGGCTCACGCCTGTAATCCCAGCACTTTGGGAGGCCGAGACAGGCGGATCACGAGGTCAGGAGATCGAGACCATCCTGGCTAACACGGTGAAACCCCGTCTCTACTTAAAAAAAAAAAAAAATACAAAAAAAATTAGCTGGGCATGGTGGCGGGCGCCTGTAGTCCCAGCTACTCGGGAGGCTGAGGCAGGAGAATGGTGTGAACCCAGGAGGCGGAGCTTGCAGTGAGCCGAGATTGCGCCACTGCACTCCAGCCTGGGCGAGAGAGTGAGACTCTGTCTCAAAAAAAAAAAAAAAAAAGGATGACAGAAATCTTCTGTCCAGTTTTTTTCTGGAGAATCTATGAACATTCAAAATATTATCTATTGTCGGCTGGGCAAGATGTCTCACACCTGTAATCCCAGCACTTTGGGGTCTGAGGCGGGCGGATCACTTGAGGTTAGGAGTTCATGACCAGCCTGGCCAACATGCTGAAAGCTGTCTCTACTAAAAACACAAAAATTAGCTGGGCGTGGTGACAGGCATCTGTAATCCCAGCTACTTGGGAGGCTAAGGCAGGAGAATCGCTTGAACCTGGGAGGCAGAGGTTGTGGTGAGCCACGACTGCACCATTGCACTCCAGCCTGGGCAACAAAAGCAAAACTCCATCTCAAATATAAATCTATCCATCTATCTATCTATCTATCTATCTATTATCCATTATTGAATGTTCTTCATAACACTGCTCAGAAACACCATGACAAATTTGAATCAGACCAATATCTCCAAAAATGGGCAAGCAGATTAATGTGTCATTTCAGGCAGGCCCTAGCAGGAGATAAACTTCTCAGCTATCACCATACATAAAACCTTATAATTCAATAAAATATCAAATGCAAACAAGAGCAGATCATAGAAATGTAAGTTGAGAAAAATCAGAGTGAACTTCTGACCTTACAATGACATTTTCTACTCTGAAACTATTAAAAGAATTCTAACAAAACCAGCATCTTCTTCCATACCTGTAACTGCCATGTGCACCCATAGCAGCCAGATTTCTTGGTCTCAAAGGCTCTTTTCCTCTAAATAGAACCAGGACACCCTACGAGGGTACTGAATCATGGGTTGATTCCATGACTCAGGACAAGAGGCATGGGGAACATGGACCAACAAAGAAGGATCAGTCTAAAACATCTTCTTAGGACCTGAACACAATATTCATTTAAAAAAAAAGAAAAAAAGAAGTCAAAAAAACAAATGTAACTGGACTCCTACTGGCTACACATCAAATTATCATAATTACTACAGATGCTTCTCAACTTATGACAGCGTTATATCCAAATAAACCCATCACAAATTGAAAACATCATATGCCAAATGTGTATTTATGACCTACAATATTTTCAACTTAACATAGCCCCATCTTAGTTTGAGGAGCATACTCTGACTGAGTATGTCTTAGTCCATTTTGTATTGCTACAAAAGAATATCTGAGGCTGGGTGATTAATAAAGAGGTTTATTTGGCTCACTGTTCTGCAGAATGTACAAGAATCATGGTGCAGCATCTGCTTCTGCTAAGGGTCTCAGGCTGCTTCCACTCATGGCAGATGATGAAGGGAGAGCCAGTGTATGCAGACATCACATGGCAAGAGAGAAAACAAGAGGGTGAGGGAGGAGGTGCCAGGTTCTTTTGAACAACCAGCTCTCACAAAAATTAACAGAGCGATAGCTCACTCACCCCTCAATCCAGAGAGGGCATTAATTTATTCATGAGGGATCTTCCACCATGACCCAAACACCTTCCATTAGGCCCCACCTCCAACACTGAGATCAAACTTCAACATGAGATTTGGAGGGACAAATATCCAAACTATAGCAACATATCACTTTTGTACCATCATAAAGCTGAGAAATTGTTAGTTGACATTGTTGGGGACCATCTCTATAATAGTTCATTGGAACAAGTCTGTTAAAAATCATGTTCATACTGATACACAAAACATGTAATTATCATACATCTAGTATCATGTCACACTCAAAAGATAAATGGTTATAAATTTTACAAAAGGAGGCTGCAGTTAGGAATGTTTAATTTACTGTTTGTTGATAGTAGGTGAGAAAGAACTGTTCATATGCCTTTTTTCCACCAACTTGATGTTTGTTTAGAAGGTATAGTTACCTATTTGTATTGATCTGTAAAAGCAAGATGGAACAAATACAGAAAAGTTTGAGTAAGCCAGACACTTTTGGAAGGGGCAGTGTACTAGAAATGGGAAAAATGTATCCATATTAACGGCTACTCGTAACTCCTATGAATCAGGTAAAAGGAGGGCCAAATAAAAATCAGTGCTAGGGAGTGAAGGTCAGACTCACAAACCAAATAAATGAAATATTCAATACATTTCACAATAAGAAAATACCCCAATGTCCTAATGAAAAAGAATAAAAACACATACTCGATCCTCTTCTCCTAGGAGATGAAATATATTGTTTTAAAAATGAGTTACTCCAATAAGATATGAATAAGCAATATATAAATATATAATAAACATAACAGACCAGTTAGATATATAATAGACAACAGATTAAATACTGCTGACTAAGCACAACTTAAGGGGATTATATAATTAAATGTATCCAAAAAAACCATTATTGAATTGACCTGTCACTTTCTAATACATCTTTGTTACTAAAAATTTAAGCAACTTAGTAACCATGACTCTGGGTCATCTGATATCATAATGTGGTTCAAGGTCCACCAATCTTCTGTTTCTTTGATTGTATTTCCTTGTTTCAGGACAGGTAAAAATGTTAATATCATAATAAAGACCAAACTGTCCAATTACCAAAACTGTGAAGCAGCAACAATGTCAAAGAATTACAAATAAAAGGAATAAGAATTTTTTGAAAAGCAACTAAAATTGAGAAAATTCTTTTTATAAGTGAATTCAGTATGTTCACTGAGCTTGTAAGCAAGGAAATAGTCTATGGATGCCTTCTCTGCTTTTAAAAGTAGTAGGTGATTTTTAAATTTTTACATAATTGGTTTGTAACTTTAGCAAATATTTTAAAGTGTTTTATTATGTTTGCAAAGGGACTGTGACTTCCAACTTAGAAATCCCAAGATTGCATGATGATAGAGTTTCACTGGAAGGCCTCCTGGGATCTCTTTTTTATGACAATTCTTAATGAGATACCAGAATGTGCAATGACCCATAAAGGAGTTGTGCTGGGTTAATACCCAGGGAATCTGTTGAGTTCAAAAAAGAAAGTCAAAGAGAATCAATATGAAAAAGATGAAAGTGGAAATAAAAAATAGGAACATGAGACTAGAAAGCCAGGTTTTAAATAGCCTCGTTTTGTAAGATTTATAAGATCACTGCATTAACAAAACCTGAAAAATGTTTAGAAAATTATAACTTTACCTATGATTATAGATACAATTAAATGTTAAGAAATAGAATTAAGTAGTCTATCAAAAGCATAATAATCTGATAAGGATATATTCACAAAAAGAAGAAAGCTATCAATATAAATTATCATTTTATAGATTTTTAAATGCACTGGAATAAAATCACAAAGGATTATTATTGATCTTTAAAAAAGTTAATCTCTCTAATTCATGATGCCACAATGGTATCATGTTTTATAGCTTGATTTAAAGGCTTAATTTTTTTCAAAGTTTATCAACAGCTCACATACCAGCCATGATGTATAGGTGCTGATGATAAATGCTGAACAAAAACAAGGTTCCAGACAAAATAATCTTGGCTCCCTGAATAAACTAGAGGGTGCTAATTTTGTACTGAATATACTGTCAGCCTTATCACACAAGTTGACTTATGTTGACAACCTTAATGGCATTCATTTTTGAATAGTCTATTTCAATTTTCATTTTGTATTCAATCCACAGCTAAAATACACATGATTATAAATATTCAGAGGTCAAAGTCTCTCCATAGATTATTTATGCACTACAAATTAGATCTTTACAATGGACTTATGGCGGTTACCAGCTTACCCAAATGATCAAACTTAGTTTCACTAATGCAAGGACCTGTACTTAAATGTTTTCTGACAGTGAAATATGCCATACAAATAGCCTACAAAGTATTCTTCCCCAAAATGTTTAATCTGACCTAACAGAGCCTCTGGACTCAAATTCCCTTGTACAGAATATGCAACAAAGAGAACAACACTAAATGACACTATAAAGAAAGAAATCTAAACACATAGACAATTTTCCTGGGCTAATCAAAATTCAATCTCATTTTTTAAGAATGAGGAGATGGACCAGGCCTTTTCAAAACTATCAAGCAGATAGTCAGGGCCTGTGAAGTGTGCCAAAGAAATAATCCCCTGCACTGCAGGCCATACATTTCAATCTCTGTATCTTTAACCTCCTTGTTAAGTTTGTCTTTTCCAGAATCGAAGCTGTAAAGCCACAACTCATTCTTCAAATGGAGCCCCAGATGCAGTCCATGACTAAAATCTACCGCGGACCCCTGGACCGGCCTGCTAGCCCATGCTCCAATGTTAATGACATCGAAGGCACCCCTCCAGAGGAAATCTCAACTGCACAACCCCTACTACACCCCAATTCAGCAGGAAGCAATTAGAGCAGTTGTTGGCCAACCTCCCCAACAGCACTTGGGTTTTCCTGTTGAGAGGGGGTACTGAGAAACAGGACTAGCAGGATTTCCTAGGCCGATTAAGAATCCCTAAGCCTAGATGGGAAGTTGACCACATCCACCTTTAAACACGGGGCTTGCAACTCAGCTCACACCCGACCCATCAGGTAAGAAAGAGAGCCCGCTAAAATGCTAATTAGGCAAAAACAGGAGGTAAAGAAATAGCCAATCATCTATTGCCTGAGAGCACAGCGGGAGGGACAATGATCAGGATATAAACCCAGGCATTCGAGCCGGCAACGACTACCCTCTTTGGGTCCCCTCCCTTTGTATGGGAGCTCTGTTTTCACTCTATTAAATCTTGCAACTGCAAAAAAAAAAAAAAAAAGAAGAATGAGGAGAAAGGAGAAATGTTCTAGGTCAGTGGCTCTCTAACTCTGGTTGGTATCACAATCACCTGGAGAAATAATAAAAAACATAGAGGCCCAGAATTATAAGCTAGGGCTTAAGCCTCTGTAGCTTTACTAAGTGCCACTGTTGATTCTAATACCTACCAAAATTTGAGCGCCTACATTCATAGGATTTCCAGGCTACAATACACTAAAGAGAGATAACCAAATGCAATGCAGATTCTGCAATGGATTCTCCTTTGAATATGAATAGCTGTAAAAGATGGTTTGGAAGCCAATGAAGAAATCTGAAAATGGAATGATATTACAGAATTATGAATACTTTCCTTAACGGTAATTATGGTACAATGGCTATATGATATTGTCTATATTGTCTTCATGTTTGGTTGATACACACGTTGATTAAATAAAGGGTAAAGTGTCATGATGTCTAAAACTTATTCTCAATGGTACAACAAATATACAAAAAATAAACGTGCAAATTGTTAACAATTTTGAATCTAGGTTGGGGTATATGATTGTATATTTGACTATTCTTTCAAAACCCACAACAAGTATCAACTAGGTTTACCATCTTTTATGGGCAGAATTTGTGGTATCCCAAAGCAATTACAATAGCAACATCAAAAATCACTGGTCATTGATCACCATGATAGATATATAACAATGAAATAGTTTGAAATATTCTGAGAATTACCAAAATGTGACATAAAGACATGAAATGCACACCTGACGTTGGGAAAATGGACCTGATCGTCTTGCTCACCACAGGGTTGCCACAAACCTTCAGTTTGTATAAAACACAATAACTGCAATGCACAATTCAGCGAGGTATGCCTGTATCTGGTAAATTATTTCATAGGGAGTACATTGTGAACATGACAACTACCCTATATTCCTCATTCAAAGACTTTCTCACAAGAATTATCTTCTCCGAACTCTAAGGTATTTAGTGTGGCTATAAAACGCCCCACATTCCTTACACTCAAAGATTTCTCAGAAGTATGAATACTCAGAAGTTGAGCAAATCCCAGGCCATGATGAAAGTTCTTCACACATTCTTTTATGTTCACAAGATTTCTCATCAATATGAGCTCTCTGGTGTTGAGTAAATTTTTCGTACACAGTGAAGGCTTGTCCACACTCCTTATTGTCACAAAATTTCTAACTATTCTGAATTTTCTGATGTTGAGACAGCTGATCATCCACAGCAAATGCTTTCCCATATTCCTTACATTATAGCGTTTCTCACCAGTATGAATTTTAACATGTTGAACAATGTTTGAGCTACAACTAAAGGTCTTCCCACATTCTGTACATTCACAGGGTTTCATACCAGTATGAATTCTTTGATGTGCAGTCAGGACCAAACTAAATCTGAAAGTTTTCCCACACTCCTTACATTCATAGAGTTTCTCACCAGTATGAATACTCTGATGTTGAACAAGGTTTGAGCCACTATTGAAGGCCTTCCCACATTTCTCAAATTCAAATGGCTTCTCGCCAGTATGAATGACCTGAAGTCCAGCAAGCTGTGTCAGAAAACTGAAGGCCTTTCCACATTCTTTACATTCAAAGGGTTTTTTACCAGTGTGAATTTGGTAATGTTAAATAAGTGGTAATGATATCTAAAGGTCGTCCTCCACTCCTTGCATACAAAGAGTTTCTCACTGGAATGAATTTTCTGATGCTGAATAACGTTTGAACCACAAATGAAGCCTTTCCCACACCCCTTACATTCACATGGTTTTACACCAGCACGAATACTCTGATGTTGAACATGGTTTGAGACACGATTAAAGGACTTTCCACATTCCTTACATTCAAGATGCCTTCTCACCTGTGTGAATGTTCTTATGGCGATTAAGCTGGGTGGGAAGACTAAAAACCTTTCCACATTCCTTACATTCAAAGGGTTTCTCACCAGTATGCAATTTCTGATGTCGAATAAGTTGCATATGAAGTCGAAAGGCTTTCCCACACTCCTTACATTCAAAGGGTTTCTCACCAGTATGCAATTTCTGATGTCGAATAAGGTGCATATGAAGTCGAAAGGCTTTCCCACATTCCTTACATTCAAAGGGTTTCTTTCCAGTATGAATACTTCGATGTTGATTAAGATTTGAACCACGACGAAAGAATTTCCCACATTCCTTACATTCAAATGGTTTTTCACCTGTGTGAGTTTTCTGATGTTGGGAAAGTTGTAGGTAAAGTCTAAAAGCCTTCCCACACTCCTTACATTCATAGGGCTTCTCACCAGTGTGAATACTCTGATGTTGAACAAGGCTTGAGCCACGATTGAAGGCCTTCCCACAGTCTTGACATTCAAATGGCTTGTCACCAGTATGAATTCGAGAATGTTCAATAAGTTGGCAATGATATCTAAAGGCCATCTCACATTCCCTACATACAAAAGGTTTCTCATTGGAATGAATTTTCTGATGCTGAATAAGGTGTGCACCACGATTAAAGCCTTTCCCACACTCCTTACATTCATATGGTTTTATACCAGCATGAATACTCTGATGTTGAACAAGGTTTGAGCTACGATTAAAGGACTTCCCACATTCCTTACATTCAAACGGTTTTTCACCTGTGTGAATGTTCTTATGGCGATTAAGCTGGTTGAGAAGACTAAAGGCCTTCCCACATTCCCTGCATTCAAAGGGTTTCTCACCAGTATGAATCTTCTGATGTCGAACAAGCTTTGTCAGAAGAGTAAACGCCTTTCCACATTCTTTACATTCAAAGGGTTTCTCACCAGTATGAATTTGGCAATGTTCAATAAGTTGGTAATGATATCGAAAGGCCATCCCACATTCCTTACATACAAAGGGTTTCTCATTGGAATGAATTTTCTGATGCTGAATAAGGTGTGCACCACGATTAAAGCCTTTCCCACACTCCTTACATTCATATGGTTTTACACCAGAATGAATACTCTGATGTTGAACAAGGTTTGAGCTACGATTAAAGGACTTCCCACATTCCTTACATTCAAACAGTTTCTCACCTGTGTGAATGTTCTTATGGCGATTAAGCAGGGTAAGAAGACTAAAGGCCTTTCCACATTCGTTACATTCAAAAGGTTTCTCACCAGTATGAAATTTCTGATGTCGAGTAAATTGTATGTGAAGTCGAAAGGCTTTCCCACACTCCTTACATTCAAAGGGTTTCTCTCCAGTATGAATACTCTGATGCTGAATAAGATTTGCACTACGACTAAAGTATTTCCCACATTCCTTACATTCATACGGTTTATGTGTATTGCAAATAAGAGAAGCATGAGGAGTATGAGTAGGCAGTTTTTCATAGCTGATCATCTTTTGATTGATATTTCCTTCTTGATATCCCTGTAGTCCCTCAAATTGTCTATATTCTGAGTCATTTCTAAAATAAAAGGCCTCAATGCCAAGAGTTGTACTTATTTGCTTTATAACCTGTTTGGGTAAATTTACTTCAGAGGTATCATTTTCTGGAGATACTTTCTCAGGTCCATATTTTAACTCCAAATCTGAAAGAAATGAAGAAAGCAAACCTATTTTATTTTCGTATAACACACATGCATACAAAGTCCTTTTGTCAACTGAAACCATCAATTCAAACCAATAAAACCTTTATTGATTTTATTAGCCAAAACCAACAAAGTTGGTAGATAGAACCTTTCTCATATCACTTCTGTTTCCAGTGGAAGCAAATGCACATCTGAGCCAGCCTGGTTATGTACATGTAAAAATAGGAAAATGAACCACAGAAGATTGAACCTAACTAGGTCAACTATCTGTTGAAACATATTGATATGTTCTATAGGACTTAAGACCATGAGACCCATAGTTTCATAGTCAGTAATTAGAATGTCCAGGATACAATCCAAATATACTGGCATATACAAGAAAATTTCAACTCACATTGGAAAAGAAAATCAACAGCAGCATTCTGCCAGGGGCCTGGGGATCACCCCACCCCTGCTTACCACAAGAACCAGCACGTACAACTGGGGGGCCTAAGGTCAGGTCCAGCAGACCCAGCTCTGTGCCCAAGTCCCCAAGCACACCATCTGGGGACCTGGGGATCACCCTGATCCATCTACCACCTTTGCTACCTAAGCACTCATCACAGAGGCCTAAGGTCAGACACATACAACCTGCTGTTTCCTCCACAACTGGTACCCACCTGTACTCACAACCGGAAGTTCTGGGGACTGGCCCACCCAGCCCATCATAGTCACCTCCAACACTAAGCACTTACTGCTTGGGAGCCAGAAGGTTGTCCTGTTCACTACTACTACCATCACCCATGCCACACTTGCTGCCCAAGAATCCAAGAACCCATCCACCTACCCAGCATACCACTACCACTGCCAGCACTATCCAAACTACGAGGAGGCCAAAGAATCAACGTGCCTAGACACACTAATACTAGTACCAGCATACACTATGCTGGGGCCCCAAAACAGGCACATCTGGACTGCCACTGCCACCACCAGAGCCCAAGGACTTGCCTACCTTGTGTCCTCGTGCTAGGCCATTCTTGCATTAAAGGAATACCTGAGACTGGGTAATTTACGAAAAAATGAGTATTAACTGGCTCATGGTTCTGCAGGTTGTACATGGCGCTAGCATCTTCTCAGCTTCTGGGGAGGCTTTAGGGGCCTTTTACTCATAAAAGAAGGCAACACAGGACAAAGAATGTCACACAGCAAGAGAAGGAACAAGAGAGAGAACAAGAAGAAGTGCCATATACTTTTAAACAACCAGGTCTTGCAAGAACTCACTTACTATTGTGAGGACAGCACCAAGGGGATGGTGCTAAGCCATTCATGAGAAATCCACCCCTATGATCCAATTACCTCCCACCAGGCCCCATCTCCAACACTGGGGATTACATTTCAACATGAGATTTAGAGGGGAAAATATCTAAACTATATCACTCCTCATCCCCAATAAAACTTCACCATACCCTCCACTAACCATCACAACCAAAGCCAAGGAAGAAATCACAGACACCAAAGGCACTGTTTACAGCCAAAAAAAAAATCATAACACTACATAACAACACTACTGCACACGCCCAGAATCAAAGCGAAAATGCCCTATCCAACCCTATTAACCATAGGTACATCTTTAGGAAAAAAGCCTCCCCTACAAAAGCAAATTCAAAAAAATGAGAATAAACACAGGAAATAACAAAAAAAAAAAAAAGAGAAGGAAACTTGACATCTCCACAGGAACATAATAATTCTCCAGAAACATTCCAATGGGAGAAAAATGCTATATCCTAGCAAAAGAATTCAAAATAATTATATTAAAGAAGCTAAGTGAGATACAAGAGAATTCGGAAGAACAATACAAACAAATCAGAAAAAAAAAACTCAGGATAAGAAGAAGAAACTTACCAATTTCATTATAAAAAAGAACCAAACAGAAATTCTGAAACTGAATAATTCATTGAATAAAATATAAAATACATTCAAAATCTTCAACAACAGACTAGATCAAGTAGAAGAATCTCAGAACATAAAGCCAATTCTTTTGAAATAACCCAGTCAGACAAAAATAGAAAAACAAAAAAAGAAGAAGAAACAAAGACCCTATATGGGACATCATAAAACAACCAAATATTTGAAATTTTGAGGTCCCAGAGATGAAGAGAAAAAATAAAGGAAAGAAAATCTATTTAATGAAATAACAGCTGGCAACTTTCCAATTCTAGCAAGAGATGTAGACATCCAGATACAGGAAGCTCAGAGATACCCAAATACATAACAACACAAAAAGGTCTTCTCCATGGCACATTATGGTCAAAATATAAAAGTCAAAGACAAAGAGAGAATACTAAAAACAGGAAGAGAAAAGCATCTAGTCACTTACAAGGGAACTCTCATTAGCCGAACAGCAGATTTCTCAACAGAAAGAAATGAGAGAGAATGAAATGGTATATTCAAAATGTTGAAAGAAAAAACTTGCCAGTCAAGGATACTATCCTCAGCAAATTATAAAACATAAATGAAGAAGAAATAATCTTTCCCAGGCAAAAGCTGAGGGCAGACCAGCTCTACAAGATATGCTTAAGAGTCCTACACCTAGAAGTGAAAGAATATCTGCCATTGTGAAAACACACAAAATTATAAAACCCACTGACACAGCAAACACAAATAAGCAGAAAGAACCCAAATGTTACCCCTATAGAAAACAACCAAACCACAATGATGAAAAATAAAAGAGAAAGAAAGGAACAAAGGATACACAAATCAACTAGAAATCAATTAATAAAATGACAAGAATAAGCCCTCACATATCAGTAATCACATTGAACGTAAATGGATTAAACTTTTCATCTAAAAGATATAGATGGAATGGATTTTTTAAAAAGTGACCCAATTATATGCTGCCAACAGACTCATCTCACTGGTAAAGACATATATGGATTGAAAGTAAAGGAATGGTAAAAGATATTCCATGCAAATGGAAACCAAAAGTGAGCAGGAATAGCTATATTTATATCAGACAAAAAAGATTTTAAGTCAAAAGCAGCAAAAAAGAGACAAAGAAGATCACTGTATAATGATAAAGGGATCAATTCAGCAAGCGGATATAACAATTCTAAACATACTATAATCCCAACACCAGAACACCCAGATATATAAGGTGAATATTATTAGATCAAAAGGGAGAGAGATGTATTCCAGTGCAATAATCATTGGGGATTTCAACACCCCACTCTGAATTACACAGATCATCTAGATAGAAAATTAACAAGAAACATTGGATTTAAACTTCACATTAGACAAAACAGGCCTAACAGACATTTACTGAACATTTCATCAAATAGCTACAAAATACACATTTTCTCATTAGCACACAGAACATTCTCTAGGATAGACCATATGTTAGGATGCAATTCTTAACAAATTCTTCAAAACCAAAATTATATCAAGTCTTTTCTCAGACATGGAATAGAATGAGAAATCAGTAACAAGAGGAACTTTGGAAACTGTACAACACATGAAAATTAAACAACCTGCTCCTATATAACCACTGGGTCAAGAAAGAACATAAGGAGGAAATTAAAAAATTTCTTGAAACAAATGAAAATCAGAATACAACATACCAAAACCTATGGGATACAGCAAAAGTACTGCTAAGAGCAAAGTTGATGGCAATAAACACCTACATTGAAAAAGCAGAAAGATTTCAAATAAACGATCTAATGAAATTAGGGCAGAACTAAATAAAATACAGGCTAAATAATACAAAAGATCAATGAAATGAAAGGTTGTTTTTTAAAAAACATAAATAAAATTAATAAACCACTAGCTAGACTAACCAAGAAGAAAAGAGAAGAAATAAGCAAAATCAGAAATAAAAAAAGGAGATATTACCACTGACACCACAGAAACAGAAAAGATCATCAAAATAGAAAAGCTGAACAGGCCAATGAGTAATGAGATTGAATTAGTAATAAAATGTCACCCAAAAAAGAAAACTCCAGGACTGATGGCTTCACTGCTGAATTCTATCTACCAAACTCTCAAAGAACTAATTCTCCTCAAACTATTCCAAAAAATTTCAGAGAAGGGAATTCTCCTTAACTCTTTCTATGGAGCTGGCATACCATGAAACCAAAACCAGACAAGGAAGAAACAAAAAAAGAAAATAGTTCTAGCCTAAAGTCACATGAATGCCTATGTTTATTGTAGCACTATTCATAATAGCAAAGACATGGAATCAACCTAAATGTCCATCAATGGTTACCTGGATAAAGAAAATGTGGTACATATACACCAAGGAATACTATGCAACCATAAAAAAGAACAAGATTATGTGCAGCAATATGGATGGCATTGGATGCCATTATCCTAAGCAAATTAATTAAGGAACAGAAAACCAAATACTACATATTCTCACTTATAAATGGGAGCTAAACACCGAGTACACATGGACACAAAGAACAGAAAAACAGACATCAGGGCCTACTTGAGAGTAGAGGGTGGGAGGACGAAGATCCAAAAACTACCTATTGGGTACTATGCTTATTACCGGGGTGGTGAAATAATCTGCACACCAAACCCACCACAACATGCAATTTACCCATATAAAAAACCCACTTATGTACCCCTTGGACCTAAAATAAAAGTTGGAAAATAAATTAAAAATAAATAAATAAATGGTGCTGGAAAACTGGATATCCGTATGTGATAGAATGAAACCAGACCCCTATTTCTCACCGTATACAAAAATCAACTGGAAATGGATTAAAGACTTAAATGTAAGACTCAAAACTATAAAACAACTAAAAGAAAACATAAAGGAAGTGCTTCAGGACATTGACCTAGGCAAAAATTTTCTGGTTAACACTGCAAAAGCATAGGCGGCAAAAACAAAAATAGACAAATGGGACTATATTAAACTAAACGCTTCTGCAGAGCAAAGGAAACTATCATCGGAGGGAATAGACAAAATTAAATGAGAGAAATTATTTGCAAACTATTTCTCTGACAAGAGACTCAAATAACAGGAAAAAAAAAAAAAATCCAATTAAAAAGTTGGCAAATGGGCTGGGCACGATGGCTCACACCTGTAATCCCAGGGCTTTGGGAGGCCGAGGCGGGCAGATCATCTGAGGTCAGGAGTTCAGGAACAACCTGGCCAACATGGTGAAACCCCATCTCTACTAAAAATACAAAAATTAGCCAGGTGTGGAGGTGGGCACCCGTCATCCCAGCTACTTGAGAAGCTGAGGCATGAGAATTGCTTGAACCCAACAGACAGAGGTTGCAGTGAGCCAAGATCAGATTACTGCACTCCACACTGCAGGACAGAGCAAGATTCCACCTTAAAAAAAAAAAAAAAGTTTACCCTGGGAAAAAAAGAGGGAACTTACTCCACTAAAAGGGGAAGGAAATAAGAGAACAGAAATTAGGTGATTAGTAAATGATGAAGTTCCTTGGTGATGGCTTCTGCTGTAATCTTTATTTCCTTCCCAGGTCTTGGGCATTTTTATCCAACAGGACTTGGGTCACTGAAGAAAGCTTTTCAAACCACATCTCAAGTGTATGACTCCTTTCTGAGCACATGTCCAGGACAATGATGGCTTCCCCCCGCCTGCTTTACCCTCACTTACCTGGATACCGTCTGCTTGTTTCTTTCCTTACAACCATCCAGGGCTCTTTCTCTTGCTCTAGTAACGTAATTACATCTGGTTTAGAAATGGAACTTCCTGCTTAAAAGAAACGACACATGTAGAATTTTTTTAATACAGATTTTTTTTTTTCAAATCTTTGTGACCTGCTTAAACTTACAATAAATTACAAGTCAAAACAATATTGAAAAGAGACTTCAGATAAGAGTGAGAGGTTGAGTAAGAGAACTCTTTTCTAACTATGTTAGAAAAGGACTTCCTTTCATTTAAACTCAGAATCTTATCCCTTGAAAAGAGGTATAACTGAATGGTTGAGAGCAGGAAACTTCAATCCAGACTGCCAGGTTCAAATCCTATCTCTGCTACTCACTAGCAGTATGACCTCAGGTAAGTCACTTAAACTCTGTCCTTCAGTTTTCCCAACTCTAAAATGGGGATGATACAATACCTATTTTATAGGATTGATACTAAGACAAAATAAGTTATATATATGCAAAATACTTCTAACATTGCCTGATGTACAGTAGCACAAAGTCAAGAATTATTGTTTATTATTGTCATTTATTTTGCATCCTTAGACATTTATAGCTCACTCAGTATATTCACTAAATGAAAATACATAAACTCCATGGTCTGAAACTTTCAACTGCAAAACAATGGAATGTTTATTGAAGGAAATGAAATGCATTCCCTTTAGTGTTAAATGAATTTCTGTCAACCCAATCAGTATACGTAAATAACAGACATTTTTGTTTGTTTGTTTTTGGTTTTGAGACAGGGTCTCGGTCTATTGCCCAGGCTGGAGTGCAGTGATGGGTACAGCTCACTGCAGCCTCAACCTCCCAGTGATCATAGAGGTTTCTCTGATAGAAAAATTCAAGACACTCTTCTCCTTACAGATGGGTTAGAAAAACAAAAACAAACCAACAAACAGAAAATCTACAGTAATTCTGAGATCAAACATAATATGAAATCTGGTTCTTAGACAATATCTTTCAATGAATGTACAAGATTTCAAATTCAGCCCCATGGTCATGAAGAGAGAGGCAATTACAGAGAGGACCAGCGTAACGAAGGAGGCCATTGTGGAGTAGGCAAGATGCAGGGGCTCCAGGGAGGTGCCTGTTTTCAACCCAACAAATCCCAATCCATTCCTTTGGGAACAAGAAGAAGGAATTCAGCCACCTCTTAAAAGATAGCCCTGAAATTCACGGTGAAGAAAGCTGATATTCCAGAAAATAGATATAAAAATAGCTGGGACTCAACGACCTTACCCAGTGAGATCAGGTGGCTGTAGTTCTCCAACATCACATCCCTGTACAAGGTCCTCTGATCAGGCTGCAGGCACTCCCACTCCTCCTGAGAGAAGTCAATGGCCACATCCCTGAATGTCACTGATCCCTGAAACCACAAACACATGTATAATGGTGAAACTGAAGAAAGTTGTTTTAAGATGAAAGGAGAGGAAGTGAAGGAGTGTAGTGTAAGAAAAAAGCAATATGGAAATTCACAGAGTGCCTGCACATTCTTCAAGAAGTCTCCTGCTGGCTGAGTATGGTGGCTTATGCCTATAGTCCCAGCACTTTGGGAGGCAGAGATAGGAGGATTGCTTGAGCCTAGAAATTTGAGACCAGCCTGGGCAACATAATGATATCCCATCTCTGCAAAAATTAAATAAGTAACTGTGTGTGGTATCACGTACCTGTAGTCCCAGCTACTCGGGAGGCTGAGGTAGGAGTATTGCTTGAGCCCAGGAGTTCAAGGCTATAGTGAACTGTGATCACGCCACTGCACTCCAGCCTGGGCCACAGAGCAAGACTCTGTCTCAGAGAAAAAAAAAAAAAAAAAAAAAGGTGGCATACAATTAAAGAATGTTCTTAATCCTCAAGTTCATTATGGTATGAGATGACAGCAAAAGTATTTTTTCTTGTCATGACAACTGATTTTTATAAGCTGCATTAAAGTCAATAGAACTCACATATTAGATTTATTCATTTTTTTTCTATTTATACGTTGAGGATGGCCAGGGCCTCTAAGGATTTCCCCAATTCTGAGAATTTTTTATTTTTTATTTTTTTTCTGAGACAGAATTTCACTCTGTTACCCAGGCTGGAGTGCAGTGGCACGATCGCAGCTCACTGCAACCTCCACCTCCCAGGTTCAAGCGATTCTCCTGCCTCAGCCTCCTGTGCAGCTGGGATTACAGGTGCGCACCACCACAACAGGCTAATTTTTTTTTTTCTTTTTTTAGAAGAGATGGGGTTTCACCATGTTGGCCAGGCTGGTCTCAAACTCCTGACCTCAAGTGATCCACCACCCACCTCGGCCTCCCAAAGTGCTGGGATTGCACGCGTGAGCCACCATGTCCAGCCAGAGAATCTGTAATCACCTATCATTCATGCCCTGAATTATCTTCTCCCTGCTACTGCCCACTGTCCTCACCTATCATTTTCCTAAAAGCCTCATAAAGCAGATCACCTTGTCACACTTGCAGACTGAGGCTACTCACTATGGAATTCTACCTTAGCTACCTGGAAAGCTCTAGTCTGTAAAGTTTCAAAGTGTTCCCAAGTGTGGTCAATCATCTGTAACTTATCAAACCCATAAGACCCTGTTTCCCTGTGGGGACTGATTCCTCCACTGTTCCAATATTCTTCCTGACCAAGGTCTGAGCACAGAGCACAGACTGAATAACTTTTTCAAAGAAAACATCAAAGCCAGTAGGAAACAGAGGTACAAATAGGAAGAGCAGTGACTTTTTTTTTTTTTGTCACCAACCTTCACTGTAATGGGACAAACTGGGGTGTAAGATCGTGAATTCTAGGTACGAAGCTTCAGGTTAAATAATAACAGTCACCTAACCTGAAAGTCACCATATTTCAAGGAAAAGAGAGAAATACAAACTTACATGGACCATGTTGCTAGAATTACAAAACTGGTCAATCTTCCTCGGGCTTCTCCCCTGGAAAACAACAACAACAAAAAGGCCACAATTAAAGCTGTGTCTCAAAAGCAAATAACTATTTTATCCTCCGTTCCTATTTCTCAACTACTCCTGCTAACACGCACACTTCCACCCTTCTCCCATCACTCCCCTTGCCCCCACACACACTCTCTCACAAATAGCTGGCAGTGAACGGGTGGAGTAGGGATGAAACCAAGCTCTCGCCTGCATCCCAGGGAACCTGCGGCAGAAGCATGAATGCCGAGCACAGGCATTTCTGCCTTGAAGTTGTGGCTTCCAGCCAGTCCTCCATTCTTGGGATACCTATCTTGGCCTAGGTCTGGACCTCTGATCCTGCCCTTAGCAGATCCTCCTCCCCCAGTCCCACCTTTCAGAGCTGAGAAGGGATTGCATCATCCAAACCAGAACCTCTTTGTGAAATCAGGATTGGGTGCAGTGGGGGAAGGCATGAGAACTGGAAAGCATATTTGCACTGGCAGTGTTTGCACCAAATTGCACTGACAGTGTTCAGCATTCTAAATTCAGCAAAAGCCAGTTGGTTAATACAGTTCAGAACATCCACTTAATAGAATACAAAGTAAATATTAAACGTTCAAGATATATGATTAACAGAAAAATCAGGTTACAAAACAGGATAGATAATATGATTACATTTGTAAAATATATGTATATAGAAATACTAATAAAAAGACTAACAGACATTAATAGAAAAAAATTTAGAAAATTATATACATGTTAAGAGTTCTCCTCTGTGTATTGTAGCTCCAATTTTCTTCTTTTTGCTTAAGAGCATTTCATGGCCGGGCACGGTGGCTCACACTTGTAATCCCAGCACTTTGGGAGGCTGAGGCAGGCAGATCACGAGGTCAGGAGATCGAGACCAACCTGGCCAACATGGTGATACCTCGTCTCTACTAAAAATACAAAAATTAGCTGGGTGTGGTGGTGCATGCCTATAATCCCAGCTACTCAGGAGGCTGAGGCATGAGAATCGCTTGAACCCAGGAGGCGGAGGTTGCAGTAAGCTGAGATCGTGCCACTGCACTCCAGCCTGGCAACAGAGCGAGCCTTCATATAAAAAAAAATTGTAACTACATCCAAGCATTAACTTGGAATATATATAGTTATATTCACACACACACACACGTGTGTGTATATATATATGTGTGTGTGTATATATATATTTATATATATATATGTGTGTGTGTGTGTGTATGCATCTCTATATATGGACATATATAAATGTACATACACATTTCTTTCCTATGAGGAAACTTCTCCAAATTAGATGAAAGACACTTTTTATTTAGATATCTCCCTTTGAACTTGGGGTGGGAAATCAGCATACTCTAATGAACTGTTGTTTTTACTTAACAAGTTTGTTTCCTTTATTTTCCAATTCTTGACCAACACTAAGATGTCTATGTTTTTCTATGTATGTTGGAGCAATCTCTAGAAAAAATTGTCTACAAGTCCCCAACCAATGTCTTGTATGCATTAATGATAGTCTATTTCTACTTTTGAAGTAAAAAATAAAAACAGAGTTATCAGGAAAAAAACCTGAGCCTGTCACGAGATTCAACAAAAGAGGTTAAAGTGACTACAACAAATAACATCAGCTAGTTCTAATATCCTTTAGCTGTATCTCACCAATATAATTAGATATTCTCATTATCAAGATTCTTCTTTGAATGAACACAATGCAGATAAGTGGCATTTGCAAACTATGTGAGAAAATTTGTGAAATATACACCACCATGCTTGGTTCCCTTCTTCACCAAATAACCAATTAAAATATTATTTTAGATATAATTCTTATAGAATGCCTTCAGATAGAATTCTTATAGAATTCTTATACAAAAACCCTATCTTAGTATATGGGATTCATATAAAACATAACAATTTCTTTTTGGGGGGCAGGGGTGGAGTCTCACTCTGTCACCCAGGCTGGAGTGCTGTGGCCTGATCTCGGCTCACTGCAACCTCAGCCTCCCAGGTTCAAACAATTCTCCTGCCTCAGCCTCCTGAGTAGCTGGGATTATAGGCGCCTGCCACCACTCCCGGCTAGTTTTTATATTTTTAGTAGAGACAAGGTTTCACCACGTTGGCAAGGCTGGTCTCAAACTCCTGACCTCAAATGATCTGCCTGCCTCAGCCTCCTAAAGTGCTGGGATTTCAGGTGTGAGCCACCGCGCCCCGCCCCATGTAACATTTTCTTGAGTATTATTGTTCATAGCATGAATATTGCTTAATGATATATCAAATATTTTTCTTTTCATAATTCCTTATAGACATCATTTTATTACCTGTGTAATACTCTATCACTTGAGTCTAGTATGATTAGCTTAATGATTTCTGTATTATAGGACACTTATTTTATACAAGATCATTTACAATGTCATTCCAGATATCACAATCTTTTGATTCTGGACTACAGTTTTTCACCCTAGGCACTACTGACATATTGTGCTGGATAATTCTTAGATGGGAGAGTGGGGAGAGCTATCCTGTGCATAACACAATGTTTAGCAGCATTCCTGACCTCTATCCATTAGATCTAAGTAGCACCCTCCCCGACAGCATGACAACCGAAAGTTTCTAAACATCACCCCAGCTGAGAACCAATGTTCTATCTAGATCAATGGATCCAAACCTCATGGGTCACATAAATTTTTTTGATAATCTTATGAAATGATACACTATTTCTCCCCCTAAAACCCACATTTATAAATTTCTATAATACTTCAATATTTTATTTCAAGAGCTTTTGGTCCCTGAGACCATAAATGGAGTCACAGGAACTCAGGTTAAGAATTTCTGTCCTACATTCCTTACAGAAACAGGAAAAAAACAAAAATGCTAAAATTTGTATAGAACCACAAAAGACCCAAATAGCCAAAGCAATCTTGAGCAAAAGGAACAAAGTTGGACTCATCAAAACTATCTGACTTCAAGATATACTACAAAGCTATAGTAACCAAAACAACAAGGTACTGACATAAAAACAGACACATAGACCAAAGAAACAGAATAGAGAGGCCCAGAATAAATCCATATATTTATAACCAACCGAGTTTTGAGGAGGGTACCAAGAACATACAATGGGGAAAAGAGAGACTCTTCAAAAAATACTGTTGTGAAAAGTAGGTATCCATATGCAGAAAAATGAAATTAGACCCTTATCTCAAACCATTATACAAACATCAACTCTAAACAGATTAAAGACTTAAATGTAAGATCCTAAACTATGAAACAAATAGAAGAAAACATAGGGGGAAAGCTCTGTGAAACTGATCTGAGCAATGATTTTTTTTGGGATATGACCTCAAAAGCACAGGTAACAAAAGCAAAAATGAACGAATGAAATTATGTCAAGCTAAAAAGCTTCTGCACAGAAAAGGAAACAATCAACAAAGTGAAGAGACATCTTGTAGAATGAGAGAAAATATTTGCAACCATATATATGATAAGAGATTAAGATCCAAAATGTATGCAGAAGTCAAACAACTCAACAGCAAAAAAAAACCTGATTAAAAGATGGGCAAAGGACCTGAACAGGCACATCCCAAAAGAAGACATATAAATGGCCAACAGTTTATGAAAAAATACTCAACATCACTAATCATCAGGGAAATGAAAATTAAACCCGCAATAAGATATTAGCTCATACCTGTTAGGGTGGCTACTGGAAAGACAAATGTTAACAAGTATTGGCAAGAAAAGGGGAACGCTTACACACTGTGGGTGAGAATGTAAATGGGCACAGCCATTATGGAAAACAGTATGGAGGTTCCTCAAAAAATTAGAAATAGAACTACCATATGATCCAGCCATCCCACTACTGGGAATATATCTCCAAAGGAAATGAAATCTGTATGTCAAAGAGATATCAGCATACCCATGTTTATTGCAGCATTATTCACAATAGCCAAGATATGGCATCAACCTACGCGTCTAACAATGAATAAATGGATAAAGAAAATGTGGTATATATGCAGGTATATTTACACAAGGGAATACTATTTAGCCATAAAAAGCAGGAAATTCTGTCATTTGCAAAAACATGGATGAACCTGGAGAACATCATATTAAGTGAAGTAAGCCAAGCACAGAAAGACATATGATCTCACTCTTCAGCCAAATCTAAAAAAGTTGATATCATAGAAGTGGAGAGTAGAATCGTATTTACAGATCTGGGGTAATGTGGGTGAGGGAGGAAGGAGGGCAGTGTTGACTGGGGAAATGTTGGTCAAAGGATACAAAATTTCAGGAAGATAAGAGAAATAAGTTCAGGAGATCTATTACACAACAGGGTATCTCCAATTAATAACAATATTCTGTAGTCTTGAAAAATGCTAGGAGGGTGGATATTAAGTGTTCTCACCACAAAAATGATAACTATGTGAGGTAATGCATTGTTAATTAGCTAGATTTAGTCATTCCACAATGTATACATACCATAAAACTTCATGTTGCACATGATAAATACATACAATTATATCTGTCGATTTAAAAAGAAAGAATTTCTGTCCTAGATCATTTGAGCCCCTCACTCATTTTCTTAATATACAACCAGCAGTCGCAATGAATCACATATTCCCAATGCTCCTGTTCTGTAGAGAGTCAAGGGGAATGACTTAAAATGACTACACAAAAAACAACAGTTAAAACATATTAAACATTATTATATGCCTAGCACTGCTCTAAGGGGCTTTACGATATTAATTCATTCTAATGACAGAACCAATATTCCAACCCAGATACTCTGGATCCACTCCCCTATTCTTAACCACAACAGTGTACTGCCTCTCACAGTACACACACACACACACACACACACACTCACACACACACGCCTAAAACACAACTGGAGCTGCCAAACCTCAGAGAGATCTGGCAAGTATTACAAATATCATCTCATGGACTCCCTGGAAAAATCCTGGCTCTTGTTGATACCAATTTCTGTGCGGTCACTTTTCCACTACCGAATGCCTCACAGGCAATGGAGATCATCCAACCATCTCCATTCTTCCCTGTTTTGAAAAGGAGGTCTGTAAAGACCAACTGATGTCTAGTGTGTGATTCCACCTAAACACTAATCTCCTCCTTCCCAAATATGGGTCTAAAATGGAGCTTTAATATTAACTACTGGAGGTGTATTTCTATACCAGCTTCGAAAAAGAGAGCGCACAGGAAGGTGTGAACGATTTGCCAAATTGTTTTGTGACTATTAAGTGGAAAGGTGAAGGAGGGGGCACGAATCAATTTGCATATCCCCCTAGTTTCACTGAAAATTTAAGGGGAAATCTCAATATTCTAAAATCAAAAACGCATGTCTTGAACAAATACAAAGCACAAACTCACCCTTGACTTTAGGTGTGCAGCAGTAACGCTCTCATCCTCCTCCAGGTCCTTCTTTTGGATAAAAATACGACTGGAGAAGGATACGGCAAGCGTGAGACTCCAGGCATTTCTTGGAGCGCAGACTAAGTTTGAAAACACCCTCCCTCCATAGCCACAATTTCCCTCACTTCACACGAAATAGGAAGGAAGTAAAAGGAAGAGGAATCGATTCAACCAGTACAACCAGTTTGGAGCTGGTTTCTGGGGACAGAGCTCTGAGGACGCTGTGGTTCTCAACATGTAGCTGCCCCCCTGGGGAACACTCGGGGGCACTTCTGCGCTTTCTTGTGTAAAGCTTCATTCTCGGCTCAATATCTGACCTCCCTACTGGGGCCATTCCTCTGCTGCAGTCCCCGCAGCTGTGAAGCGGAAAGAGGGAGGAAGCAGCAGGAGCCTAGGGGCACCGGCACAGTGTCACTCAGCAAAGTGCGCTGCGTCCACACGCCCTCCCGGGCCTGTGCATAGAACCTCACGCACACACTCACAGTCCCCTCCGTCACTCATGATCTCACAATCCCCCTCCTCTGATACCCGCGCACACACACGCCTGGGGATCCGGCAGATCCCGTCTGCACCCCCGGGTTCCTACTCTGAGCGCCTCCCCCTAGGCCACCCGCACTGTCGGGTCAGTCAGGCTGGAGCCCCAATCCGCAGAGATCTCCCGCAGCCACAGATCTCTTCCTCAGACGTGAAGACCTTACCCCGCTATGTCGTCGACCCCGGAGACCGGAAGTGGACTGGCGCGGTGGCCGCTGGGAAATACAGTCCCGAACAGAAAAAGCCTCAGAAGCCTTGAGCTGTGATCCGTTCAGGTTGATCCCAGCATACTATGGGGGCTGACCCCTAAGGGAGCCGAGCCTAGTGGATTCGTGGGAGTTCCAGCCCGCGGGGTGCACAGGTTGTTGCCATGAGCAAGGATCCCCATGTGAGAAGAGCGTTTCCCTCTCGGAGCGTCAGTATAATTTACTTTTTCTCTCCATGGAGAATGCAAATGAGCAGAACTTTTAAAGAAGAAAGAAGAATTTAAAGTAAAATTATGTCAACATGTAGGTGCTTTAACTCCTTTGTCTCAGACCCCAGCGATAGGCTTCCACTTCTCTGTGCTATTTGAAGGGGACTTAGGATAAATTTGAAAAGCTTGAACTAAAGAATTGGTTGGTTATATACTAGGAGAGGAAGTGTGGTTCACATTGGAGATTTCAGAATCAAATGTCCTGGATTCTTCGAGACAATGTTCCTGTTATCTGGAGAGAAAAACGTGATTCAGGACGACATGGAAACGGATAAAAATACACAGATAATTACTTGCCTTATCTTGAAGGATGAATAATTAACACTTTGTTAAAATAGTATAAACAAATGCAAAAAAGGGCTTGCTTTTCCTAGGAAGAGCCTGATTTCACTGTTGTAGTCTAACAATATTTAACTTTCAAAATCATTTTTCTAGTTTCCTATGCTACATAAGGAGGAAACATGTAATAATAAAGAGCAAAACGTCTTTTCATTCCAGAATTGTGACAGAAAACAAATAAGATGATTAACTCAACCATATCAATAATCACATTAAATGTAAATGGTCTAAACACCTTAATTTAAAAAGATTGTCAGATTGGATTTTTTAAAAAGTCAGACCCAAATGTGCATCAATGATAGACTGGATTAAGAAAATGTGGCACATATACACCATGGAATACTATGCAGCCATAAAAAGGATGAGTTCATGTCGTTTGTAGGGACATGGATGAAGCTGGAAACCATCATTCTGAGCAAACTATCGCAAGGACAGAAAACCAAACACCAAATGTTCTCAGTCATAGGTGAGAATTGAACAATGAGAACACTTGGACACAGGGTGGAGAACATCACACACCGGGGCCTATAGTGGGGTCGGGGGAGGGGGAAGGGATAGCATTAGAAGATATACCTAATGTAAATGACGAGTTAATGGGTGCAGCACACCAACATGGCACATGTATACATATGTAACAAACCTGCACTTTGTGCACATGTACCCTAGAACTTAAAGTATAATAAAAAAAGATAATTAAATAAATAAATAAACAAAAAGTCAGACCCAAATGGGTGCTACCTACAGGTAATATGTTAAATGAAAAGCACTAAAAGGTTAAGAGTAAAAGGATGGAAAAATATACACCATCCTAACACTAGTCAAAAGAAAGCTGGAGTGGCTTTATTAAAAACAAAGTAGACTCCGGACATAGACTATTACCAGAGATAAAGAAGGGCATAATAATGATAAAGGAGATAGCTCATCGAGTAGAAAAAAACAAACATAAATTTTGCTCCTAAAAGCAAAGCTTCTAAGTATGGGAAGAAAAATCTATTAGATCGAAAAGGAGACAGATCCACAATTATAGTCAGATATTTCAATATATCTCTCTTGGTAATTGATAGAACAAACACAGAAAAGCAACAGGGTATAGCAGATTTGAGCTACATATCAACTTACTTGATCTCATTTATATTTGAGAACACTCTCCTCAATGACAGTAAAATTCATCTATGTGGACAGGGGATACTTACCAGTATAGGCCATATTCTGGGCCATAAAACAAGTCTCAATAAATGTAAGAGGATTCGAGTCATACAAAGCATATTCTTTGACAAAAATGGAATTAAATTAGAACTCAATAATAGCTGAATATATAATATATTGTCCAAAGTAGTACAAATTCGAAAAGGTATGAATACTAAGGTAATTGAAATTATGTAATGTTTGAAAAATTCCTGTATTAATTATAATATTCTGTTATATCCTAAAGGGTGAAACAATAACATATATACGTTAAAGCAAAATAACAATTTTGTAGTAAGGAAAAAAATTTTTAAGCTATTTATGTTGACTAAACATTAGAATAAAGCGGAGAATAATTATATTTAAGTATATTCTGATACTTTAATCGATTTCCTAACCAATATCACCATTCTTTTTAAGTATTTTCTTTCAATGTGGTCTATTATTTTTAAATTTTGATAAAATTTTATGCAATCTTCAATGTTGGACTTTATGTTTAATAAACTCAAAATTATAGCTACCTTCAAATGACTCTTCTCTGAACACCATACTTTTTAAACTGAGATATATACTCTGTATATACTAAGGTAACCAGAAGTCTCAGAATATATCCAATGAAATGGAAGATATCCTCACAAGTATTGTGAATATTGAATATGGAAAAATTAGATTGCAGTTCATATTCTTGTAGTTAATGTATCTTGCCTTCAAGGTACATCTCTTTTTTTGCCATCTCTTTTTTGTACCCTAAGAAGGGTACATTTCTTTGATAATTATCTTTACAAGGCAAACATATTGGTTCTATTTATGATTCCTTTGAATGTTAAGCCAAATTTAGATGCTGCAGTAACATAAGGCTTCTCAACTGCGCTCCATTCTGACACAAATTGCAAATTGATCCAGTTAAAAATTGGAGCATCATCAAAAGACTATTCCCATAGCTGAAGAAATTCCTCAGTAAAATTGAAGAATTTCAAAATTAAATCCTGTATGCCATCTGATATTTCATGACTTAATTCATTCAGTTTCTTTCTTAATTTGTAGGACTAAATCCCATTGTCTTCATGTTGGCCAGTTCTGATAACTGAAATTCAGTTGAATTTCTATGTTGAATAGGAGTGGTAAGAGAAGACATCTTTGTCTTGTGCCAAATCAACACAATCTTAAACAACCAAAGGATTAAAGAATGAATACAAAAATTTAGAAAATATTTTAGATAAATACAAATAAAAACACATGTTACCAAAGTTTATGATATGCTTATTACTAAGAGAAAAATTTATAGCTCTACATGCCTATATAAAAGAAGAAAGATGTCAAATCAACAACCTAACTGTACAACTTTAGGAATTAGAACATGAAAAATAGCAAAACAATAAATAAATAGAAGACAAGAAAGGAAGGAAATAATAAAAATAAGAGTGGAGTTAAATAGAGAATAGAAAAATAATACAGAAAAATTACAAAATTAAAAGTGGTTCTTTGAAAAGATCAAAAGAAGTAGCAAAATCTTAGCTGGATTGACTGAGAAAAAAATAGAAAAGACTCAAATTACTAAAGTCAGAGGTGAAAGTGGAGACATTACTAACCTTACAGAAATGAAAATGATTATAGAAGAATATTATAAACAATTGTATGCCAACAAAATAAACTAAATGGAAAGGAACAATTCTTTTTTTGCAATATTTATTTATTATTATACTTTTAAGTTCTGGGATACATGTGCAGAATGTGCAGGTTTGTTACATAGGTATACACGTGCCATGGTGGTTTGCTGCACCTATCAACCTGTCATCTACATTAGGTATTTCTCCTAATGCTATCCCTCCTCTAGTCCCCCACCCCCGACAGGCCCCAGTGTGTGATGAGGAACAATTCTTTACACAAACTGTCACTGATTCAAGAAGAAATAGAAAATCTTAAGAGGAGTGATGTCAGCAAGATTGGAGAATGGGACTTTCCAGCACTTAGCCCTCACATCAATTTAAACATCTGTTTACTCATGAACAAACTTTCACAAGAGCTAAAGTATCCAAGTAAGAGATTAGAGCACCTTGCTGTAGCACAGAAACAGGAAAAGATACATTAAAGAGGCTAAGAAGGAGCGTTTTGCATTACCTAGTCCATCACTCTCCCAAGCCCAGCCCAGAAATTATAGTGTGGTGAGATACCCTCCGTGTTAGAGGATGAATAAAGTGAACACCAACTTTGCTGTGGACCCTGGCAGCAGGACTACTCCACTGAAACCCAATGACCAGCTGGCCCCCTTGACCCAAACTCCAAGGTGGCACCCTCAGCTCCAGGCACAAAGCTGGCACCCACAGATCCAAGCTCCAGGATAACCCCCATGGATACAGGCTGTCAGCCTACCCAGCCCCTGTGGCTCCAGTCTCTAAGCTGGCTCCCATGGTCCTACACTCTGACAAACCCAGGGTTCAAACCCACTCCACCGCATCCAATATCCAGACCTGGCCCAGGAGACCCCAAGTGCCAGGCCAGCTCCTAGAGACCAAAGCTTTAGAACCACACCTAAAAACACAGGCTCCAGGCTGGCCTCCATATCCCTAGGACAGCACCCACAGCCTCAAGCTTCAGACTGACCCCTGTGGAATCCAGACCCAAATATGCCCCAGACCAGACCCAAGCTCCAGGCTGGTTCTTGTGACCCTATGCTCCAGTGGACCCAGGGTCCACGCCTGCCCAAGCGGATCCTGGAAGCAGGGTGACCCCTATGAGCTCAAGACCAAGGCATATTATGGGCCTATGTCCAGACCACCCCAGCACCAGGTCAACCTCTGTGGACCCAGACTTCAGGCTGGTTCCCATGGACAGTCCTCAGGCCTATCCATTTGTTGACCCTGGCACCAGACCAGCATGTCTGATAACTTCAGCAGTAATCCCACCCACAAACTTCTCTATACAGCCCACCCAATATCTCTGATGAAGGGCTTTCACTACCAAAGCTAGTCTGTAAAGACTAGAAGGGATGCCTACTTCTTCAAATGTTCAACACCAAAGCAAGTTCACAAAGATCATGAATAATTAAGAAAACATGACACCAACACAAATCAAAATAAACCATCAGTAACCAACTCTAAAGAAATGAACATTTACAAAATGCCTGGCAAAGAATTCAAAATGACTGTTTTAAAGAAACTCAGTGAGCAAACAAGAGAATACAGATAAACACTAAACAAAATCAGGAAAATGATATAGGAACAAAATTAGAAGTTCAAAAAAGAGATAGAAAACATAGCAAATTTTTGCAAACAAAAATTCTGGAACTAAAGAACACAATAACAGACTGAAAAATTCCATAGAATGCCTGAAGAGCAGACTTAAGCAGAATAAAGAATTAATGAGCTTGAAGACAGGTCATTTAAAAGTTAAAAGACAGGCCAGGTGCAGTGGCTCACACCTGCAATTCCAAAACTTTGAGAGGCCAATGTGGGAGAATTGCTTGAGGCCAGGAGTTGAGACCAGCATGGGCAACATAGTGAGACCTTAATTCTACAAAACAAACAAAATTTTTTAATTTAAAAAAATTTAGCTGGGCATGGTGGTGCAGAGCTGTAGTCCTAACTACTCAGGAGGCTGAGGCATGAGGATAACTCGAGCCCAGGAGTTTGAGGCTGCAGTGAGCTATGTTCATGTCAGTGTACCCTAGCCTGGGTGACAGTGAGACTCTGTCCCAAACAAAACAAAACAAGCTAAAAGGATTAAAAATGACTATAACTACAACAATTTGCCTATGGGTACATGATATATACAAGATACAAATTATACTTTGGAAGGCCGAGTTGGGCAGATCACTTGAGGTCAAGAGTTCAAGACAAGCCTGGCCAACATGGTAAAATCCCTTCTCTACTAAAAATACAAAAATTAATTGGGTGTGGTGGCATTTGCCTGTAGTCCCAGCTACTCAGGAGGCTAAGGCAGGAGAATCACTTGAACCCTGGAGACAGAGGTTGCAGTGAGCTGAGATCATGCCACTACACTCCAGTCTGGGTGATAGGGTGAGACTCTGTCTCAAAAAAAATAAAAAAGGTACAAATTATGACATCAATAATGTAAAATATGAGGAGAGAAGAAAGTGTAGAATTTTTTTTTTTTTTTGAGACAGAGTCTCGCTCTGATGCCCAGGCTGCAGTGCAGTGGTGCAATCTCGGCTCACTGCAAGCTCTGCCTCCTGGGTTCATGCCATTCTCCTGCCTCGGCCTCCCAAGTAGCTTGGGACCACAGGTGCCCACCATCACACCCGGACAATTTTTTATATTTTTAGTAGAGACGGGGTTTCACTGCATTAGCCAGGATGGTCTCGATCTCCTGACCTCGTGATCTGCCCGCCTCGGCCTCCCAAAGTGCTGGGATTACAGGCGTGAGCCACTGCAACTGGCCAAAGAGTGTAGAATTTTTGTATGCAGTTGAAGTTAAATTGTTATCAGCTTAAAATAGGCTACTACAATTATAAGATGTTTTAGGTAATCCTTATAGTAACTACAAAGAAAAATACCTACAGTAAATACAAAAAAAGACAAAGAGAAAGGAATCAAAGCATATCACTACAAAATATCATCAAATAACAAAGGAAAACAGCAAGGGAGAAAAATAGAACAAAGGAACTACAAAATAGAAAACAATTAACAAATGGCAGTAGTAATGAATAATTACTTTAAATGCAAATGGATTAAATTTGCCAATCAAAACACATACAGTGGTTGAATGGATAAAAAAAAACAAGATCCAATAATATTCTGCCTACAACAGACTCAGTTGTAAGGACACACATAGGCTGAAATTGAAGAATTGGAAAAGATATTTCATACAAATGGTAACCAGAAGACACCAGTGGTTGATGGGTGCAGTGGTATATTCCTGTAGTCCCAGCTACTCAGGAGTCTGATGTGGGAGGATTGCTTGAGCTCAGGAGTTCAAGGTCAGCCTGGGTAACATAGCAACACCCATGTCTATTAAAATTTTTTAATTAAAATTGAAAAAAACAGAGAACAAGGGCAGCTATGCCTATATGAGACTAAATAAACTTTAAGTCAAAAAACTGTCACAAGACATAAAGAAACATTATTGTATAGTTATAAAGGGGTCAATTCAATAAGAAGATATAATAATTATAAATATATATGTGCCCAACAATGGAGCACCCAAATATATGAAGCAAATGTTAAGAGAACTGAAAAGAGAAAGAGATAACAATACAATAATAGTAGAGGACTTCAATACTCTACTTTCAACCATTGATAGATAAAACAGACAGAAAATCAATAAGAAAATAGGGGACTTTAACAACAGTAGACACCAAATTAGGCATAATAAACATATATGGAACATTTCACCTAACAGCAGCAGAATACACATTCTTCTCAAGTGCACATGGAACATTCTTTGGAATAGGTCACACGTTAGGTCACAAAACAAGTCTAAACAAATTCAAGAAGATTGAAATCATGTCAAGTATCTTTTCCGACGACAATGAAATAAAACTAGAAATAACAGAAAGAAATTTGGAAAATGTACAAATATGTGGAAACTCATACACTACTGAACAACCAGTGGGTCAAAGAAGAAATCAAAAGGGAAATCAGAATATATATTGAGATGGCCAGGCACGGTGGCTCATGCCTGTAATCCCAGCAGTTTGGGAGGCCAAGGTGGCTAGATCACGTGAGGCCAGGAGTTTGAAACTAGCCTGGCCAACATGGTGAAACCTCATCTCTACTAAAAATACAAAAATTTGCCGGGCGTGGTGTTGCATGCCTTTAGTCCCAACTACTTGGGAGGCTGAGGCACGAGAATCACTTGAACCCAGGAGGAGGATGCTGCAGTGAGCCAAGATCATGCCACTGCACCACTACACTCCAGCCTAGGTGACAGAGCAAGATGCTGTCTCAAAAACAAACAAACAAAATATATATATACGTATATATATAGAAAGAGAGAGAGAGGGGTGGGGGAAGGGAGAGAGAAATACAAACGGAAACACAGCATACCAGAAGTTATTGGATGCAGCAAAAGTGCTTACAAGAGGGAAGTTTATACTATAAATGCTTACATTTTAAAAAAAGAAAAAAATGTCACCAATAAATAACCTAACAATGTACCTCAAGGCCTACGGAGAGAAAAACAAACAAACAAACAAAAAAAACTGGACCTAAAATTAGCATAAAGAAGGAAACATTAAAGATCAGAGCAGAAATAAGTGAACTCATGACCAAAAAAGGGTTAATAAAATTAAGAGTTGGCTTTTCTGTAAGTCAAAATTGACAAATCTTTAGCTAGACTAAGGAAAAAAAAGAGAGAAAACTCAAAAAATAAAATCACAAATAAAAGAGTAGACATTACAAGAAATGCCACAAACAAAAGGATTAGAAGAGACAACTATGAACAATTATATGCAAACAAACTGGCTAACAGAAAAAATAGATAAATTTCTAGAAACATATAATCTGCCACGACCGAATAATGAAGAAATAGAGCCTGAATAGACTAATAACAAGTATGGAGATCAAATCAGGAATCAAAACCCTACAAAGGGAATCCCAGGACCAGATGGCCTCACAGCTGAATTCCATGAAACATTTAAAAAAGAATTAACATGAATTATTCTCAAACTCTTCCAAAAAATTAAAGATAAAGGAATGCTTCAAAACTCACCTTATAAGTTTAGCACTGCCCTAATACCTGATACTCCCATCACAAGCAGCTAGTAAAAGAACAAATCAAGCCAAAGAATGTATAAAAGGAAGTACCACATATAAAAGCAGAAGTCAGTAAAATATAAAACAAATATACAATAGATAATGCAATATCGGAATTTGGTTCTTTTAAAATATATATATAATTTAAAAACCTCTAGCAAAATGTATGAGAGAGAGAGGAGTGTAAGAGGGAGAGAGGAAAAGGAAGGCAGGAAGAAAGGGAGGGAGAGAGGGAGGGATAGAAGGAATTACTAATATCAGAAATGATAAATGAGGTCTGAATACAGACTCTGTAGACATTATAAGCCCTCAGAAATAATGCCGCATATCTACAACCATCTGATCTTTGACAAACCTGACAAAAACAAGCAATGGGGAAAGGATTCCCTATTTAATAAATGGTGCTGGGAAAACTGGCTAGCCATATGTAGAAAGCTGAAACTGGATCCCTTCCTTACACCTTATACAAAAATTAATTCAAGATGGATTAAAGACTTAAATGTTAGACCTAAAACCATAAAAACCCTAGAAGAAAACCTAGGCAATACTATTCAGGACATAAGCATGGGCAAGGACTTCATGTCTAAAACACCAAAAGCAATGGCAACAAAAGCCAAAATTGACAAATGGGATCTAATTAAACTAAAGAGCTTCTGCACAGCAAAAGAAACTACCATCAGAGTGAACAGGCAGCCTACAAAATGGGAGAAAATTTTCGCAACCTACTCATCTGACAAAGGGCTAATATCCAGAATCTACAATGAACTCAAACAAATTTACAAGAAAAAAACAAACAACCCCATCAAAAAGTGGGCAAAGGATATGAACAGACACTTCTCAAAAGAAGACATTTATGCAGCCAAAAAACACATGAAAAAATGCTCATCATCATTGGCCATCAGAGAAATGCAAATCAAAACCACAGTGAGATACCATCCCACACCAGTTAGAATGGCGATCATTAAAAAGTCAGGAAACAACAGGTGCTGGAGAGGATGTGGAGAAATAGGAACACTTTTACACTGTTGGTGGGACTGTAAACTAGTTCAACCATTGTGGAAGTCAGTGTGGCGATTCCTCAGGGATCTAGAACTAGAAATACCATTTGATCCAGCCATCCCATTACTGGGTATATACCCAAAGGATTATACATCATGCTGCTATAAAGACACATGCACATGTATGTTTATTGCGGCACTATTCACAATAGCAAGGACTTGGAACCAACCCAAATGTCCAACAACGATAGACTGGATTAAGAAAATGTGGCACATATACACCATGGAATACTATGCAGCCATAAAAAATGATGAGTTCATGTCCTTTGTAGGGACATGGATGAAACTGGAAACCATCATTCTCAGCAAACTATCACAAGGACAAAAAACCAAACACCGCATGTTCTGACTCATAGGTGGGAATTGAATAATGAGAACACATGGACACAGGAAGGGGAACATCACACATTGGGGACTGTTGTGGGGTGGGGGGAGGGGGGAGGGATAGCATTAGGAGATATACCTAATGCTAAATGACGAGTTAATGGGTGCAGCACACCAACATGGCACACGTATACATACGTAACAAACCTGCACATTGTGCGCATGTACCCTAAAACTTAAAGTATAATAATAATAAAATTTTAAAAAAAGAGAATTAAGGTAAAACAATAAAAACTTTTTGACATTTGACAATTTAGTTAAATGTCCAATTTTCTTGAGGAATAAAACTTGTACAAATTGACATAAGAAGAAATAGAAATTCTGAATTATCCTTAATCTATTTAAAAAAAAGGACTAGTATTTTTTTAATTCTCCCAAAAGAAAATTCCAAGTCTAAATCGCTTCACTAATGAATCCTTCTAAACATTTAAGAAATATCATCAGCCTTAGACAAACTCATCCAGAGAATAGAAAAAAATGGAAACATTTCCCAACTCATTCTAAAAGTCCAGTCATTCTGATATTAAAACCTGACAAGGATACTTCAATTTGTATCTTATAAACATAAGTACAAAAATCTTTACCAAAATAATAGCAAATCAAGAAAAATATAAGAAGTATAATATATCACAACCAAGTAGGGTTTATTTAAGAAATGCAAGGGTAGCGTAACATTGAAAATCAATCAGTATAATTCTAGTATATTAACAGAAAATACAATCGTCTTGGTAGACTCAGAAAAACCACTTGATAGAAGTCAGTACTTAAAACACAGCAAACTAAGAACAAAAAAAGCTTCCCTATTTTTATAAATATCATCTAATATGATTTGCTAAAGAACTTTAAAAAGCACTTTAGCAAATCATAAGATTTTTAAAAATGATTTAAAAGTTCATTTTAATCATAAGATTTACAAAGAACTTTAGCAAATCATAATTAATGATGAATTATTATAATTAATAGTGAAAAATTGAAAGCTCTTCTTCTGAGATCAGAATTAAGCAAGGATACCCATTCTCACCACTTTATTTGAGGCTCCATTCAATGCATTAAAGCAAAACATATGAATAAAAGGCGTATCAATGGAATGAAAATAGACAACCTGTTGTTCCTCACAGATGACATCATGGCAAAAATAGAAAATAAAAATGAATCTACAGCAATGTATTATATAATTTAGCAATGTCACTGGATTTAAATATAAAGTACAAATACAAAAAAGAAATATTATTTCTATGTAATTTCTAAATACTACCAACAAAGAAATATAAAATGAAAATTTTAAAGTGGTGCCATTTAAAATATCAAGTATCTAGAAAAAAATCTAATAAATGGTGTAGAAAACTTCTACACTAGCCTAGCCCAGTGGCTCATGCCTGTAACCCTAGAACTTTGAGAGGCTGAGGAGGGAGGCTTGCTTGAGGGCAGGAATTCAAGACCAGCTTGGGTAACATAGTGAGACCCATGTCTCTACAAAAAATATTTAGCTGGGCATGATGGTGTGCCCCTGTAGTCCCAGCTACTCAGGAGGCTAAATTGGGAGGATCACTTGGGCCCAGGAGGTCAGGCTGCAGTGAACCATCATCACGCCTCTGTACTCCAGCCTAGGTGACAGAGTGTGACCCTGTCTCAAAAAAAAGACTTTGGGAGCCTGAGGTGGGAGGATCACTTGAGCCCAGATTCTAGACCAGCCTCAGCAACATGGTCAAACCCCAAAAATGTTATAAAAATTAGCCAGGCATGATGGCACACACCTGTAGCCTGGGAGATCGAGATTGCAGTGAGCCGTGCCACTGCACTCTAGCCTGGGCAGCACAGCAAGACCTTGTCTCAAAACAAAAACAAAACACAAATTGTTCCTGGAAAAAAATTAAATAAGACCTAAATCAGCAAGGGATACACTGTTTATAGATTGAAATACTCAATTTGGCTGGATGCTGTGGCTCACACCTGTAATCCCAGCGCTTTGGGAGGCTAAGGTGGGCGGATCACCTGAGGTCAAGAGTTCAAGACCAACCTGGCCAACATGATGAAACCATGTCTCTACTAAAAATACAAAAGTTAGATGGGCATGGTGGCAGCCACTTGTAATCCCAGCTACTCAGGAGGCTGAGGAATCGCTTGAACCCAAGAGGTGGAGGTTGCAGTGAGCTGAGATTGTGCCACTGCACTCCAGCCTGGGCAAATAAAAAAAAAAAAAAGATTGAAATACTCAATTTTTAAAAAATATCAATCCTTCCAAATAGATATATACATTAAATGCAACCCCAGTGAAAATTCCAGCAGGATTGTTTGTGAAAATGTATAGGCTGATTCCAAAATGGAAATGGAAAGATCAGAGATGAAGAAAAGTTCATTGAAGAGAAACTGAAGAAAAGAACAGAGCTGGAGGGCTTATTTAAAAGCCTTTATAATTAAGATAATGTAGCAATGGCACAGAGTTAGACAAATAGACCAATGGGAAAGAGTAGAGATTACAAAACTGAAGTAAAGACAAAACTGTATTCTCAAAAAAGTTGTGCCTAAGTGTCCCAAAGACATACACAAAAACAGTGCTGTTATGACAGTGGAAAAATACAGTGATATGAAAATAAAAACTGGCTGGGCATGGTGGCTCATGCATGTAATCCCAGCACTTTGGAAGACTGAGGCGGGCAGATCATCTAAGGTTAGGAATTCGAGATCAGCCTGGCCAACATAGCGAAACCCCATCTCTACTAAAAGTACCAAAATTAGCTGGGCGTGATGGCGAATGCCTGTAGTCCCAGTTACTCGGGAGTCTGAGACAGGAGAATCACTTGAACCTGGGAGGCAGAGGTTGAAGTGAGCCGAGATTGCACTACTGCACTCCAGGCTGGGCAAAAGAGCAAAGCTCTGTCTCAAAATAAATAAATAAATAAATAAATAAATAAATAAATAAATAAATAAAAAGAAAGAAACTAAAAATTTCAACTACATGCAATAGTATGTATGAGTTTCAGGACATAATGTTGAGCCATAGAAGTCAGGCACAATGAGTATATGTACTGTGTGATTCCATTTATACAAAGCTCAAACACAATGAAACTAATCTACAGTTTTAGAGATTTGGATAGTGGTAACCTTTGGGATTAGTGACTTTATTATGGCATGAAAGTAGACCCTGGGATGTTGGTATTACTCTGTTTCTTAATCTGGATTTTGTTTTCAGGAGAGTATTCAAATTATGAAAATGTGAAGGTCTGTACACTTACGATTTGAACTCTCTCCTTTGTGAATGTTGCACTGAAATAAAATGTATGGGAAAAAAGACATAAGGTTAGGTAAATAATAGCCTGGAACTTTCATAAATCTTTTTTTTTTTTTATCTTTTGAAAAAAGATGTTACACTGTCACTCAGGCTGGAGTGCAGTGGCACTATCATGGCTCACTGCAGCCTCAACCTCATGGGCAATAACAAGTGTGATGTCAGTCTGAGGTCGGACAGGCAGTTGTTGGGCAGATGTCCTTGCAGAAGTATTCTTTTGTGTAAGATTACAACGGCCTTTGTGCAAGGTTTTGGTTTTGTTTTGTTTTGTTTAGACACAACTCAAGTGATCCTCATGCCTCACCTCCCAAATACCTGGGACTGTAGATGCACGACATCTTGCCCAGCTCGATTGTGAGTTTTGCAAAGTCTTTTCTGTTATCAGGCATACAAGCTGAGAATCCCCTCTTCATAGCCCTCTTCATCCAACTCTATTTGTCAGGATTTGTTTAACATTAGTGATTCCATTTTGATTCTGGAAACTTTCACATTTCCCTCTTTCATTCAAGATCTTTCTCCAAAAACATCACTGATCAATCATCCTGTAGTTAAATTTTTATGTCCCTTAATGCTGACATGAACCTGTTGCAGTTGCTGGTCTTGACCCACATTGAGGGAAGTGATTGGTGACTAGGAATCAGTGTGAAAACCCTTTGAGCCACATTTAAACAACAAGGGAGATTTCAAAGGAGTGGCTGTTATGCCAAGTCTACGTGGAATCCATTACTAAATTCTATTTTGTCTGTTCTGTAGTTTTTTGGTAATCATCTGAAAGTGCTTGGCTAGCATTATTTTATTAGGAGTTGTATTCTGCAAAATTAACAAGTAACAAATACAAAGTTTTTAAAAGGGACAAAAACAAAGTAAAACTAACTGCAGTATGACAATCCCAGTTTGCATAATGGTCTTGAGACATGAACCTAGGCTTAAAGACAACTAATTGAATATATCAAGTGACCATAGAAAATTAGATGAGACCTATTGTAACCATGTGGCCTGTTTTCTTATTTTGTGTATATGCGTCTCAACTTTCCCAGAGGAATCTATCCAGGTACAGCATGTAATAGTATTAGCAATAGTACAGACCTTTTCTTATTTAACCAATAGATGCTAAAGGATTTCTTAGGTTAAGATTTCTGCCAGGCGCGGTGGCTCACGCCTGTAATCCCAGCACTTTGGGAGGCCGAGGCGGGCGGATCACGAGGTCAGGAGATCGAGACCACGGGGAAACCCCGTCTCTACTAAAAATACAAAAAATTAGCCGGGCGCAGTGGTGGGCACCTGTAGTCCCAGCTACTCGGGAGGCTGAGGCAGGAGAATGGCGTGAACCCGGAAGGCGGAGCTTGCAGTGAGCGGAGATCGCGCCACAGCACTCCCGCCTGGGCGACAGAACGAGACTCCGTCTCAAAAAAAAAAAAAAAAAAAAAAGATTTCTTAAGTTACCAGCAGAAGCTGTTGAACGTAAAATTTCATTTACACCATAACATGGTTTGGCTCTGTGTCCCCACCCAAATCTCATGTCAAATTGTAATTCCCAGTGTTGGAGGAAGGGCCTGGTGGGAGGTGGCGGACTTCCCCCTGTCCCCCTTGCTGTTCTCGTGAAAAATGTGTAGCACCTCCCCACCTACGCCCTCTCTCTCTCTCTCTCCAGCCATGTGAAGATGTGCCTGCTTCCCCTTCACCTTCCACCATGATTGTAAGTTTCCGGAGGCCTCCCCAGAAACAGAAGCCTGTACAGCCCACAGAACCATGAGCTGATTAAACCTCTTCTTTATAAATTACCCAGTCTCAGGTATGTCTTTATAGCAGTGTGAGTGTGGACTAATTACACCATTATCCTGATAAGTGAAAACGGTAACATTAAGGGGAGCCTTGGGGAAAGCTGTTTACAACATAACAACATCAACTTCTCCTCCTGACTGGTAGTTTGAATGTCTGGGCATGACATTGGGTGGTTTGGTGAACTTTTTGTATGGTCCATACATCAGGCATGAGGCTTGTTCCTGAAAATTCATCTAGTTTCAGCTTATAGGGCTTTAGGAATAGAGCAGATTTTGTTTTCAGTTGGAGAGTTGTAGCCAAATATTGAAAAAAATTAGGAGAATTCATGAATGGGTCTAGTCTATAGGTAGATGACAAAAACTTGAAACTAATGCACAGGGCTACAGTCTAATCTAATAATGGGTGTATTATAGTTTTTCTTTGAAACAAAGTTTTTCCCTCTACATTGATAATATAAAAATCTCAGATTTGGCAGGGCATGGTGGCTGATGCCTGTAATCTCAGCACTTTGGGAGACCAAGGTGAGTGGATCACTGGAGGTCAGGAATTCCAGACCAGCCTGGCCAACATGGTGAAACCCTGTCTCTACTAAAATACAAAAAATTAGCTGGGCATGGTGGCACACACCTGTAATCTCAGCTACTTGGGAGGCTGAGGCAGGAGAATCACTTGAACCCAGGAAGTGGAAGCAGAAAAAACATCTCAGATTTAAAAACCTTTTGAGATTAGGAAGCCAAACCTAGGCAGATGTTAGATTTTACTAAGAATCTTAAGGTTGTTGGGCCTGCCAGGAAGTGACCATTTTTAATCACTCATTGTAAGACTGGGAACTCCTGAAGCTAGGCATCTAGTGTACATTCTTAAATGTGGCATTTCAGTCAAAAACCTTGGTAATAGAGCCAATGTTTCAAATTGCAATCTGGTTATAAAGAAAGCAGGTCTTTATTAAACTTATGTAAATGAAAACAAGAATACTCACAAGTGGTTTCTGAATTTTGGAGAAATCAAGTAGAGAGAAAAAGCAAATGCTTCCATGTTTGTTGACAAAAGTACAATATACTTATTTACAAATTGTTGTAAACTATACCTTATGAAATAAAATGTCCTTAAATCTGGGAAACAAAACATTTAAGTAAAGGATGTTTTAAATAAAAGTTATAAAACATTATCTTTATCAGTTACTTAATTTTATGTAATTAATTTTTTGTTGTTCTTGATCCCAATTAATAGTTTTTTTTTTTTTTTTTTTTTTTTTTTTTAATTTATTTTTTTATTGATAATTCTTGGGTGTTTCTCACAGAGGGGGATTTGGCAGGGTCATGGGACAATAGTGGAGGGAAGGTCAGCAGATAAACAAGTGAACAAAGGTCTCTGGTTTTCCTAGGCAGAGGACCCTGCGGCCTTCCGCAGTGTTTGTGTCCCTGATTACTTGAGATTAGGGATTGGTGATGACTCTTAACGAGCATGCTGCCTTCAAGCATCTGTTTAACAAAGCACATCTTGCACCGCCCTTAATCCATTTAACCCTGAGTGGACACAGCACATGTTTCAGAGAGCACAGGGTTGGGGGTAAGGTCACAGATCAACAGGATCCCAAGACAGAGGAATTTTTCTTAGTGCAGAACAAAATGAAAAGTCTCCCATGTCTACTTCTTTCTACACAGACACGGCAACCATCCGATTTCTCAATCTTTTCCCCGCCTTTCCCGCCTTTCTATTCCACAAGGCCGCCATTGTCATCCTGGCCCGTTCTCAATGAGCTGTTGGGCACACCTCCCAGACGGGGTGGTGGCTGGGCAGAGGCGCCCCTCACCTCCCGGACGGGGCGGCTGGCCGGGCGGGGGGGGCTGACCCCCCCCACCTCCCTCCTGGACGGGGCGGCTGGCCGGGCGGGGGGCTGACACCCCCACCTCCCTCCCGGACGGGGCGGCTGGCCGGGCAGAGGGGCTCCTCACTTCCCAGTAGGGGTGGCCGGGCAGAGGCGCCCCTCACCTCCCGGACGGGGCCACTGGCCGGGCAGGGGGGCTGACCCCCCCCACCTCCCTCCCGGACGGGGCGGCTGGCCGGGCGGGGGGCTGACCCCCCCACCTCCCTCCCGGACGAGGCGGCTGGCTGGGCGTGGGGCTGACACCCCCACCTCCCTCCCAGACAGGGCGGCTGGCCGGGCGGGGGGCTGACCCCCCCACCTCCCTCCCGGATGGGGCGGCTGGTCGGGCGGGGGGCCGACCCCCCCACCTCCCTCCCGGACGGGGCGGCTGGCCGGGCAGAGGAGCTCCTCACTTCCCAGTAGGGGCGGCCGGGCAGAGGCGCCCCTCACCTCCCAGACGGGGCGGCTGGCCGGGCGGAGGGCTGACCCCCCCACCTCCCTCCCGGACAGGGCGGCTGGCCGGGCGGGGGGCTGACCCCCCCACCTCCCTCCCGGACGGGGCGGCTGGCCGGGCAGAGGGGCTCCTCACTTCCCAGTAGGGGCGGCCGGGCAGAGGCGCCCCTCACCTCCCAGACGGGGCGGCTGGCCGGGCGGAGGGCTGACCCCCCCACCTCCCTCCCGGACGGGGCGGCTGGCCAGGCGGGGGGCTGACCCCCCCACCTCCCTCCCGGACGGGGCGGCTGGCCGGGTGGGGGGGCTGACCCCCCCATCTCCCTCCCGGACGGGGTGGCTGGCCGGGCTGAGGGGCTCCTCACTTCCCAGTAGGGGCGGCCGGGCAGAGGCGCCCCTCACCTCCCGGACGGGGCGGCTGGCCGGGCGGGGGGCTGACCCCCCCACCTCCCTCCCGGATGGCACAGCTGGCCGGGCGGGGGGGCTGACCCCCCACCTCCCTCCCGGATGGGGTGGCTGGCCGGGTGGGGGGCTGACCCCCCCCCACCTCCCTCCCGGACGGGGTGGCTGCTGGGCGGAGATGCTCCTCACTTCCCAGATGGGGTGGCTGCCGGGCGGAGAGGCTCCTCACTTCTCAGACGGGGCAGCTGCCGGGCGGAGGGGCTCCTCACTTCTCAGACGGGGTGGTTGCCAGGCAGAGGGTCTCCTCACTTCTCAGACGGGGCGGCCGGGCAGAGACGCTCCTCACCTCCCAGACGGGGTCTCGGCCGGGCAGAGGCGCTCCTCACATCCCAGATGGGGCGGCGGGGCAGAGGCGCTCCCCACATCTCAGACTATGGGCGGCCGGGCAGAGACGCTCCTCACTTCCTAGATGTGATGGCGGCTGGGAAGAGGTGCTCCTCACTTCCTAGATGGGATGGCGGCCGGGCGGAGACGCTCCTCACTTTCCAGACTGGGCAGCCAGGCAGAGGGGCTCCTCACATCCCAGACGATGGGCGGCCAGGCAGAGACACTCCTCACTTCCCAGACGGGGTGGCGGCCGGGCAGAGGCTGCAATCTCGGCACTTTGGGAGGCCAAGGCAGGCGGCTGGGAGGTGTAGGTTGTAGTGAGCCGAGATCACGCCACTGCACTCCAGCATGGGCACCATTGAGCACTGAGTGAACGAGACTCCGTCTGCAATCCCGGCACCTCGGGAGGCCGAGGTTGGCGGATCACTCGCGGTTAGGGGCTGGAGACCGGCCCGGCCAACACAGCGAAACCCTGTCTCCACCAAAACCAGTCAGGCGTGGCGGCGCGTGCCTGCAATCGCAGGCACTCGGCAGACTGAGGCAGGAGAATCAGGCAGGGAGGATGCAGTGAGCCGAGATGGCAGCAGTACAGTCCAGCTTCGGCTCCGCATGAGAGGGAGACCGTGGGGAGAGGGAGAGCGAGAGGGAGACGGAGAGCGAGAGGGAGACGGAGAGCGAGAGGGAGACGGAGAGGGAGAGGGAGAGGGAGAGGGAGAGGGAGAGGGAGAGGGAGAGGGAGAGGGAGAGGGAGACAGAGGGAGAGGGAGAGGGAGAGGGAGAGGGACCAATTAATAGTTTTATGAGTCCATCAGTTTCTTTATTAGAGTTCTTGAAATTTTTATTTAATCCATTGATCTTAAAGCTGTCAGAAATCTGTGTTCAAGCCTGGTGCAGTGGCTCACACCTGTAATCCCAGTACTTTGGGAAGCCACAGCAGGAGAATAACTTGAGGCCAGGAGTTCAAGTCTAGCCTAGACAACATAGTGAGACCCCCCTCTCTACAAAAAAATAAAAATAATAAAACCAGCCAACCACAGCTGTGGACACCTATAGTCCCAGCCACTCGGGAGTCTGAGATGGGTAGATTACTTGATCACAGGAGTTCATAGCTGTAGTAAGCTATTATCATGGCACTGCACTCAAATTGGGTGACAGAGTGAGACCCTGTCACCAAAAAAAAAAAAAGTCTGTTCAAGGGTACGTGTTAGAGTTGCTTTCTTGAAAAGCAATTTTGAACCATGGCTGATTATAAATGTTTTTAGAGAAGAATTCAAAACAATTACTGTAAGTAACAAAAACTTAGACTAGCCATAAAGGCTCCCAATTTATCAAAACAGAATCACACATCACTGTAAAATCATGGTTATTCATTTAACCAGAGTGATAATCAAAAGGCTTCAAAAACAATACAGAAAATTTCATGGATATGAAAACTTTAACCCTTTCAAAGCTCAGTTTTTCTAAGTAATCAAAAACCTAATAAAGACAACGTAGGAATTGTCTTGATAAAATGTAAAATCTTTGGGGTTTTGTTTAAGACCAGTTACAAAAAGCTAAATTAAAAACTTCTTGTATTCTAATTGTTTTTCCTTATGGGAAGCATGTTTAGGCAAGCTGGAAGTCAAATCTAATGAAAAGGGTACTTGAATTTTATCAGACACAGGAAGAGTTTGTCCAAGGCTATGAGTAAACACTATATTATAGAGGAATGTAAATAAGAAAACTAGTACCTTGAGCAGGGGGGAAAACATAGCTCTTAGTAACAGCATGGGAAGTTTCCCGGTTACACGAAGCAATTCAGACACATCAAGAAAAGCCAAGAGTACAGAATCAAGTTATACTGGAAGAAAACATTGCTTTTCTTGACCTGCAAGATAAACATTTCAGCATTGGGCCATAACAGTAGGATTAAAACCGGGGGTGGGGGGTGAGGGAAGTTACAGCAATTTAAAAAAAAAGGTTGAATGAGAAAGTTATCACCTCAGCCAAGCAAAAATGATATACCATTTCAAGGGGAGAAAGAACAGAAGGCAATGATGTATGACCATCACATCACATGCAGTGAGATACAGCGAAGGATGAACTTCTCATAAATAAATCTGAGAAGTTCCAAAAAGAAAACAATTTACCTTGAGAATAAAATCACATTCTGAATGAAAAAGATAGCATTTCGAACCTGAAATTAGGGAGGTTAATTATATCTCAGGAAGAAATAGAAATAATATAGAAAGATGGTTGTTAAACAGATTTCAGAATTAAAAACCAGAACCTCTTGTAATTTTATATAGAGCAAATCAATACTTTAAGAAAAACTTATTCTAACATAGAGGACTAAATTTTTTTAGTTTTGCATTAGTGCTTTTTTTTCTTTTTTTCTTTCTTTTTTTTTTGTTTTTTTTTTTTGTTTAGACAGAGTCTTGCTCTGTCATCCAAGCTAGAGTGCAGTGGTGCCATCTCAGCTCACTGCAACCTCCACCTCCTGGGTTCAAGCAATTTTCCCGCCTCAGCCTCTTGAGTAGCTGGGACTACAGGCACCCACTACCATGCCCAGCTAATTTTTGTATTTTTACTAGAGGGAGGGTTTCGCAATGTTGGCTAGGCTGGTCTCGAACTCCTGACCTCAAGTGATCCTCCCAAAGTGCTGGGATTACAGGCATGAGCCACCATGCCCAGCCAGCATTTTTAATATCTGTATTAGTCCATTTCCACACTGCTATAAAGAACTACTTGAGACTGGGTAATTTATTTTTTTTTAAAAAAAAGGTTCAATTGACTTACAGTTCTGCATAGCCAGGGAGGTGTCAGGAAACTTACAATCATGGCAGAAGGTGAAGGGGAAGCAAGGCACGTCTTGCATGGCTGCAGGAGAGAGAGATAAAGAAAGTGCCACACTTTTAAACCATCAGATTGTGTGAGAACTCACTCACTATCATGAGAACAGCGTGGGGTAAACCCACCCCCATGAACCAGGTCCCTCCACAACACATGGGGATAACAATTCAAGATGAGATTTGGGTGGGGACACAGAACCAAACTGTATCAATATCAAACTTCAGTCTTTAGAAAGACTAAATTACAGCCAAGTTGATCCCACACAAAATTCTTTTTTTTTTTCTATTGAGACACAGTCTCACTCTGTTGCCCAGGCTGGAGTGCAGTGGTGTGCTCTTGGCTCACTGAAACCTCTGTCTCCTGGGTTCCAGCGATTCTCCTCAATCAGGCCCCTGAGTAGCTGGAATTACAGGCATTCACCACCACAATCAGCTAATTTTTGTATTTTTTTAGTAGAGACAGGGTTTCGTCATGTTGGCCAGGCTGATCTCGAACTCCTGACCTCAGGTGATCCACCTGCCTTGGCCTCCCAAAGTGCTGGGATTATAGGTGTGAGCCACCATGCCCAGCCAAATAAATTTTCTTTTCATGAACTTTATCACAATTTATTTAGACTATTGACAACATGCTTGGACTTTCTACTTTGTCCTATACTTCCTTTTTCTTAAATAACCAGTCATTTTACTTTAGGACAAAAATTTACCATGAAAAGATTCTTTCTCATACAAAATTATTCTTCTATTTTTTAACCTCCCTTACGAAAAATACATCTTCATATTCCTACCTTTTCTCACATTCCTCTCTCCTACTTATTGGTTCCTTTCTATCTTGTTTGATCTGAGAGCCTAAGCTTTAAAAACATTTATCTATTCCTTTTTCTTTTAGATTACTAATTTTTCAAATAAGTGTTTTATCATCATACACAATTGTTAGTCAGACAACTCCAAATTTATTTATTTATTTATTTTTGATACAGAGTCTCACTCTGTCACCCAGGCTTGAGTGCAGTGATGCAATCTCTGCTCACTGCAATCTCTGCCTTCCGAGTTCAAGTGAATCTCATGCCTCAGCTTCCCAAGTACCTGGGATTACAGGCATGGGCCACCACACTGGCTAATTTTTGTATTTTTGGTAGAGACAGGTTTTGCCATGTTGGCCAGGCTGGTCTCAAACTCCTGGCCTCAAGCAATCTGCCCACCTTGGCCTCCCAAAGTGCTAAGATTACAGGCATGAGCCATCACACCCAGCCTAAATTTGTATTTCTAAAAGGTGTCTCGGTTGTTGGTTACCACGGAGTTGTAATTTTAAAGCTATTAATTCAAAAGCCCTTTAAAACTTCTTCTTTTAAAAATCTTGATTGGAATGCCATAAGCAGTGAGTTTTATCTCAACACCAGCAGAAAGGTCAGCAGATTCCAAGTAGGCAGAGAAAAAATTAGAGAGATAGCTTAGAAGACTCTACATGTTAACTCTATAGTTGCAGATTTTTTTTTAACAATGACCATCTAAGCTCTGAATTTTCCTTGCTGTAATTTGCCCATCAATGTAAAAATGTGCACAAGAACAGGCCATAATATGTGCCAACTATAGTGGGTCCCAGAAAATCTGGCATGCCTTATTCATGTTTGAGAATGCCATTTTGTTTCTTTCTTTCTTTTTTTTTTTATACTTTAAGTTTTAGGGTACATGTACACATTGTGCAGGTTAGTTACATATGTATACATGTGCCATGCTGGTGCGCTGCACCCACTAACTCATCATCTAGCATTAGGTATATCTCCCAATGCTATCCCTCCCCCCTCCCCCCACCCCACCACAGTCCCCAGAGTGTGATATTCCCCATCCTGTGTCCATGTGCCATCTCATTGTTCAATTCCCACCTATGAGTGAGAATATGCGGTGTTTGGTTTTTTGTTCTTCCGATAGGTTACTGAGAATGATGATTTCCAATTTCATCCATGTCCCTACAAAGGACATGAACTCATCATTTTTTATGGCTGCATAGTATTCCATGGTGTATATGTGCCACATTTTCTTAATCCAGTCTATCATTGTTGGACATTTGGGTTGGTTCCAAGTCTTTGCTATTGTGAATAATGCCACAATAAACATACGTGTGCATGTGTCTTTATAGCAGCATGATTTATAGTCATTTGGGTATATACCCAGTAATGGGATGGCTGGGTCAAATGGTATTTCTAGTTCTAGATCCCTGAGGAATCGCCACACTGACTTCCACGATGGTTGAACTAGTTTACAGTCCCACCAACAGTGTAAAAGTGTTCCTATTTCTCCACATCCTCTCCAGCACCTGTTGTTTCCGGACTTTTTAATGATCGCCATTCTAACTGGTGTGAGATGGTATCTCATTGTGGTTTTGATTTGCATTTCTCTGATGGCCAATGATGATGAGCATTTTTTCATGTGTTTTTTGGCTGTACAAATGTCTTCTTTTGAGAAGTGTCTGTTCATGTCCTTCGCCCATTTTTTGATGGGGTTGTTTGTTTTTTTCTTGTAAATTTGTTTGAGTTCATTGTAGATTCTGGATATTAGCCCTTTGTCAGATGAGTAGGTTGCGAAAATTTTCTCCCATTTTGTAGGCTGCCTGTTCACTCTGATGGTAGTTTCTTTTGCTGTGCAGAAGCTCTTTAGTTTAATTAGATCCCATTTGTCAATTTTGGCTTTTGTTGCCATTGCTTTTGGTGTTTTGGACATGAAGTCCTTGCCCATGCCTCGGTGCTCTACACGTTCAGAGAAACTTCTCTAGTAACAAACTATAGAAATGATCCCTGAAAGTATAGTCTTGAGAATGCCATTTTGTTTCTTATTCATCTCCTGGGAGCAAAGAAAATCTTCTAAGTCCTGTAAGGGAATTCAGAAGTTTTTTAAAAATTATTATTTTTTTATTTTATTATTTTTTTGATATGTAGTCTTGCTCTGTTGCCCAGGCTGGAGTGCAACAGCGCCATGTTGGCTCACTGCAACCTCCACCTCCTGGATTCAAGTGATTCTCCAGCCTCAGCCTCCCGAGTGGTTGGGATTACAGGCTTGCGCCACCATGCCCAGCTAATTTTTGTGTTTTTAGTAGAGACGGGGTTTCACCATGTTGCCCAGGCTAGTCCGAACTCCTGACCTCAGGTGATCCACCCACCTCGGCTTCCTAGTGCTGGAATGATAGGCCTGAGCCACCGCACCCGGACAAATTCAGGAGTTTAGACCAGTGTTTTAGATGGTGGTGTCTGCCCTGGTAGCTGTAAAGTAGCCCTCGTGCATCCATCATTTAGAATATTTACTTTTGCTCCTGTAAGATTTTCAGAAACAAGCAAGGAAAAAGAGTCAAACCAAATAGAAGGAAACCAAGATAAGAATGTTCCAAATATTTTAACCCAGGTGTGCAGATCAAACAAAATATTAAACCAGAGAAGGTGCACAGACCAGAGAAGATGTACCTCGCAGACAGGATGTAAATACTTTAGAAACCTAGAGTATTCAATGCAGAAAGATACTTGTCTCTATACCCGGAAGGACTTACCAGAAAAGACAAAAAGTCTTATTTCAGGAGGGATGTATGGTCTTTCATAAAAATGACCTTATCCAAACAAGACCCCAAATAAAGTCAAAAAGCCTCCAACAGAAGGAGGGAGGATCACTTGTAATTTGCCCATCACCAGGGCAGAAAAGGTGAGCCAGGGAAGTGACTCAGTAAATACTGCTCACTGGTTCCAAGTATCACCATTTCCTTCTTTTTGTTTTGGTTGTTTTTGTTGTTGTTGTTTCTTTTTATTGAGACTGAGTCTCATTCTGTCACCCAGGCTGGAGTGCAGCTACGTGATCTCGCCTCACTGCAATGTCCGCCTCCCGGGTTCAAGCGATTCTCCGGCCTCCACCTCTCGAGTAGCTGGGATTACAGGTGCTCGCCACCACACCCGGCTAATTTTTGTATTTTTAGTATAGACGGGGTTTCACCATGTTGGCCAGGCTGGTCTGGACCTCCCAACCTCAGGTGATCTGCCCGCCTCAGCCTCCCAGAGTGCTGGGATTACAGGTGTGAGACACTATGCCTGGTCACCATTTCTTCTGCTAGTGAACTTTTTCAGGTCCTGTTTCAAACACCATATATGTCAACCTATTTAACAAACAGAAAGAGTCTCTCTGAAAGAAAAGATATTTGTTTAGCAATAGAGCATTGCAATGGGAATCTGTATACCATAGTGAAATATGTGCAAATTCAGGGAGATAAAGGAAGACAAGGGTTTTTAAATGAAAAAATGAGGAGGATTACATAATTGTTTTGAAATAATTATCCTTGGCTACAAAGATCAATAACAAGTCTGAGACTGGACAGGGAATTGTTGAGCAGATGTCCTTGCAGAAGTATTATTTGTATAAGGTTATGGTGGACTTTGTGCAAAGTTGTGGTTTTTGTAGTCTTTTGTGACAGTTTTTGTGATCAGGCATACAAGCATGAAAACCTTCTCTTCATGTTCTCCCCATGCTTGATTTGTCAGAGTTTTCATTTTTCTTCTTTTGGGACAGGATCTCACTCTGCCACCCAGGTTGGAGTACAGTGGTGTGATCATGGCTCACTGCGGCCTCAAACTCCTGGGCTCAAGCAATCCTCCTGCCTCAGCTTCCCAAGTAGCTGAAACTGCAGGCACCTGCCACCACACCCAGCTATTTTTTTTATGTTTTGTAGAGATGGGGGGGTCTCACTATGTTGCCCAGGCTGATCTTGAACTCCTGGTCTCAAGCAATCCTCCCACCTCGGCCTCCCAAAGTGCTGGAATTACAAGTGTGAGCCACTATTCCTGGCCCATGATATGTCAGTTTTCTTAACATTAGTGACTCCGTTTCGATTCTGACAACTTTCACAGTTCTCTTACTAATATATGTTGTTGACAGCCTTCTCAAAGCAAACCTTCCATCTGAGCTTTACCCATACATATGTGTATATGATACATGACTAGCCACATGTATGATGCAGGTGCCTTAAAGACAGAGCAAACTACATGTGCTAAATAGAGTGTGCTCTTACCTTTACACCCAAACCACAGCCTCTTCAGTTTGTCAGTGTCAATAAACACCACCATGACCAATCCAGTTGCTCATGTGAGAGACTTGTGAGTCATTACCCATACTAACCTTTCTCAAACAACCCTTTATGAGGGCAAAGTGGCTGATGCCTGTAATCCCAACACTTTGGGAGGCTGAGGCAGGAGGACTGTTTGAGGCCAAGAGTTGGAGACCAGCCTGGGCAACATAGCTAGACCCCATCTCTAAAAAAAAAAACAGCCCTCTCCCTCTGTCTCCCTCTCCCCACGGTCTCCCTCTCATGCGGAGCCGAAGCTGGACTGTACTGCTGCCATCTCGGCTCACTGCAACCTCCCTGCCTGATTCTCCTGCCTCAGCCTGCCCAGTGCCTGCCATTGCAGGCACGCGCCGCCACGCCTGACTGGTTTTGGTGGAGACGGGGTTTCGCTGTGTTGGCCGGGCAGGTCTCCAGCCCCTAACCGCGAGTGATCCCGCCAACCTCAGCCTCCCGAGGTGCCGGGATTGCAGACGGAGTCTCGTTCACTCAGTGCTCAATGGTGCCCAGGCTGGAGTGCAGTGGCGTGATCTCGGCTCACTACAACCTACACCTCCCAGCCGCCTGCCTTGGCCTCCCAAAGTGCCGAGATTGCAGCCTCTGCCCGGCCGCCACCCCGTCTGGGAAGTGAGGAGCGTCTCTGCCTGGCCGCCCATCGTCTGGGATGTGAGGAGCCCCTCTGCCTGGCTGCCCAGTCTGGAAAGTGAGGAGCGTCTCCGCCCGGCCGCCATCCCATCTAGGAAGTGAGGAGCGCCTCTTCCCAGCCGCCATCACATCTAGGAAGTGAGGAGCGTCTCTGCCTGGCCGCCCATCGTCTGAGATGTGGGGAGCGCCTCTGCCCCGCCGCCCCATCTGGGATGTGAGGAGTGCCTTTGCCCGGCCGAGACCCCGTCTGGGAGGTGAGGAGCGTCTCTGCCCGGCCGCCCCGTCTGAGAAGTGAGGAGACCCTCTGCCTGGCAACCACCCCGTCTGAGAAGTGAGGAGCCCCTCCGCCCGGCAGCCGCCCCGTCTGAGAAGTGAGGAGCCTCTCCGCCCGGCAGCCACCCCATCTGGGAAGTGAGGAGCATCTCCGCCCGGCAGCCACCCCGTCCGGGAGGGAGGTGGGGGGGGTCAACCCCCCGCCCGGCCAGCCGCCCCATCTGGGAGGGAGGTGGGGGGTCAGCCCCCCCGACCGGCCAGCCGTGCCATCCGGGAGGGAGGTGGGGGGGTCAGCCCCCCACCTGGCCAGCCGTGCCGTCCGGGAGGGAGGTGGGGGGGTCAGCCCCCCGCCCGGCCAGCCGCCCCGTCCGGGAGGTGAGGGGTGCCTCTGCCCGGCCACCCCTACTGGGAAGTGAGGAGCCCCTCAGCCCGGCCAGCCACCCCGTCCGGGAGGGAGATGGGGGGGTCAGCCCCCCCACCCGGCCAGCCGCCCCGTCCGGGAGGGAGGTGGGGGGGTAAGCCCCCCGCCTGGCCAGCCGCCCCGTCCGGGAGGGAGGTGGGGGGGTCAGCCCTCCGCCCGGCCAGCCGCCCCGTCCGGGAGGTGAGGGGCGCCTCTGCCCAGCCGCCCCTACTGGGAAGTGAGGAGCCCCTCTGCCCGGCCAGCCGCCCCGTCCGGGAGGGAGGTGGGGGTGTCAGCCCCCCGCCCGGCCAGCCGCCCCGTCCGGGAGGGAGGTGGGGGGGGTCAGCCCCCCCGCCCGGCCAGCCGCCCCGTCCGGGAGGTGAGGGGCGCCTCTGCCCGGCCGCCCCTACTGGGAAGTGAGGAGCCCCTCTGCCCGGCCAGCCGCCCCGTCTGGGAGGGAGGTGGGGGTGTCGGCCCCCCGCCCGGCCAGCCGCCCCCTCCGGGAGGGAGGTGGGGGGGGTCAGCCCCCCCGCCCGGCCAGCCGCCCCGTCCGGGAGGTGTGCCCAACAGCTCATTGAGAACGGGCCAGGATGACAATGGCGGCTTTGTGGAATAGAAAGGCAGGAAAGGTGGGGAAAAGATTGAGAAATCGGATGGTTGCCGTGTCTGTGTAGAAAGAAGTAGACATGGGAGACTTTTCATTTTGTTCTGCACTAAGAAAAATTCCTCTGCCTTGGGATCCTGTTGATCTGTGACCTTACCCCCAACCCTGTGCTCTCTGAAACATGTGCTGTGTCCACTCAGGGTTAAATGGATTAAGGGCGGTGCAAGATGTGCTTTGTTAAACAGATGCTTGAAGGCAGCGTGCTCGTTAAGAGTCATCACCAATCCCTAATCTCAAGTAATCAGGGACACAAACACTGCGGAAGGCCGCAGGGTCCTCTGCCTAGGAAAACCAGAGACCTTTGTTCACTTGTTTATCTGCTGACCTTCCCTCCACTATTGTCCCATGACCCTGCCAAATCCCCCTCTGTGAGAAACACCCAAGAATTATCAATAAAAAAATAAATTTAAAAAAAAAAAAAAAAAACAAAAAAAAAACATAAAAATTAGCCAGGTGTGGTGGTACACCACTGTAATCCCAGCTACGCAGGAGGCCAAGTGGGAGGATCACTTGAGCCCAGGAGTTCAAGGCCACAGTGAGCCATGATCACACAACTACATTCCAGCCTGTGTGACAGCATGAGACCCTATCTCTAAAAATTTTTTTTAAAGTACAAAAGAAAAAAAGACCTTTACGAAACACTTGCTATGTTTACTGCATACTTCTTTCCCAAGGAATTATTGTGCAAGTACAACGCTCTCCTTCATGCTGATTTTCATCATCTGTATCAGAGCCATCATCCCGTCTCACCTAGTTTACTTCAAACATCTTCAAAAGATCAAAACATCAACAGTTGTTTTGAAGATGTTTGAAGTAAACTAGGCGAGAGGGGATGATGGCTCTGACACAGATGTTTTTTCCCATGTTTACGCTTACTCAATTCAATAAACTATGCTCATAATTGTTAGGTAAACTAGACAATTTTTTAAATGTCTCCTGTCTCTTTGATAAAGTCCTTAAATTACCCAAAATTACTGTTGGGTACAAATTCCTAACCTAATCGATAAAACATGGCAGATGGTCACGGCATCCTAACTCAGTAACCTCAGCTCCTGCTCAATTCTCTTGTTGTTGGAACACAAGGCATAGCACACAGAATTTCCTTTCATTCTTTGCATGTCCTTTGTTCCTTTCTGCAAATGTTGTTCAAACAATGGTTTCCATTTGCCTAAAGTGCCTGCTATGGCTGGTTAACCTCTAAAATATTTAGGGAGCAGCCCAACCTGCAGATACAAAGATGTCAAAAAACGAAATTACAACACATTTACTTTAAAGACCTTAATTTATTTTATTTGTGATTCTAGAATCAAGCAGCACTTTATTCTACAAAATAGAATGAGTAGAGGAGCTGAGCAGAGCAGGGTGGTTTTACAGACAGAAAAGGGCTGAGGAAAACAGACACAGAGAGCAGAAAGTGCCTTGGCCATTTCAAAGTTACTTCCCCTGTAAAGGTTAAAGCAGAGGGGGTTTCAATATCATGCCAGCTAAAACTGGTCAGGCCGGGTGCAGTGGCTCATGCCTGTAATCCCAGCACTTTGGGAGGCTGAGGTGGGCAGATCACCTGAGGACAAGAGTTTGAGACCAGCCTGGCCAATATGGTGAAATCCCGTCTCTACCAAAAATACAAAAATTAGTCGTGGGTGGTGGCGCATGTCTGTAATCCCAGCTATTCGGGAGGCTGAAGCATGAGAATCGCTTGAACCTGGGATAGAGAGGTTGCAGTGAGCCAAGATCACACCATTGCCCTCCAGCCTGGGCAACAGAGTGAGACTCTGACTTAAAAATAAAATAAAATGAAATGAAATGAAATAATGAAATGAAATGAAATGAAATGAAATGAAATGAAATGAAATAAACTGGCCTGCTTGGAGATTTGGCTATCATCTCCCTCTCTCTCTCTCTCTCTCTCTCTCTCTCTCTCTCTCTCTCTCTCTCGAATTATTGGAAGATCAGATAAATAACCTAGTTTCAGCTTGGTGGCATGGAACTTCAGCAGGAGTAACTCCATTTTTGTTTGGTCTGTTGAGCCTCATGCAGGGGCTCAGCCCAAACCAATGGCTAAACCATTGGCTAAACTGTAAAGTTTATTTAACAAAGGGGAGCTTTCCATGGTCCTGAAACAAACTACCCTGAGCTCCTCATTGCAGCAACCTATGCAACTACAACTATCATTGGTTCTGTAATTGTTTCTTTGATGTCTGGATTCCCCCACAGACTTTAAGGAAGTAGATACCTTTCTGTTTACTACTGAATAGGAGTGACACAGGGAAGGTACTTCTTCACAGTATGAGATGAGTGGATGAATGACTAGAGTATAAAACGCTGTCAGCAACTGGGTAGGCTCTACAACTTCCTCAGCAGGAGGACCAGAGGCTGGAAACATGGGTGTCACTTTTTAAGAGCAAAAGGGGGCTGATGGTTGGAAAACCAGATACTAGAAGAATGCTGGTTTTCATAAGCCACACCTGTGGATTGTCAAAAAGAAAAAGCACACATTTCAAAAGCAGAAGAGAAAGAAAAAAATAAGGCAAAAGTGCTCACAAGTATCAGAATAGATTTTGTGGCTCTGGTCTCTGGGGATATTTGCGAGCACTGTTTAGTGCCATGAATGTATCAGACTTGCCACTTGTACCGGTGAGGGAAAAAATATCTTGGAGCCACTGGCCCCATGCCATGATTCCCAAGCAAAAAACATCAATACAGGAGAAAATAACTGAACACATTGATTTTGTAATTGTATCAACTAATAGATGAGAACAATATCCAAGGTTTGATTTCACAGTGATATTTCTGCTACTCCATTGGCTAGTCATTCTCATGGGAACAATGAGATTTACCAGCAAGTGAAACACCCAGCTCACAATACAGGGAGAATTAATATGTTTGGGGGGTTTGAATTTGAGTTCTGCCCACCTGGAGTTTGTGGGGTTGATACTTAAGGCCTGGAAGCCACCTAAAAGACAGATGGTGTTGAGAGAATTTCCCCAGGCCACTCTGTGACAATAAAAGACAAGTTTACATCCAACATCATCCAGGAAGTATTGCAACCCAAAAGCTGCCATCTTCTGAGGGATTCCTCCACAAAGAAGGATTGATGTATTGGCTAACACAAGATGGTTGGTTATTTGCTCTAACGGTCTCAATCTGTGTCTCCTAAAAAGAGAACAGATATAATAACAAAGGAGTAACGAAAATTCCCCACAATCCCTATTCCAGTCTGTGTAAAGATAATCACACCCATTGCTACATCAATAGATAGCATTCCCTCAGTGACTGAGAGATGATGCTTTTGCTCAGATCCAGGAACCTGGAGAAAAATGGAAGGAACACATGAATTTCTTCAAGTGAAATGAAATGTACTTAATTTCTTTCAAATCTCCTTCCTGGGACCCCTATGCTATTGTCACACATAAAAATCCCATCCATGAAGGTTTTTTCTCCTCACCACCTAGTATATCTTTCTTGGTACCTATAACAACAGAAATTATCTTACTGGATTATCTTATTTCTATTGAAGGAAGACCATTTCCTCCAATGGAAAGATGAAGGTCATGAAGGCAGACATCTTGTCTACCCTGTTTTCAGCCCATAACTAAGGTTTAGAACAACATACTGTTAAGCAGTCAGTCAATATTTATCACATGAATAAATGAATGAACTACTGAACAGAGTCATTATTTCCGTGTCAAAAATTATTTCAATGTGTTCTTTACCTTAATAGATTTATTAACATGGGAAGCAGAATCTCTCCTTGATAGTTAAAAATATCTAGTGCATTAAGCTAATTGCGTTATTCGAAACTACATATCCTTGCTTGATTTGGGGGTTTTGCTTTGTTTTGTTTGTGTAAAAATTTGGTCTTCTTGAGAGACAAGTGTTCAGTGTCCTATGTTGCACTTGATTCTATCAAATACTCTTTGTCAAGCATGATCTTTCTATAATCCAAAACAAATTTTGGACCAAGGACCCAAACTGAATTAGGCAGAGTACCTTAATAATAAAACATTAACAAAGATATAGTCCAGGAATACACATGATTAATATCAAAATGAACATTAGATATAATCTCATCTTGGCCGGGTGCAATGGCTCACGCCTATAATTCCAGCACTTTGGGAGGCTTAGGCAAGAAGATCGCTTGAGTCCAGGAGTTCGAGACCAGCCTGGGCAACACAGCAAAACCCTGTCTCTACAAAAATAAAACAATTGAAAAACAAAACGAACAAACAAAAAAGAATTAATCTCATTTCATTGGGGAAAAAGACTAACGTGACCACAGGCACCACAATTATTCAATATTTTTCTCACCTGGTCAATAAAATGGAAGGTAAAGTTTATCCCTCTTTGGGAAAGTTAGATGATTTTTATGTTACATTCAAAGAAACAACTAAAATATTTAGAAGTAATAAGATAGTAATTTGCCCAAATATAACATAAATAAAAGAATACACTGTGTATAAACACTTTGAAAATCTTAGGAGTAATCTAGATCAGTAATATGCCAGAAATATGAGCATTCTCAATCAAAAAGTGGAAAATAAATCTTGAATTAGTAGAATGAAATTCCATGTTCTTGGATGGAAAGACATAATGTGCTCTCAAGATTTGAAATTTCCTCAAATAAATTTGTAGATTCAATTCATTATGAATCAAAATTGCAAGGGACTATTTTAGGAGCTATACAATTTGCAACAAATTTTAACTACATTGCTCAAGAAAATCCAAGTCATTTTCCCACTTTTTTAAATGAAAAGTTTTCAACATACAGAAACTTAGCCATTTATTTAAAAAAGAACTGGATTAATTTCCTACCTAATTTCCTAAAACCTAATACAGCAATTAAAGTGTGTAGCACAAAAAAAGAATAGTCACACATATCAATGGTTCAGAACATTGTCCAGAAAAGTTATTTATAAGTTGGAAATTCAGCAAATTAGAATATAATTGATCAATATTAAGGATCTAGAAAAACAGATGAATGATTTGGGAAATATACAATTGGATGGCCAAATCAAATCATACAGACAAATTTCAGGGCAAAAAGAAAAAAATTAGGAAGAGATGGAACTCTCTTTTCTCACACACAGAAAGAAATAGCAGAGGCGCATTTGGCCACAAACCTGATGGCTAATCCTATGTGGACTCTTGGCTTGAGCAAAAAGAGGGGAGATGCCTCCCCAAGATCCATGTACCCTGAGGTTCAGTGAGATTTCATTAACTCACTAAACCTTTGCCAGCATTGACCTCTGTGGTAACCACTGCCCTGAACTGCATATATTCTTTCAAGGTTTTTATCGCTCCCCTGGAACACAGAGCAGAAGGTAGGGTCTACATCAGGTATGTGATTATAGGGTCAGTATCACATCTCAGAATCCAATTCTCAGATCCACGTAGCTATTACAAGGGAGGGTCCAGCTGAGAAAATTCACTAGTAAACACGCCTTCTTCTGTAGTTGAGTCTGGTGTTTATTCCAAAGAGTATTATGTGGATTTGAAGGTCAGAATCCTTAATAACATGTAATTTTCTGCTGCACCAATTCTAATAAAATTCTGGACAATGCCTTGAAATTTTCACGCAGTGCATACACAAAAATGTTCAGTATAATGAATTGCCCAAGTGCAGTCTCACCTTGACAAGGTCCAGTGGAAACAAAAGACACTAACATTTATTTAAGATAGCTTGTGCACCAGGCCTACAATTTTCTCTATTTTAATTTGAATTAATCTTGTCCCCATGCTTAAAGAATCTCAGGTTAAGAACAAACATTCTGCAGAAGGATGGGCTAAAAATCAAAGAACAAATCAAGGAACAGAGGTGGAAATTCAGACAGAACTTATACAGGGAAAGAGTTAAGGAGACATTGCAGGAAAATGGGTAAGAAAAGTAAATAATCTGCAAAGACCAGAGAATATCTCTTCACAGTGAAAATGGGCTCTATTATGACTCTGGTATAGTCTCATGAAAAAGCATTAATGGTCCAGACATTGTATAGATTCCCATGTCTAAATATTCACCCCTTTTCTTTCCCAGACGATTTTTAAGTCTGAAATAAAAACTCCACTCACCTAAGTAACCTCCATTCCAGGATGTTGTACCTAATGTTTACCAGATTTGTCCTGAGAGAGAAAGCTAAGCCTTTAGTTTTCATTGCCTTGACCTCATCTCTCTCTAGAGCTGTGATTATTATGTTATTTCTAGCATCAGTGATAGTGTCTCCAAGAAAAATCTGTACACATTTTTTCTTAGCATAATTAACTTATCCAAATTAATTATGAGTGTTTACAGAGAACATCCCAAGATGCTGCCAGAGGTAGCTGGAGAAAAAGTTTTCTGAACTCCCTATAGGGGTGAGGTCAAATAATTATGAGGCCTAAAAAGTGAGGGATTGGAGAATAAACACATGATTCTGGCTATATTTAAAAAAAACTCTAAGGGGTATATTTCTTAGAAGAGAATTTTTGGGTTCCTAAAAACCTGATGAATTCTACCTATTAAAGATTTAGTAGAAAAAAAAAGAGAGGAGAGGCATTCCAAAGATAGAGCATGTGGGACATATAAACAAGGTAGCAAGTGTTGACCTAGAACCCATTATAAGAGGTAAAATAAATGAGATGAGGTGGTGTGGTGGGAACCAACCTACTATGGACCAAGAGTGTGTGGGGGTGAGGAAATGGAGGGAGGGAGTGTGGACCACTCTCTCAGTAAATATCATTATAAAGGGGTACCCAGGGATTGATGAGGTTAAGGGAGAATTTAAATACTCATAGAAGGCTGGGTGAGGTTGGCTTATGTCTATAATCCCAGCACTTTGGGAGGCTAAGGCAGGAGGATTGCTTGAACCCAGGAGTTCAAGACTAGCCTGGTCTATAAAATTTTTAAAAATTGAAAACTTAGCCAAGTACAGTGGTACATGCCTGTGTTCCTAGCTACTTGGAGGCTGAGGTGGATCACTTGAGCCCAGGAGTTCAAGGCTGCAGTGAGCTATGATCACACTACTACACTCCAACATGAGCAACAGAGAGAGATCCTGTCTCTAAAATAAATAAATAAATAAATACTTACGGGTAAGATCTGGCAGATCAGAATGTGTTGAATTTAAGTAAACATATTTACATTTGTTAGATTGAGGCCTATCATTAGTTTAAAAAGAGTATAATCCATGGCATAAGTAAAGGAATTAATCTTAATTTTAAAGAGGAATATATCACTCATTAACATAAATTTAGGAAAAAAGAATGAGTGTAAAGTCAGGATTAATCTGAATTGTGTAAGGAAATAGAGGGATTTCTCAACTAGGAGAGGCTGAAGATGGCTTCAACTTCTCTTAAGAAGCAGGAGACAAGCATATTTGAAAAGAGATAGAGAAGCATAGAGACCTGAGAGTAATTGAGAATATTTGAAAGCACAGCAGTGGATAATGGCAGGAAGAGTTGGAAGATGAAACAGAAGAGGGCTGTTGGGCAGAATCATAGCAGGGATTCGGATTATTGCCAATGAAACATTTATGACTGATGCCAATCTACCTAGTTGCTTATTCAGCTACACAAGACTTCTATAGTGTAACTATGGGAGAAGGGAAATGGAGACCAGATTCAATTAATATGTTTTCCAGTTCAGAGTCATGGAATGACAATAAGAAAGGAATTATGGATACCGAAAGAAATAGAAAGGATTGACAAAAATATTACACTAAAGAGAGAAAGAAAGATTGAGATGAACTGGCATGACATAAATTGAGACTATATATTAATGGCCCAGAAGCCAATGAAAGAGAATAGAAAGATGTGTAGGAAAAAAAGCTGCAAACATCTACATGGAGACCCCCTAGAGTCTTCATAGGACACTAAATTGTGCATTCATAGGGTGAAATTCCATAGGATTGGGCATTTAAAAACCAGAAAATGGTGAACTAAACAATTCCCAGAGCTCAAAGACGGACAATGTTCAAGATATGACTGGCTTAGCCAGGCGCAGTGGCTCATGCCTGTAATCACAACACTTTGGGAGGCCAAGGTGGGCAAATCATGAGGTCAAGAGTTCAAGACCAGCCCTGGCCAACATGGTGAAACCCCATCTCTACTAAAAATACAAAAATTAGCCAGGTGTGGTGGGCGTCTATAGTTCCAGCTATCTGGGAGGCTGAGGTGGGAGAATTGCTTGAACCCAGGAAGCAGAGGTTGCAGTGAGCTGAGATGGTGCCACTGCACTCCAGCCTGGGTGAAAGAATGAGACTCCATCTCAAAAAAAAAAAAAAAACAATTAAGTCACTGGATGGGATTAACAATAGGTTACACAATGGAGAAGAAAAGATCAGTGAATTAGAAGAAATAGCAACAGAAACTATCCAAAATGGAGCAAAAGGTGACTATCATCATAAAGACAAAAGATGACAAGCATTGCTGAGGGTGTAGAGAAGAAGGACCCTTGTACATTGTTAGTGGGAATGTAAATTAGCCATTATGGAAAACAGTACTGAAGTTCTTCAAAAAATTAAAAATAGAGCTACCTTAGATCTAGCAATCCCACTTCGGAGTATATATCCAAAGAAAAAGAAATCAGTATCTCAAAGAGATATCTGCACTTTCACATTCATTGCAACATTATTTACAATAGCCAAGATATGGAAACAATCTAAGTGTCCCTCAACAGATAAATGGATAAAGAAATTATGAGACATATATATTATATACATATATATAATAAAATATAGTTCATCTTTTAGAAAAATAAGGAAATCCTGCCATTTGTGACAACATGGATGATCCTAGAGGACATTCTACTAAGGGAAATAAGCCAGATGCCAAAAGACAAACACTGAATGATCTCACTCTTATGTGGAATCTAAAAAAGTCAAATTCATAGATGCAGAAAGTAGAATGATGGTTACAAGGAACAGGAGTAGGCAGAGGGATCTAGGTCAAAGTGTACAAAGTTTCAGTTATGTAGGATGGATAAGTTCTAGAAATTTAATGTACAGCATGGGGACTATTGTTAATAATACTGTATTGTATACTTGAAATTTGCTGAGAGTACATCTTAAGTGTACTCATCACCAAAAAAATGCTAACTATGTAGACAGATGGACATACTAATTAGCTCACTGCAGTAATCAGTTTACCATGTGTATGTATATCAAAAAATCATGCTGTACATATTAAATATACACAATTTCAATTTTTTAAATAGAGCAAAAGAGATAAATAAAATATTGAATTTTTTTGAAAGGAACAGAGCTTCCTTTACCTGTTAAATACTATCAAATGGGCTGTTATACATGTAATTAGAATCCCAGAAGGAAAAAAGGAAATATACATACATGTGTATTTTCTGTTTTTGTTTTTGTTTTTGTTTTTGAGACAGAATCTTGCCCTGTCACCCAGGCTGGAGTGCAATGGTGCGATCTCGGCTCACTGCAGTCTTCACCTCCCAGGTTCAAGTGATTCTCCTGACTCAGCCTCCCGAGTAGCTGGGATTACAGGCACCCACCACCACACCTGGCTAATTTTTGTATTTTTAGTAGAGATGGGGTTTTGCCATGTTGGCCAGGCTGGTCTCGAACTCCTGACCTCAGGTGATCTGCCCACCTCAGCCTCCTAAAGTGCTAGGATTACAGGCGTGAAAACTCAGATGTTATTGTGGGAAAGGTCTGCTGCCAGATTTCAGAGAAACCACCAAGAATTTTGGTAATCACATGATGTAGTGATAATGGGATATAGTGACAAAATTGGAGATTTGAGAGTCCTCAAATACTAATACCCAGATTCTTATGCTACATGCAGGCACAGCTAAAGAATTAAGCTGAAAAGCTCTTTAAAATAGTATGAAAATTCCCAATTTTTACATAACAAAGAAGCAAAGTACCATAAGGCTTTTATATGAATGCCATCAACAGCCATGCCCTAAGAATGTGAGCAAATGTGAGCAAATGGAGATAGACTAAATCTTGCAAACTTTGCAAATAAGCTCTGACCACACTCAGTACCAGCTCAGATTAAGGTGATCAACTGCACAACTGTCTAATACAGAAAAAAGGTCACCTAAAACAATAAGGCTTAATACAATTAAAAATTATGAGACATTCTAAGATGCAAGAAATGTGACTAACAATCAGCAAAAACAATATCAAATTTAAGCAAACAGATGGCCCACATATTGGAGATAGTAGACAAGGGCTAAATATATTTCCTCAAAGAATGTGGGGCTGTGCATTTTGCTTGGCTCCAAGGGACTGGCACAGACTCTTGCCTTGGTTTTGGCTCTCTCTACTGCAGTAGCTTCTCCAGCAGCAGCAGCAGAAGCTCTAAAGGGACAGAACACTTTCCTCCCTACTCTTTGGACTCAGACATTTAAGGAAATCTTTGATAGGTCTAACTACAGAGATAGCCAAACAGAATTTTCAATGATCACACACAAAAGGAATAAACACTCTGCAAAAAAAAATTTGAGAAAGTCACAAATGGATGCTCTAATCCTCAATGAGCAAAAATCAGCAGTCTCTGAGGAGTTAGAGAATCATTTTTTCAGAATTACCACATTATAATATTGACAGTATCCAGCTCTCAAAAAAATTACTAAGCATACAAATAAATAGGAAAATATGGCCCATTCACAGGAAAAAAAAATCTGATAGAGACCACACTCGAGGAATCCCTGACGTTGCAATTACTAGTGAAAAACATTAAGTCAACTTTTAAACATGCTCAATGAGTAAAGGAAACCATGAATAAAGAACTAAAGAAAACCTGAAAATTACGTGTGAATAAAGTGAGAATACCCCTGAATACCTATAAAGATATAGAAAGGAACCAAACAGAAATTCTGGAGCTGAAAAGTACAATAAGTGGAAAATTCACTAGAGGTATTCGACAGCAGACTTGAGCAAGAAGAAGAAAGGATCCGTGAACTTAAATTTAAGGCCATCAAAATTATTCAGTCTAAGGAGCAGAACGAAAAAAAGAATGAAGAAAATGAACAGAGTCCCAGGGATCTGTAGGACACCATCAAGTGTACCAACATATGCATCATAGGAATTCTGGAAGGAGAAGAAAGGAGCAGGAAAAAATTAAAGAAATAGTGGCTGAAACTTCCCAAATCTGATGAAAGACAAGAAGCTACACCTAAGCTCAACAAATTTTATCTTAACTACATGTAAACTCAACACACTTCAAGCAATATAAAGTCAAAGAAATTTACAGGTAGATTTACAAGTGAATCATCACATATGATAGATGCTCAATAAGATGAACAGTTGATTTCTAAACAGAAACCACAGAGGCCAGAGGGCAATGGTATGACACATTTAAAGTTCTAAAAGAAAAAAACTCAACCAAGAATTCTGTATCTAGCAAAACTGTCCTTCAAAAATAAAGGAGAAATTAATAAAGGAGAAGCATAAAAACTGAAGGAATTCATTACCAGTTGACCTGCCCTACAAGAAATGTCAAAGGGACTCTTCAGGCTGAGATAAAAGGATATTAGACAGGAACTTGAAGCCATTAGAAGAAATAAAGAACACTGGTAAAGTTAACTACACAGGTAAATACAAAATACAATTTATTGTAATTCTTCTCTTTTCCTTTGTGATGTAAAAGACAAATACATAGAACAATAATTATGTTATTGTTCTATTGTCTATGTTAATGAGAATTCAGTGTGTAAAGATATAACTTATGAGAATAACAATATAAAGGAGAAAGAAGAGAAATGAATAAGAGCAGTGTTTGTACTCTATTGAAACTAAGTTGTTATTATTCAAACTCTTAAACAGCCAAGGGTCAAAAAAGACAGCACAAGAGAAATTAGAAAATGCCTTGAGACAAATTAAAATTAAAATGCAACATACTAAAACTTATGGGATGCAGGGAAAGCATTACTAGAGGGAAATTTATAGCTATGAATGACTACATTAAAAGGAGAAAAGTTCTCAAATTAATAACCTAACTTTACACCTTAAGACTCTGGAAAAAGAAAAGCGGGCTAAACCTAAAGTTAGCATAGGAAAGGAAATAATAATGATTAGACCAGAGATACACAAAATACAGAATAAATGCAATAGAGAAAAATCAACAAACCTAAAATTGGTTCTTTGAAAAAAAATCAACAGAATTGACAAACCTGTAGTTAGATTAAGAAAATAAAGAAAGAAAACTCAAATTACTAAAATGAGAAGGGAGAGTGAGAGCATTACTACCAATTTTACAGAGATAAAGGGGATTATTAGAGAATATTATGAACAGTTGTACACCAACAAATTGGATAACCTAGATAAAATGGATAAATTCCTAGAAACACACAGTCTACCAAAACTGATGCAAGAAGAAACAGAAAATCTAAATAGACCTATAACTAGTAAGGAGATTGAATCAATACTTTTTTTAAAAACACTTTATTAAACCCCTCCAAAGAAAATCTCAGGACCAGAAGCCTTCATTGGGGAATTCTACCTAACAGTTAAAGAAGAATTAACACCAACTCTTCTCAAATTCTTTCGAAAATTGAAGAAGAGGGAGGACTACCTCATTCATTCTAAGAGGCCAGCATTACGCTGATACAACAGCCAGACAAAGATACTAAAAGAAAAGAAAACTACAAGCCAACATCCCTAAGGAAGATAGACGTCAATATCCTCAACAAAATACTAGCAAACCAAATTCAGCAGCATATTAAAATAACTATTCACTATGATCAAGTGGGATTTACCACCAGAATGCAAGAGTTGTTAAACATAGAAATATCAATTAATGTAATACACCACATTAATATTATGAAGGAAAAAAACCCAAGATCATATCAGTTGATGCAGAAAAATCATTTGACAAAATCCAACAGTGTTTCATGATAAGAATACTCAACAAATTAAGAACACAGGGGAACTTCCCCCAACATGATAAAGATCATATATGAAGAACTGTCCAGATGCAGTGGCTCATGCCTGTAATTCCAGCACTTTGGGAGGCAGAGGCAGGAGGGTCATTTGAGCCCTGGGTGGCATGGTGAGACTCCATCTCTACAAAAATATATTAAAAGAAAATAGCCAGGCATGGTGGCATGCACTTGTGGTCTCAGCTACTCAGGAGGCTGAGGTGAGAGGCCGAGGTGGGAGGATTGCTTGAGTGCAGAAGTTGAGGCTGCAGTGAGACATGTTTGTGCCATTGCATTCCAGGCTGGGCCTCAAAGTGAGACCCTGTGTGAAAAGAAAACCCACAGCTAAAATCACACTCAATAATGACAGACCGAATGTTTTTCCCTGGATGATTAAAATTTTCTAAATCTGGATAGTGATGACGGTTCCATAACCTTATGAATATACTAAAAACCACTAAATTGTACACTTTTATAAAAGTATGCATTTTATGTTACTTATATCTCAATAAAGCTGTTATTTAAAATGAACATGATATGGTCTCCACCACCAAGAAGCACAGAAACAATTTTGGAACGTTACAGAATTGAAAAAGATGATTTCTCAGCAACAAAGTCCTTATGTGCACAATAAAGTGATTAATATTTCCCAGGTGCTTTGATAAGAAATATATATTGAGAGCTAGCTATGAGAGAAGTCTTCTCTTGTTTCTTTTGTTTTTTTTTCTTTTTTGATTGTTACTTTAACTTTTTTCTAGAGAATCTGTTTAAATGGGAAAATGCCAAGGTAAATATTCTCTATTGACATGATTCAACATTTTTTGTATAAATACTGATAAATGCTTATCGAATTAATTCATATTTAAAAGAATGGACATTTACTTGGGTCATATTGGTGTTTCTATTGGTGAGAATTTTGACAAAACCGAGATGCACCTTCTTTTTTTTTGTTTTTTGAGGATTGTAGTTTTTTTTTTATTATTATACTTTAAGTTTTAGGGTACATGTGCACAATGTGCAGGTTAGTTACATATGTATACATGTGACATGCTGGTGCACTGCACCCACTAACTCGTCATCTAGCATTAGGTATATCTCCCAGTGCTATCCCTCCCCCCGACCCCACCCCACAACAGTCCCCAGAGTGTGATGTTCCCCTTCCTGTGTCCATGTGTTCTCATTGTTCAATTCCCACCTATGAGTGAGAATATGCGGTGTTTGGTTTTTTGTTCTTGCGATAGTTTACTGGGGATGCACCTTCAAAGGGGAAATGAAGAATAATTTATTTATTTTTTTCTAATTTTTATTTATTTAAAAAAAATTTTTTGAGACGGGGTCTCACTCTGTCACCCAGGCTGAAGTGCAGTGGCGCAATCTTGGCTCACTGCAATCTCCGCCTCCCAGGTTCAAGCGATTCTCTCACCCCAGCCTCCCGAGTATCTGGGACTACAGGCACCTGCCACCACATCCAGCTAATCTTGGTATTTTTAGTAGAGATGAGGTTTCGCCATGTTGGCCAGGCTGGTCTCGAACTCCTGACCTCAAGTGATCTGACTGCCTCAGTCTCCCAAAGTGCTAGGATTACAGGCATGAGCCACCATGCCCAGCAAGAATAATTTAATAAAGAGAGTATTTACAGAAATGTATGGACAGGGTTAAGGGAAACCAACAAGGGATAGCAAACTATTTGAAGCTAGCAGCACCGATAGCCATTGCCCCTCCTCCTAGACCAGAAGGAGTTGAGGAGAAAATGGTTACCAAAGCCCAGGATACAGCAAGACCCAAGACAGCCTGGCAGAGAGGGGCTGGAGGAATGAATGCTCTGACATCATTGCAACTACCCTTTCATCCTCTGCTGAAGCCTCCCATTCACTGACCTCATCCAAAGCCAAGAGGTGAGTCCACTGATGTAATCTACACAGGCCAGCCTCCTGGGCACATAGTAGAGTGGAGAAAGGTAAAGGGTGGACCTAGGAGGGAAAATGAAAAACAGGTGGCAGAGATCAATCTATTTGCTCCTCACTTGCTCTTTAGAATGGGGGATTCCAGCCAACCCAGGTTTTTAACCAAAGAGCTAAAGACACAGAGGGAAAGGATGGAGAACGCTCTTTGTTGGCACAACTGCAGTAATTGCACTTGATCTTTGTCCAGATGAAAAAAAAATCTACTGTCAATTCAGCCATATTTCCATCAGAGGTCTTCATAAAAGGCCGCAGAAATGTGTTAAAGAAATAATTAGTAGCGGGATGTGGTGGCACGCACCTGTAATCCCCACCTACATAAAAGGCAGGAGGATCACTTGAGCCCAAGTTCAAGAACAGCCTGAGCAAAATAGCAAGACCTGGTCTCAAAATAAAGAAATAAATAAAAAATTTATTTTTAAAAATAAGCAATTAGCAAATATAAAAAAGTGGCTGCTATAGTCACCACTTCTATAACTAGTCCTGACGCCAGGGTGCTGAATACATAATTAATTGATTGATTAGAAATGCAAGAGACTATTCTGTCATTAATTATAATTGCATGCATGCAGTTGCCCTGGATATTTCCTGTGAAAGACTTTATCATCTTAATTATAGATCTTCCAAAAGAGACAGCCTTAAATAAAATGTATAGATATGTCTCTCTTTTGCGCAGGGGGTGGAGGGGTACTTAGCACATGGACACCTTTTTGTGTTTAGAGAATTCACTATTTTATTTTATTTTATTTTTGAGACAGAGTCTCACTGTCACCCAGGCTAGAGTGCAGGGGCGTGATCTCAGCTCACTGAAACCTCCACCTCCCACCTTTAAGCGATTCTGCTGCCTCAGCCTCCTGAGTAGCTGGGACTATAGGCGCACACCACCACACCTGGCTAATTTTGTATTTTTAGTGGAGACGAGGTTTCGCCATGTTGGCCAGGCTGGTCTGGAACTCCCGACCTCAGGTGATCCACTCGCCTCGACCTCCCAAAGTGCTGGGATTATAGGCTTGAGCCACTGCACCTGGCTCATCAGACCATTTCATTGTCATGTTTTGAACATTGTTCTGGGGGGCTTAGACTCTCAATGGTTTGTTAAGGAGCTCTTTTAAAAAAAATAAACTCTTTGTATTTTTAATCAGCCTGATTCAGCTTCTGTTGTGTGTCTGTTACAAAGAAGTAAGTGAATTTACAACATCTTGTCCAATTAAATGGGATTTAAAGCAGGAACTTAGAAGCTACCTAAAAAGGAGTTATTACCTTAGAATTAACAGGCTGTTGGATGTCAGGGCCCATGTTAGGAAAGATTATGAAGATTAAGAAAAGAAGACCCAGAGCTCTGCTCAGATTAACTAAATTCCCAAGCTGTAAAGTAATTACCCCAAGACCCATGGTCAAAAGAAATGGATTATGATCCCTGATATAGGAAAAAAAAAAAACAAACCTACAAAACCCAGAATAAGGAAGAGATAAGCGACCAAAAATATACCATCCAGATCATTAAATCATTTGGAATTAAGAAAATGTTTACTGCAGTACTGGTTCTCACTCCTACAAAAAAAGAAAGGAAGGATAGAAAAAACCATATTGGTTTTTGGTTTTTTTGTTTGTTTTGTTTTATCAGAGAACTTTGAAGTATTTAGCATTTTAACCTGGTCTTTAATGGTCCAATATTTCTCTACCATGACTGGCAAGATTTGTGTGGCTGGGAATTTAATCAGAAAAGTAAAGAGAAGTGATTTCCCCACAAACTCTCAGATACACGTGGCAGATGTGGTTGGTTCTGGATCTTGAATATAGCACCATTATAATGTAGAGAAGGCAAAGCACCATAGGACTGTAACTTGCAAAAATTTTCATGCAAAGATTGCTCCCCCAGGGCCAAAAGTTGGAACTTTAAAATTATTTATGGACCCAATCCCCTTTCTGAAGGTGAGTTGATGTACCCCTGTGCAGTAGTATTTGTCTATTACATTTTTCATCAGAGAGTACTTTAGACACCAAGCTTTCTTTTCTGAGTGGCTGCGTAAATTTATAGTCTTAGCACTCTATAACAAGGGGTAAGCATAGCAATGAAATATCACTGAGGAATTTATTGATCCTTTATTGAGATATGGCGACATGATTGCAGGACAGAAAAGAATGGATTCTTGTCAAAGCCAGGATTTGAATTCAGCCAGTTCACATTTTTAACCATACTATACTGTATCTTGGAGGGTCTGAAGGATGCACAAGACAAGGTGAATTTTTTGCCAAGAAGTCCACACTCAACCTCTGGGGTAGGCTGAATAACGGTCCCCAAAGATGTTCACATCCTAACCCCCAGAACCTGGGAATATACTGCAGTTTCCCTTACATGGCAATAGGGATGTTGCACATATGAAGCTAAGGATTTTTTTTTTTTTTTTTGAGACAAAGTCTTGCTTTGTCACCCAGGCTGAAGTGCAGTGGTACCATCCTGGTTCACTGCAGCCTCGACCTCCCAGGCTCAGCAATTTACCCACCTTGGCCTCCCAAAGTGCTGGGACTACAGGCATGAGCCACTGGACTGGCCGAAATTAAGGATCTTGAGATGGAGAGATTATCCCGAATTATCTAGTGTGCCCAATCTAATCACCGGGTCCTTATAAGAGAGAGAAGATGTAAGGACAAGGCAGAGGTCAAAGAGGAGAGAAGAAGCCACGCTGCCGGCTGTGAAGGTTTTACTCGTAGTGACTGTGAAGCCACTGCCAGTAATAAGCAGAGAAGAAACAGGATCTGATTTGCATTTCGACAGGAGAATGACTTCGCAGGGAAGGGATAGAAGCAGAGAGTCCAGTTAGAAAACTATTGCAATATCCCAGGGAAGAGGTGATCTGTGTCCTGGCCCAGGTGTTAGCATGTGGAATACTTCACAGATAAAGCCAATGGGATTTGCCGACATATCAGACATGACATACGGAAGAAAGAGAGGAGTCTGTCAAAGATGACTCCAAAGATTTCAGCCTAAGCAAAGGGAAAGATGCAGGTGCTGTTAACTGAGACGGGGAAGCCTGCGGGATAAGCAGGTTTGGGACGGAAGATCAGGATCTCAGCTTTGGATACAAGTAATTTGAGAGCCCATTAAACATTCAAGTGCAGAATTCAGAGGAGAGGTTTGCAGTGCCAATATAAGTTTGAGACTAACGGTGGATACAGAGATACCCTGTCCAGATCCCTCTTCCAAGCAGGATTTGCTGCTTCAGCCACTGGGAGTGCTGTCAGCAGACAACTTTCTGCTGTCAAGTCCTTCAGGACCAGCCTCAATTGCAGAGAGCTGCCTTGACCAAATGCACACCTCTCCGGGGAAAGCCCCAGTAAGGAATATAAGGCCCAGCAATCTGAGCCAAACAGATAACAAGTCTAATAAGCTATTCTCTTCATAAATTTGTACGGCTAAAACAGAATACCTGAGACTGGGTAATTTACAAAGAACAGACATTTATTTTCTCATGGTTCTGGAGGCTGAGAAGTCCAAGATCAAGGCGCTAGCAGACTCAGTGTCTAATGAGGGTCTTATCTGTGCTTCCAAGATGGTGCCTTGAACACTGTGTCCTCCAGAGGGGAGTAACACTGGTAGAAGGCGGAGGGCAAAAAAGGATAAACTCCCTTCATCAAGCCCTTTTATAATACCATTAATCCATTCACGAAGGTGGAGCCTTCATGACCTAAACACACCCCAAAAGTCTCACCTCCCAACACTGTTGGATTGGAGATTAAGGTTCCAACACACGAATTGTGGGGGACACATTGAGACCACAGCAGCTATCTATGCTGCAGAGCTCTTGCAGGGTTGACCATGGCCAAGGTTGTGCCACGTCTAATTCAAATTCTCCATCTGCTCAACCCTGGCTCCCCTCTCCCTTCCACAGGCGTCAACCCCTAATAAGTCTCTTGCACCCCAAACTGCATCTTAGTGTCTGCTTCCAGAGAACTCAAACAACAACAGCCCTCAACAGCATATAGACGGTTATGCAAAGCCTAGAAGTTGCATTTACCTTATTAACAGGTTCTTAAAGTATTTCATGCCAACTTCCCAAAAAAATAGACTCTTCTCTGTCCAGTGAGCCTAACATCCTGACCTGGAGAGGCAAGAGCAGGATTTTTTAAAAGCACTTCATAGAGGCCACAGTAGGAAAGGCCAAAGATGCCCAAACTCATCAGTATTCAGAATATTCTAATTAACACACAATGAGGCCAGGTACGGTGGCTCACACCAGTAATCCCAACACTTAGGGAGGCCGAGGTGGGAGGATCGCTTGAGCCCAGGAGTTCAAGACCCACCTGGGCAACATAGCAAGACTCTGTTCTCCACAAAGAGAAGGGGAAAACCCACAACGGCATACCATTTCATACCCAGCAGACTGTCGAAATGTAAGTCTCTCAATATCAGGTTTTAATCCATAGAATAAAATAAATATCCACACTTCTCGGCCGGGTGCAGTGACTCACACCTGTAATCCCAGCACTTTGGGAGGCCAAAGCGGGTGGATCACTTGAGATCAGGAGTTTGAGACCTGCCTGGCCAACATGGTGAAACCCTGTCTGTACTAAAAAAAAAAAAAAAAAAAAAAAATTAGCCAGGTGTGGTGGCACACACCTGTAATCCCAGCTACTCAGGAGGCTGAGGCATGAGAATCACTTGAACCCAGGAGGCAGAGGTTGCAGTGAGCAGAGATCACAACACTACACTCCAGCCTGGGTGACAGAGTAAGACTCCACCTGAAAAATAATAAATAAATAAATAAATCACACTTCTGCATGGATCGAAATAAAAAAATAAATACATGAGGAGAAGGGATGGTTCTATCTTTCAGTAGATTTACAATTTATAAATGTAAAAGGAGAAAGGAATATGAAAAATTACCATTAGTCAAATGTCACAGCAATAACTGTTGCAGACAAGATCCACCAATGGATGCTAAAATTTGTGGGCAAAAGTTTGAGAAGGAAAAAGACTTGTATAGTCTCAAAAAATCTCCTTCAAGATAGTTTTTAATTACCAAGGGGAAAATAGTAACTTTACAGTGGAGATGTGCAGCATACAGCAATTTAAGTGATCAAGGTCAGCATCACCAGCAATAAGATACACTGACATCAGGTGCCTCCTGATATCATGCACTGAGAAGGACACAACATCATTTCTGTGGCGTTCTTGGCAAAAACTCATAACTTTAGTCCAGTCATGAGAAAATGTCAGACAAGCCCAAATTGAGGAATATCCTATAAACTAACTGATCAGTACCATTCAAAAGTGTCAAAGTCAGTTGGGCATGGTGGCTCACACCTATAATCCCAAAGCTTTGAGAGGTTGAGGCAGGAGGATTGCTTGAGGCCAATAATTCAAGATCAGCATGTGCAACACAGTGAGACCCCATCCTGACAAAAAAAATTAGCCGGGCACCATGGCATGTGGCTGTAGTCCTAGCTACTCAAGAGGCTGAGGCAGGAGGATCCTCTGAGTCCAGGAGTTGAAGGTTGCAGTGAGCTATGATCGCACCACTGCACTCCAGCCTGGGCGACAGAAAGAGACCCTACCTCTTAAAAAAGCAAAGTGTCAAAGTCATGAAACACAAGCAAATACAGAGGAAATGTTCCTGTCTAGAAGAGACACAACAACTGAACACAATATGGGAGTCTGGAACAGAAAAAAGGAAAAAAAAAGGACATCAATAGAAAAAGTGTTAACATTCAAATAAGATTGGTAGTTTAGTTGATACTGTGATACCAATGTTAATTTCCTAGTTTTGATCATTGTGCTATGCTAATAACAATAGGGGGAGCAGGATGAGAGATATGTGGGACCTCTCTGTACTATCTGCACTTTTCTGCAAGTCTAAAATTATCTAGCATTACAGCTTCCACCTCACTCTCTGCGTTAACTTGCTCACCATCTGGCCCTCCCCACAGTCCCCATCATGTGGCCTAGCTTCCCCTAGAGCAAGTGGACCCAGAGGAGTGTGAGTGAGCCCCCTTGGAAGGGCATTCTCCAGTTCCTTTAAACCCTTCTGATGACTGAACCCCAGGCCAGTGCCTTCGAACCAGAACCATGTGGATAAGCTGCTCTCAAATACTTGACCCACAAAAAGTGTGTGAGACAATAAATGTTTACTGCTTTTACCTCCCAGATTTTCTTTTTGAAATTCAGAAAGTTGTTGTTGCACATAATGACGACTAGATGGCACCAGAATTCCAAGGATAGAAGCAGGCTGCCAGCATCATGAACTCAATTGCCTCTGAGTTTGTTTACAAATTTATTGCAATCCCAATACAGATATCATCAAGGGTTTTGTGTGTGTGTTTGTGTGTGTGTGTGTGTGTGTGTTTTCTTTTTTTGCCCCAGAGCTAGAAAGAAGCAGTAGCAGCCGTGGCTGCCACCAACTTAGGCAGTAGCTCTACCAAATACTTAAAACGATATAAGTGGCCAGGCGTGGTAGCTCATGCCTATAATCCCAGCACTTTGGGAGGCTGAGGCGGGTGGATCACCTGAGGTCAGGAGTTTGAGACCATCCTGGACAACATGATGAAACCCCATCTCTACTAAAAATACAAAAATTAACTGGGCATGGTGGTGGGCACCTGTAATCCCTGCTACTCGAGAGGCTGAGGCAGGAGAATCCCTTGAACCCGGGAGGCAGAGGTTGCAGTGAGCTGAGTTTGCACCATTGCACTCCAGCCTGGGTGACAAGAACAAAACTCCGTATCAGAAAAATTAAAAATAATAAAAATAATACAATAAAAATAAAACAATATGTGCCCTTGCCATGGTTGGGGCTAAAAAAAAAAAAGTAAATAAAAACAATATTTTAAAATGTGTTACTGATGCATAAATAAGCAGACAGATCAAAAGAAGGTTAGAAAATCCAAAGACAGAAGCAATTGCTGATGGAGATTTATATGATGATATAGTAATTTCTAATTCAGGAAGGGACTTTAGAAAAGGTTTTAATTTAGTAGTGTAGAAACAACTAGATGACCACGTGAAAACAAAGAAGCTTGAATGCATTTCCCACCCCATATACCAGATTAAATCCTAAACATATCAAAGATCTAAATGAAAAAACACAGCCTCACAGATAATAAAACACTGGTGAGTTCCCTCATTACCGGGGAGGGTGTAAATTTTCCAAACTATTACTCAAGATCCAGAAGCCATAAAAGAGAATTTTGTTAAATGACCAAACAAAAAAAAAACAAAAACCTTTTGCGTGGCCACAAAATAAGCCATACACAACCAAAAACTACAGATGACAAAATAAGAAAAATATTTACCACTTATATCACAGAAGAGAAAGAGTTAAAATCCCTAAAATATAAAGTGTCTAAAAATTAAGGGAAAAAAAACAAGAAACCTATTGAAAGCGGGCAAGATACATAAACAGAGAGTTCACGTTAAAAAATGCAAATGCCACCTAAATTTATAAAAATAGCCAGACACAGTGGCTCATCCCTGTAATCCCAGTACTTTCGAAGGGAAGGTGAGGGGATTGATTGATCCCAGGAGTTTAAGACCAGCCTGAGCAAGATGACAAGACCTTGTCTCTAAATAAAATAAAATAAATTAGCTGAGTGTGGTGGCACACACCTGTGATCCCAGCTACTCGGGATGCTGAGGTGGGAGGATGGGAGGACTGCTGGAGCCCAGGAGTTCAAGGCTGCAGTGAGCTATGATTGCACCACTGCACTCCAGCCTGTGTGACCGAGTAAGACCCTGTCTCAAAAAATAAAAAATAAAATATCACACCTGTAATCCCAGAATTTTGAGAGGCTGAGGCAAGCAGATCACCTGAGGTCAGGAGTTCAAGACCAGCCTGGCCAACATGGCATGGTGCATGCCATGTTGCAGCCAGGCAACATGGTGCAGCCAGGCATGGTGGCATGCACCTGTAATCCCAGCTACTCAGGAGGCTGAGGCAGGAGAATCGCTTGAGCCTGGGAGACGAAGGTGGCAATGAGCCAGCCGAGATTGTGCCACTCCACTCCAGCCTGACTGGCAAAGCAAGAGCCTGTCTCAAAAAATAAAAAATAAACTAAAGCTCAGCCTCACTCATAATAAAAGAAACACAATTAAAACTGCCCTGAGATCCTATTTCTCACCTAACAGATTAGCAAAAATCCAAATGTTGGACAGCCCTCTTGTTGGCAACGCTGTGGGGAAACAGGGACTCTTCCATTTTACTGATGGAATATAAAAAGATAAAACCTCCATGGAGGAGAATTTGGCAATATCTAGTGAATTTGCCCTTTGACTCAGCAATCCTACTTCTAGGAATTAGGTCCAAAGACACAGACAGAAATAGGAAACTTCATATGAACGTGCCTCTTCACTGGAGCCCTACGCATGATAGCAAAAAACTGGAAACTATTGCAATAGCCATGAAGAGGGTGCTGCTTAATTCAACTATGCTATATCCACAAATACAGAGCACTGTACAGCTGTGAAAATAAGATATATTAAGATTACATATATATGTGATGTGTGTGTATGTACAAGTGTGTACACACGTGTTTTTTTGTTTTGTTTTTTTGACTATTTGTTTGTTTTGTTTTGTTTTGAGACAGTCTTGCTCTGCCGCCCAGGCTGGAGTGCAATGGCACGATCTCAGCTCACTGTAACTTGCACCTCCCAGGATACAAGCCATTCTCCTGCCTCAACCTCCCTAGTAGCTGGGACTACAGGCACGTACCATGACGCCCTGCTAATTTTTGTATTTTTAGTAAAGATGGGGTTTTGTCATTTTTACCAGGCTGGTCTTGAACTCCTGACCTCAAGTGATCCGCCCACCTCAGCCTCCCAAAGGTCCTGGGATTACAGGCGTGAGCCACCACACCCGGCCCATGTGTACACACATATATAGTCACCTCCAAGATGTAGTTAAGTGAAAAAACCAAGGTGCAAATTGGTATGAACAGGATGTACCTTTTGCTCAATAGAGAGGAAAATGAATACATATGTTCATTGGTTTATATTTTCCAAGTAAATGGAATGTCAAAACAATTTTTGCGATTGGGACTCAATCACCCACAAAACAATGGTTTTGGTTTTTTGTTTTCTTGAGACAGGGTCTTGTTCTGTCACCCAGGATGGAGTGCAGTGGTATGATCACAGCTCACTGCAGCCTCCACTTCCTGGGCTCAAGCGATCCTCCCACCTCAACCTCCAGAGTAGCTGGGACTGCAGACGTGTGTGACCACGCCCAGCTAATTTTTTACTTTTTATAGAGATGGGGTCTCATTATGTTGCCCAGGCTAAAACAATGTCTTAAAGTAATTTAAGATATATTAATTTGACATAAATCCCTAATGGGGTATATCCTCCTGGAAAAAAAAGCACCATAAGAAAATCTTAAACTATATTTAGTCATCATATTACTAGTGATAGTATTGATATTTTAAAATTTTATATATGCACATATATATTCAGATATGCATATATATTCACATACTTCAAAACGTATGCTGATGTCACTACAATTCAAAATTCTCTTTTTTTCTTTGAGAATTCAACATTCTCTGAATAAGAAAAAAGAGGCATAATAATAACATTTTAGAAGTTGTAAAGGGCAAAACTAAACTATGGACACACATTTGGATAACTAATTACTATAAAGAAACACAGAGATGATTGCTATAAAAGTCAGGCTGGCCAGGCACGGTGGCTCACGCCTGTAATCCCAGCACTTTGGGAGGTCCAGGCGGGCGGATCACCTGAGGTCAGGAATTCAAGATCAGCCTGGTCAACATGGCGAAACCCCATCTCTACTAAAAATACAAAAAAATTACCTGAGTGTGGTGGTGCACATCTGTAATCTCGCTACTGGTGAGGCTGAGGCATGAGAATCACTTGAACCTGGGAAGTGGAGGTAGCAGTGAGCCGAGCTCATGCCACCTCACTCCAGCCTGGATGACAGAGTGAGACTCTATCTTAAAAAAAAAAAAAAAAAAAAGTCAGGCTGAGGGTTAATTTTGGTAGAGAGAAGGGAGGGGCTGGGCCTGGGCGCCTGGGCTAGGGCACGTGGAGAGGCTTATGAACAGCTGGCAAATTCTATTTCTTGACTTACATGTGGTTACAAGTGGCTTGCCTTAAAATAACACAATTTGTGTGTTTCGCTGAATTTCAGGAACTCCTATTTTAAGAACTTCCTGGGGTTTTTTTTTTTTTTTTAACAAAGAAATGTAGTACTTTGTTTTTTAAAAGGAAGATTTTTATTATATGAATCAATACCTAATAAATTAGAAGCAAAGCCTCTTGCAGAGAAAAAGATCCACCAATAAGGAGATCTGCGTTTCTTCAGGGGAAAAAAAAAATCATCTCCATCACAGAATTGAAAACAAAGGAATAATCGTACAGATTTGGGAAGCTGGGGACTTTGCCTTTGTTTTCCTTATTTTAAATTAGGAATGCTGGCTGATGAAATCAGAGCACCCTGTGAAAAGAACTGTACCAGACATCTTGATCAGCACCATTTTGGGCCTCTGCAATGTCAAATAAATTTGAATATATTTTTGCTTTTACAACGTTATGCTAGCTGTGAAACCACTTGAAATGCAGCATTTCCTGACAATGACAAAGCTCCTCCACGGGAAACTCTCTTTCTTTCTAATGTGTTAAGAAATAGACTTACATCAAAAAGAAAAGCATTCTCTATGAAACACAAACGCTTTGGAAGTGTCTAAAGGTGCCACAAAGGTTGCAATTCTCTCTCCACTTGCAAGAATTTTTTTTTTTTTTTCCCGAGATGGAGTCTTGCTCTGTCACCCAGGCTAGAGTGCAGTGGCTTGATCTCGGCTCACTACAACCTCCACCTCCCAGGTTCAAGCAATTATCCAGCCTCATCCTCCCAAGTAGATGGGATTACAGGCACATGCCACCATGCCCGGCTAATTTTTATTTTTAGTAGAGACGGGGTTTCACCATGTTTGCCAGGCTGGTCTCAAACTCCTGACCTAGTTGATCCACCCACCTCAGCCTCCCAAAGTGCTGGGATTACAGGCGTGAGCCACCAAGCCTGGCCTTTTTTTTTTTTTTTTTTTTTTTTTTTAAAGACAGGGTCTCACTCTGTTGGCCAGGCTGAAGTGCAGTGGTGTGATCTCGGCTCACTGCAACCTTGAACTCCTGGGCTCAAGTGATCCTCCTGCCTTGGCCTCCCAAGGTGCTGGGATTACAGGTACCAGGTGAGCCTTCACACCCGGCTCACTTACAAGATTATAGTGAGATCAAACGTGGAGAACTTCTGATCCAGATTCAAATGGTCTAGATTTATATTCTGGCTCCCTCACTTACTAGCTGCGTGACCTTAATCAAATCACTTAACCTCTCTGATTCTGTGACCACACACATAAAACTGAGATATGACAATGCCTACCTCCTAGAGGTTGTCATGAGAATAAACTGTTTTAACAGAAGTAAGACACTTAGGACAGGGCAAAGCTATCTTGAGCCTTACTAGGCCAAGGGACCAGAGAAGCTCAGATCCAAGCACTCCATACTGAGTGGCCATGCTGCAAAACTCCCACAAACCCCAAATCAACACAGATTGGCTGGGCAAGGTGGCTCGCACCTATAATCCCAGCACTTTGGGAGGCTGAGGTGGGTGGATCACTTGAGCCCAGGGATTTGAGACGAAAGAAAGAATGAGAGAGAGAGAGAGAAAGAGAGGAAGGAAGGAAGGAAGGAAGGAAGGAAGGAAGGAAGGAAGGAAGGAAGGAAGTTAGGAAGTTTATTCTCTTACTGTTCTGGAGGTCAGAAGCCAACAATCAGCTTCCCTGGGCAAGCAAACAAGAAAGAGAAAAGAAAGGAAATAACACAGATTTATTCTCTTACAGTTCTGGAGGTCAGAAGCCAGCAATCAGCTTCCCTGGGCTAAAGTCAAGTGGTTGGCAGGGCTGATTCTTTCTGGAGGCACTGAGGGAAGACCTTATGTCCTTGTCTTTTTAGCCACCCGTATCCCCTGGCTCGTGGCCCCCTCCTCCTTCTCCAAAAGTGGCCCTCGGCTGGGTGAGGTGGCTCATGCCTGTAATTCCAGCACTTAGGAAGACCAAGGCGGGTGGATCACCTGAGGTCAGGAGTTCAAGACCAGCCTAGCCAACATGACAAAACCCCATCTCCACTAAAAATATAAAAATTAGCCAGACGTAATGGTGAGCACCTGCAATCCCAGCTACTCAGGAGGTTGAGGCAGGAGAATTGCTTGAACCCAGGAGGCGGAGGTTGCAAAGAGCTGAGATCACACCACTGCACTTCGTCTCAAAAAACAAACAAACAAACAAACCCGCATCCCTCTAATGTTTGCTTCCATTGTCACATCGACATCCCTCTGACCAACTTCTCCTGTGTCCCTCTTGTAAGGATCTTTGTGATTCTATTCAGGACCCACCCAGGTAACCCAGGATCATTTCCCCAACTGAACAAACTTAATCACATCTGAGAGTCCATTTTGCCATATAAGGGAACGTTCACAGGTTCTAGGGATTAGGATGTATAAACCTTCTTAATTATTATTAATACTTAGCCAAGCCTTGTGGGGCAAGAGAAACTTTTTCTTTTCTTTTGTTTTTTGGTTTTGTTTTGTTGTTGTTGTTGTTGTTGTTTGTTGTTGTTGTTGTTTGAGATGAAGTCTCCCCCTGTCACCCAGGCTGGAGCTCAGTGGCACAATCTCAGCTCACTGCAACCTCCACCTCTGGGTTCAAGGGATTCTCATGCCTCAGACTCCCAAGTAGCTGGAATTATAGGAACCTGCCACCACACCCAGCTAATTTTTGTTTTTTAGTAGAGATGGGGTTTTACCATGTTGACTAGGCTGGTCTCAAACTCCTGACCTCAAGTCTGCCTCGGTCTCCCAAAATGCTGGGATTACAGGCATGAGCCACTGTGCCCAGCCATGTTTTTTTTGAGACTGAGTCTCACTCTGCTGCCCAGGGTGGAGTGCAGTGGTGCAATTTCAGCTCACTGCAAACTCCTCCTCCCGGATTCAAGCAATTCTCGTGCCTCAGCCTCCCAAGTAGCTGGGACTACAGGCACCCACCACCATGCCTGACTAATTTTTGTATTTTTAGTACAGATGGGGTTTTACCATGTTGGCCAGGCTGGTCTCGAAATCCTGACCTCAGGTGATCCGCCTGCCTCGGCCTCCCAAAGTGCTGGGCTTACAGGTGTGAGTCACCGTGCCCAAACTTTTTTGTTGTGTTTTGTTTTTGAGACAGGGTTTCCCTCTGTTGCCCAGGCTGGAGTGCAGTGGTGCGGTCACAGTTCACAGCAGCCTCAAACTCCCAAGCTCAAGTGATCCTCCCACTTCAGCCTCCCAAGTAGCTGAGACCATAGATGCGTGCCACCACACATGACTTATTTATTTATTTAGTAGAGACAGGATCTCACTATGTTGCCCAGGCTGCTCTTGAACTCCTGGACTCAAGTGATTCTCCCACCTCGACCTCCCAACTGCTGGCATTACAGGCATGAGACACTGCACCCAGCCAGGACATGGAAACTTTGGAGGCCACATTATTCAGCCTACCACAGTCTCAAAGTGTGGTCTGATTCCATTCTGTTGGCTGTTTTATTTCTTCAGGTCTCAGACCTTACGTGGACCTATGGGTGCTACTTAGGACGTAGGTCCAGCCAGAAGTCAGAGAAGGCTACTGGAACTGCCAGTTCAGGACCCTTGAGCTCCCCTGTTACATGCCTTTGTGCAAATTAGGAAAAGGCTGTCCTCCCTTCCTCTGGGTAGACACAGCTCCACACCAGGATGTGTGGCTGGTGAAAGGGCACAGGTTGCATTTCAGCCTCCACATGCCTCCTGGGTCAAACAAATTTGTGCAGTGCACAACCTATACAACCCCAGTTTAAGGCACAGGGCCCCCACCTCACCCTGATTTAAAAAAAAAAATTAGGGAAGCATGCCCAGTCTTATTCTTGTCTTTCTCGGTATAATTTAGATCTGCACAAACTTTCTATCATGACTCACACTTCCTGAAACCCTGGAGCCTCCCAGATGTGAAATCACTGAGAGCTGGCTCTTCAGAAACAGTGACTCCTTTAACAGGCGGGCTTGGAGGACGTCTCTTGTGGGTCTAGGTCTTATAAAACTGACTCCTGCAGGGCTGCCTGGGACTGGTGGGAAACCCTTGGTGACTAGGGTCAGGGCTTCGCAGAGCCCCAGCGCAGGGTGAGATTGGAAGAATTACACTTCCGCCCAGGCGCAGAGCCCTGGCACAGGGTAGGATTGGAAGAATTACACCTCCGCCCTTCGGCCAACGACCAACACCTTCGGAGTCTGCAGAGGTTTGGAGGAGTCCGAGGAGACTTCAAGGCAGAGCTGGCAAGGTCTGGGAGGGAGCGTGGGCTTGCTGCGTTCTCCCCGCGCCCCGATTCCTACCCTCCCGAAGGAGTAGCTGCTCTCTTGTGGGAAACCCATCCTTCAGCCCTTCCACGCATAGGGAGTGGGGTGGGAGGGAGAGCACAGCGCCCTGCTCTTTGTGAAGGCTGCCCCCACAGGGACGCTGGCAGGATCCACCCCATAAACAGTACAGTCTGGGATCAACGACACAGCTCTGTGGATCCTGGGATATCCCCCGTCATCTTTCATTCTCATTTTTCTTGGACATACTAAATTCGTCTCAATCGGAATGAAATTAACAATGATTTTTATTTTCCACTTGGGTGTTTTTTGTTTTTGTTTGGTGCGTAGTTTCCAAATGTTCAACAACTACCATGAATTACTTTTATAATCATAAGTCAATAATATTGTTATAAGGATGTTTCAGGGCTCTGAAATCCCAGCCGGTAACCCCAGCACTTTGGGAAGCCGAGGCAGAAGTCTGAGGGGCTTGAGACCAGGAGTTTGAGACCAGCCTGGGCAACATAGTGAGATCCCCTTCTCTACAAAAAAAAAAAAAATTGAAAATTAAAAAAATAGCCAGGTGTAGTGGCACGCTCCTGTAGTCCTAGGTACTCAGGAGGTGGTGGAGGTACAGGGTGCAGTGGCTCACACCTGTAATTCCAGCACTTTGGGAGGCCAAGGCAGGTTAATCATTTGAGGTCAGGAGTTCAAGACCAGCCTGGCCAACATGGTGAAACCCTGTCTCTACTAAAAATACAAAAAATTAGCCGGGCATGGTGGCAGGTGCCTGTAATCCCATCTAGTCAGGGGGCTAAAGCAGAATTGCTTGAACCTGGGAGGTGGAGGTTGCAGTGAGCCGAGATCACGTCACCACACTCTAGCCTGGACAACAGAGCAAGACTCTGTCTCAAAAAAAACAAAACTTGGCCGGGCGTGGTAGCACGCAGCTGTATCCCAGCTACTCGGGAAGCTGAGGCAGGAGAATCGCTTGAACCCAGGAGGTGGAGGTTGTAGTGAGCCGAGATCATGCCACTGCAGTCCAGCCTGGGCAACAGAGTAAAACAGTCTCAAACTAAAAGAGAAAAAAGAAAATTTTCAGAAAATAAAAACAATCCCTAATAGTAATCACATCCCGATAATACTGTGTGCCAAGATCTGACCCAGAACTGTCTGTGCACTTTTGTTGTTGTTGTTGTTGTTTGTTTTTATTTTTTCATACAGGGTCTCACTCTGTCATCCAGGCTACAGTGCAGTGGCGCAATTATGGCTCACTGCAGCCTCGACCTCCTGGGCTTAAGTGATCCTCCCACCTCAGCCTCCCAAATAGCTGGGACTACAGGGGCGCATCACCGCACCCAGCTAATTGTTGTAATTTTTGTAGAGACAGGGTCTCACCATGTTGCCCAGGCTGGTTTCCAACTCCTGGATTCAAGCAATCCACCTACTTTAGTCTCCCAAAGTATCAGAATTATAGGCGTGAGCCACCGTGAGTAGTTCTTTTTGTCAGAATGGCATTTTTCAGGATATGCTTAATTGGTTAGAAACTAAAATGTGGTACACCCACACAATGGGATATTAGTCAGCCACAAAAAGGAATGAAGTACTGATCCATACTACAACATGACTGAGCCACAAAGACATGCCAAGCAGAAGAAGAGGCAAAAGACCACACAATATATCATTCCATTTATATGAAATATCTGGAATAGGCCAATATACAGAGATGGAAACTACATTCGTGGTTACCTAGGACTGAACGACTTGGGGGATTAGGGAGTGACTGAATGGATACAGATACAGAATTTCTTGTTGGAGCCCAGACATGGTGGCTCACGCCTGTAATCCCAGCACTTTGGGAGGCCGAGGCAGGCAGATCACCTGAGTTCAGGAGTTCAAGACCAGCCTGGCTAACCTGGTGAAACTCTGTCTCTACCAAAAATACAAAAATTAGCCAGGTATGGTGGGGGGTGCCTGTAATCCCAGCTACTTGGGAGGCTGAGGCAGGAGAATCACTTGAACCCAGGAGGCAGAGGTTGCAGTGAGCCAAGATCATGCCACCACACTCCAACCTGGGCAACAGAGCCAGACTCCGTCTCAAAAAAAAAAAAAATTTCTTGTTGGAGTGATGAAAATGTTCTGGAATTGACTGTGGTAATGGTTGCACAACTCTGGAAATATGCCTGATATGGTTTGAATCTGTGTCCCCACCCAAATCTCGTGTCCAGTTGTAATACCCAGTGTTGGAGGAAGGGCCTGGTGGCAGACGATTGGATCGGGGGGTGGAGTTCTCATGAATGGGTTAGCACCATCCCCTCAGTCCTGTTCTCGTGATAGTGAGTTATTATTTTGAGATCTGCTTGTTTAAAAGTGTGTATGTGTAGCACCTCCCCCATCTCTCTTCCTCCTGCTCTGGCCATGTAAAGCGCTGGCAACCCCTTTGCCTTCTGCCGTGATTGTAAGTTTCCTGAGGCCTCCCCAGAAGCAGACGCTGCCATGCTTCCTGTTCAACCTGCGGAACTGTGAGCCAATTAAACCTCTTTACAAATTACCCAGTCTCAGGTATTTCTTTATAGCAATGCAAGAATGACCCAATTCAATGCTAAAACTAAGTAATCGTATCTTTTAAATTGGTGGATTTTATAATATGTGAATTCTATCTTATTAGAGCTGTTCCTAAAAATAAAACACGGTGGCTCACACCTGTAATCCCAGCACTTTGGGAGGCCGAGGCGGGCGGGTCACCTGAGGTCGGGAGTCGGAGACCAGCCTGACCTACATGGAGAAACCCCGTCTCTACGAAAAATACAAAATTAGCCGAGTGTGATGGTGCATGCCTGTAATCCCAGCTACTCGGGAGCCTGAGGCAGGAGAATCACTTGAACTCAGGAGGCAGAGGTTGTGGTGAGCTGAGATCATGACATCGCACTCCAGCCTGGGCAACAAGAGTGAAACTCCGTCTGAAAAAAATAAAATAAACTAAAATAAAAATAAATAAAGCAAAAAGCCTAGGGGCAGGAAGTCGAATTACCTTGACTTCTACTTACTGTCTGTTACGTCTAGCACATTGCCTCATGACCCAAGACAATTGCTTGAGCTCTAGACATCACATGTAAATTCCAGGCAATGAAAGCAAGGAAGGAAGAAGGGCATGGCATCTCCCTTGCAATGTGAATTACTGGAACTTGTGCAAACATTTCCATTTACGCGGTTTTAGTGCGGACACAGAAACAAAGCCACATCTAGCTGCAAAGGGGGCTTTTCAATCCCACCATTATAGGGAGTCATGCTTGAAGGGGGTTGGAAGGGTGTTGACCAAGCCAATCCCAAAGCGAAGTTATTAACCCCACTTTAAAGATGAGTAAACTGAGGCGCAGAGAGTGGAAGCTGCCTGCCCAAGGCCTCAGCTATTAGGTGGAAGGAAAGGAAAGGAGAGCCACTGTGCTCAAAGATTCCGGCTCAGATCAGGAAATTCATCAAAGATGAGCCATCCCACTCACACCGAGACCATACTAGAATTAGTGTGACCAGTTCTGGATATGTGTCCCTTAATAGAGCCAGTGAGGACGTGGTCAGAACAGAGATGAGGCTGAGGTTTATGAAAGGCAAACACATTCAATGGTTAACCCAGGCCTGAATCAGGCTGCCTGGATGGACAGGTTGTTTGTTTTTTGTTTTTTGGGACAAAGTCTTGCTCTGTTGCCCAGGCTGGAGTGCAGTGGCTCGATCTCGGCTCACGACAACCTCCACCTCCCAGGTTCAAGTGGTTCTCCTGCCTCAGTCTCCTGAGCAGCTGGGACTACAGGCACGTGCCACCATGCCCGGCTAATTTTTGTATTTTTAGTACAGACGGAGTTTCACCATGTTAGCCAGGCTGGTCTCGAACCCCTGACCTTGTGATCTGCCCACCTTGGCCTCCCAAAGTGCTGGAATTACAGGTGTGAGCCACCACGCCTGGCTGATGGACAGTTTTTATAAGCTGTTATCAGGAAGGAATGCTTTTGGCTGCAATAACAAAAAAAAATTTTTTTTAACCTGATGAACACTAGCTGAAACCTATAAGAAATTAATTTTATGCCTATTTTTCAAGGTCCAGAGGAAGGCTGCCTGGAACCATTTTTCTGGCTCAGGTGAGCCTAAAAACCAAGTCCTTATGGAAGGCTCACTCAAGGCCAGGAGTTCAAGACCAGCCTGGGCAACACAGCAAAACCCCATCTCTAAAAAATAAAAAACAAAATTAGCCGGCGTGGCGACATGCATCTGTTGTCCCACCTACTTGGGAGGCTGAGGCAAGAGGATCTCTTGGGCCCAGGAGGTCAAGGCTGCAGTGAACTATGATTGCACCACTGCACTCCAACCTGGGCAACAGAGTGACACCATGTCTCTGAAAAATAAAAATAAAAAAATACATTTTTTTTAAAACCCAGGCCTCTAGGAATCAGAGGTTTTCTGTGGGTCCCTAAAGAATGTCCATTTAACTTTATTAATACTTCCTTAGAGAATCAGCTCCAAAGACAGCTAAACATAACACAAGCGGTTAGGGCTTCAATGTAGAAACTTTGGAGGGCACAAAACATAATAGGGGTGCACATTGGGGTGACAACCAGAAGGAACTGGGAAATGTGATTGCTATGAAAGACAGCACAGGCTGAGAGTGGTGGCTCACTCCTGTAATCCCAGCACTTTGGAGGCCAAGGTGGACAGATCACGAGGTCAGGAGTTCAAGACCAACCTGGCCAACATGGTGAAACCCCGCTCTACTAAAAATACAAAAATTAGCCAGGCCTGGTGGCACGTACCTGTAGTCCCAGCAACTCAGGAGGCTGAGGCAAAAGAATTGCTTGAATCCGGGAGGCAGAGGTTGCAGTGAGCCGAGATCACGCCACTGTCACCCAGCCTAGGTGACAGAGCAAGATTCCGTCAAAAAAAAAAAAAAGACAGCACAGTGGCTACCCAGGGGAGCAGGGAGAGGACTGCAATGGGGAACACGGCGGGGTTCCTGGGGTGCCCAGCAATGTTCTGTTCTTGAAGCAAGTGGAAGTTAAAAGGCTGTTGTCTTATCTCATTAAGGTAGACTTTCGTTTGGTGTAGCTGGCTTCCTTCCTTCCTTTTTTCTTTCTTTTTCTGGAGACAGGATCTCACTCTGTTCCACAGGCTGGAGTGCAGTGGCACTGTCATAGCTCACTGCAACCTCAACTGCCTCTGCTCAAGTGATCTTCCCACCTCAGCCTCCCAAGTAGCTGAGACTATAGGCACATACCTCCACACCCAACAATTTGGTGTCATTTTCTGTATATATGTTTTATTTTACAACCATAGGCTGATAAAATAGGCTCCCAGGCCCAGCGCAGCGGCTCACTCCTATAATCCCAGCACTTTGGGAGGCCAAGGTGGGAGGATCACTTGAGCCCAGGAGTTCGATGCTGAACTCAGCTATAACCATGCCACTGCATTCCAGCCTGGGTGATAGAGTGAGACTCTGTCTTTTTTAACAACAAAAATAAAAAATAAAATAAAAATAAAAATAAGATGTGCTCCTCTGCTCCTGCTTCATCATCCAACCCTGTGTCTTTCTTCCTCCTCGTTGCAAAATAACTCCTGCATCTCCAGGTTGCACATCCACGTCTCCGGCAGGAAGTGAAGGGCAAACATCTAGAAACATCTAGAGTCTTCTCCACATAAAGTTTTGCCTTACCATTTAGAAAGAAAACCCTCTTCAGGCCCACAACAACCTCTGCCTCCCAGGTTCAAGTGATTCTTCTGCCTCAGCCTCCAGAGTAGCTGGGATTACAGGCGCCTGCCACCAGGCCTGGCTAATTTTTGTATTTTTAGTAGAGACGGGGTTTCGCCAGGTTGGCCGCAGTAGTCTCGAACTCCTGACCTTGTGATCCACCTGCCTCGGCCTCCCAAAGTGCTGGGATTACAAGTGTGAGCCACTGCACCCAGCCAAATTAATTGATTCTTTAAACCCTGACATCTTAGAGCACCGATCCCCAACCTTTTTGGCACCAGGGACCAGTTTTGTGGATGACAATTTTTCCATGGGTAGGGTGGGTGAGGTGGGAATGGGGGGATGGTTTTGGGATGATTCAATGACATTACATTTATCAATAGCTTCTCATAAGGAGCGAGCAACCTAGGTCCCTTGCCTGCACCGTTCACAGTACGGTTCACGCTCCTATGAGAATCTAATGCCACCGCTGATCTGACAGGAGGCGGAGCTCAGCTTCCCTGGCTCACCTGCTGCTCACTCCTGCCGTGCAGCCCAGTTCCTAACAGGCCATGGACCCATATCAGTCCATAGCCTGGGGGTTGGGAATCCCTGTCTTAGACTACTAAGTCCCATTTTCCTGAATTCTTGTGGCATCAATTTTTCATCAGCCAAGCATCTAACCCTCCAGCCACAGCCCTTGAACAAGCTTGCCTCTGGTACTTCAGCTCGACTAATCTTCTGCAAAATCAGTGGTAACTGGGCCCTGCCCCTCCACCGTGGATATGGAGAACGGATGCCCTGCATCTACTCCCAAGGCCTGCCTACTGTGCCCTGGAGTACTGTAGAAGCTGGAAAGCTATTTTTAAAATAGTAACTTCACCACTCTCACCCAAATAATCAATACTTAATTGCCAAATGGTTTTCAGTGCTTACCCTCCTGTCTTAAAATATCACGTAGACCAGGCGCGGTCCCAGCACTTTGGGAGGCTAAGGTGGGCAGATCACAAGGTCAGGAGATCGAGACCATCCTGGCTAACATGGTGAAACCCTGTCTCTACTAAAAAATACAAAAAAAAAAAAAAATAGCCGGGCGTGGCAGCACACACCTGTAGTCCCAGCTACTCGGGAGGCTGAGGCAGGAGAATGAAGTGAACCCGGCAGGCAGAGCTTGCAGTGAGCTGAGATCGTGCCACTGCACTCCAGCCTGGGCAACAGAGCATGACTCAGTTTCAAAAAAAAAAAAAAAAAAAAAGATGTAATACTAATAGAAAATTTGAGGCTGGGCATAGTGGTTCCTGTCTGTAATCCCACCATTTTGGGAGGCTGAGGCAGAAGGATTGCTTGAGCCCAGGAGTTCAAGACCAGTCTGGGTAACACAGTGAATCCACATCTCTACAAAACATACAAAAATTAGCCAGGCATGTTGGTGCATGCCTGTAGTCCCAGCTACTCAGGAGGCTAAGGTGGAAGGATCTCTTGAGCCCATGCAGTGGAGACCACAGTGAGCCGAGATTGTACCACTGCACTTCAACCTGGGTGACAGAGCTAGACATTGTCTCTAAAGGAAAAAAAAGAGAGGCCAGGCGCAGTGGCTCATGCCCATAATCCCAGCACTTTGGGAGGCAAAGGCAGGTGGATCACCTGAGGTCAGGAGTTCAAGACCAGCCTGGCCAACATGGTAAAACCCCGTCTGTACTAAAAATACAAAAATTAGCTGGATGTGGTGGTGGGTGCCTGTAATCCCAGCTACTCAGGAAGCTGAGGCAGGAGAATTGCTTGAACCTGGGAGGCAGAGGTTGTAGTGAGCCAAGATCGTGCCATTGCACTCCAGCCTGGGCAACAAGAGCAAAACTCCGTCTCGAAAAGAAAAAAAAGAAAATGAAAGAAATTTTGAGGTAACAGATGAGGAGATGATTGCTATGGAAAAGACAGTTTGTTACTCACAGTTCCCAAGAGGAAGGGGCATATGATTCCATGGGGGACCACACGAGGGAGCCCAAGTCAGTTAGGAGAAGAGACAGAGGAGGAAACTGGGCACGAACTTTTACCGTGGTTGCCACAGGAAGGAATTGCTGATGCTGCTTCTGAAGTGAAGTGTTGCTGGGGTAACACTCACGAAAAAAGCAGGCAGACAGGAAGCAAAAGTCCCTTCTCCTGGAGGTGACCAGCCCCCGTGGAAGGGGTTCCGGGATGCAGAACTTTCAGTGCTAAAAATGGGAAAGATCTGGGGAAAGTGGGACGAGTTGATTACCCTACTTCTGCAGTCTCCTAGCAAACTGTCTTGCCAGAGCCTAACATAGAACCATCTGGCAAAGCAGAAATGTGGCTTGCTTGTCCCAGCATCACAAAGCAGGGCACAGGATGGTGCGTTTGGAGCTCAGAGACAGTAACTCTGTAATTGATACTTTTTTTTTTTTTTTTTAAACAGAGTCTCACTCTGTCGCCCAGGCTGGAGTGCAGTGGTGCGATCTTGGCTCACTGCAACCTCTGCCTCCTGGGTCCAAGCGATTCTCCCAGCCTCCCGAGTAACTGGGGCCACAGGCAAGCACCACCACGCCTGACTAATTTTGTATTTTTAGTAGAGACGGGGTTTCACCATGTTGGCCAGGCTGGTCTCGAACTCCTGACCTCAGGTGATCCACCTCCCTCAGCCCCCCAAAGTGCTGGAATTACAGGCATGAGCCACCTGGCCCAGCCTGATACTGACTGTTTATGATCTTCCTGGTCCTCTCCAATCCGTCCTCTGGGCTGCCATTGAGAGGAGCTTTATAAGTAGATAAAATTGATCATTTCAGACTCTTGCCAAAAGTTTTCCATAGTTACCTACCAGCCAACCAGGGTGAAATTTCAACTTTTTAATGAGGTATAAAATGTTCCTCAAAGTTATCCTCAGTTACAGCCCAGTTTTATCTCCTCTCCTGAACTTGACATTCCAGAAATATATAAATCTTTGAATTTTTAAAAAATAAATCATATTCTCCATTTTCTATGCTTTTAATACACTAGTCCCTCATCCGGATAAAAAGAAGATTAGACGGGGGCAGTAGCTCACACCTGTAATCCCAGCACTTTGGGAGGCCAAGGTGGGCAGATCACCTGAGGTCAGGAGTTAGAGATCAGCCTGGCCAACATGGTAAAACTCCATCTCTACTAAAAATACAAAAATTAGCCAGACAGAGTGGTGTGAACCTGTAATCCCAGCTACTTGGGAGGCTGAGGCACGAGAATCACTGGAACCTGGGAGACAGAGGTTGCAGTGAGCCAAGATCATGCTGTTGCACTCCAGCCTGGGCGACAGAGGGAGACTCTGTCTCAAACCAAAAAAAAAAAAGCATATTAAGCCCCCCTTTTTAGAGATAGAGTTTTGGTCTGTCACCCACGCTGGAGTGCAGTGGCGCGATCACAGCTGGCTGACGCCTCAACTTCCTGGACTCAAGCTATCCTCCCACCTCAGTCTCCTAAGTAGCTGGGGCTACAGGCCCACACCACCATGGCCAGCTAATTTTTTTTTTTTTTTTTTTTTTTGGAGAGAGGGTCTTGCCCTGTTTCTCAGGCTGGTCTTGAACTCTTGGCCTCAGGTAATCCTTCCACCTCAGCCTCCCAAAGTGCTGGGATTACAGGCATGAGCCACTGTCCGCCCAGCCAAACCCCTTTTTTAGAAGAAAACATCAGATCAAAAGATGTGCTTCCACTTTAAGAATGGAAGTTAACTTCTGATCAGCTCAATGTTAGCTGGATTTGAAGGCCAAAGAAAATTGAAGCAAATGTATTTTTGAATTACATAGTATTTACTGTTCTCACGCTTCTGACACCCAAGGAGAAGAAAGATAACGCTCCCAGTGCTAATGAAACTTGCTAGGTTTTCTTTCCTGCTAAAGATATTTATACTTGAATTCTTTTATTTTTTAATTTTTTAGAAGCAGGGTCTCACTGTATCACCCAGGCTGGAATGCAGTAGCTTGGGCAGATCTCACTGTAACCTTGAACTCCAGGGCTCAAGTGATCCTCCAACCTCGGTGTTGAGATTACAGGTGTGAGTCACTGAACCCGGCCTTAAATTCATTTTAAGGCTTGGAACAGCTTTAGATTAATTCCATAAATGAAAAAGCTGTGGTTGATTTGAAAATTAGAGATGGTTTATAAAATAATATCAGGGGATATAAATGATTCTGCAATCATTTACCAAGCTTTTCCTTAAATTCAAAGGCTAATAAGCTTGCAAGGTTATCTGGTTAAAAGGGTGATTTTGCTTTTTGTTTTTTTTTTGTTGAGACAGAGTCTCACTATGTCACCCAGGCTCCCGAGTGCAATGGTTCCATCATAGATCACTGTAGCCTCAACCTCCCGGGATCAAGCGACCCTCCCATCTCAGCCTCCTGAGTAGCTGGGACCATAAATGCCTGCTACCACATTTGGCTAATTTTTTTTTTTTAATTTTCTGTAGAGATGTGGTCTCACTATGTTGCCAAGGCTAGTCTTGAAACCCTGGGCTCAAGTGATCCTCCCCACTTGGCCTCCAAAAGTCCTAGGATTACAGGCATAAGCCACTGTGCCCAGCCTGACTTTGCTTTCCCCACTCCCCACCCTTTCTACTGCAACATTTTTTCTTTTCAAATCAGGTGATTTCTGACAGGTCTTCTTCAGTTTTTCTCCAGCATGAATTCCTTTGTGAAGACTTCTGAGGCAAACTCTAGGCTGTGTGGGATCCTATTGAATTCAGTACCTCCCTTCCATGAGCTCGATGGTAAATGTTTACTCAACTGTCTTTCCACCATGCTAAACCTTCTGTTGGGCAGAAACTGTGGCTTTCCATCTTCAGATTCCACATTTTGAGCACAATATCTTCCCTATAGTAGACACTCATCCTACCCTTGTTGAATACATGTAAAATGACTTTTGATGAAACCAAATTTACATAGAGAGAAGGGTGGCCACAGGGATTCAGGGGGAAGGAGGGACATGGGAAGATATTGGTCAAAGGATACAAACTTGCAGCTATAGGATGAATAGGTTCTGCAGACCTCATGTAAAACTTGGTGACTGACTGTAGTTAACAATACTGTATTATATACTGGAAATTTGCTAACAGAGTAGGCCTTACATATTTTCACCACACACATAAACAGGTGACTGTATGGGGTGATGAATGTGTCAATTAGTTTGATTGTGATCATCATTTCACAATGTATTTTAAAAATCATATTGTAGGTTAGGCACAATGACTCACACTTATAATCCCAGCAATTTGGGAAGCCAAGGTGGGAGGATTGCTTGAGCCCAGGAGTTCAAGATCAGCCTGGGCAACACAATGAGACCCCATTTCCACAAAAAAAGAAATTTAAAAATTGACAGGATATGGTGGTGCACGCCTAGAGTCCCAGCTATTTGGAAGGCTGAGGCGGGAGGATCACTTTGAGCCTGGGAGTTTGAGGCTGCAGTAAAGTCGTGATCACACCACTGCACTCCAGCCTGGGCTACAGAGATCGATCCTGTCTCATTTAAAAAAGAAAGAAAGAAAAAAAAAAAGGCTGGGCGTGGTGGCTCATGCCTGTAATCCCAGCACTTTGGGAGGCCGAGACGGGTGGATCACGAGGTCAGGAGTTTGAGACCAGCCTGGCCAACATAGTGAAACTCCATCTCTACTAAAAATACAAAAGTTGGCCAGGCATGGTGGCGCACCTGTAGTCCCAGCTACTCGGGAGGCTGAGGCAGGAGAATTGCTTGAACCTGGGAGGCGGAGGTTGCAGTGAGCCGAGATCACGCCATTGTACTCCAGCCTGGGCAACAGAGCGAGACGCCATCTCAAAAAAGAAAGAAAGAAATCACCTTGTATATCTTAAGTATATACAATTTTTATTTTTAAGTTATGCTTTAATAAAGCTGGGAGGAAAAAAGATGTTCAAATGCAGCCCCAGCCAATTCTTATTCAACTTTGGCCAAGTTTAGGATGATCTGAGTTTCCGCTGAATAGCAGAGCAGAAGCTATGGCGTGTTGTGGCTACAAGTGAGCGCGCTGGTGTCAAGCTGCTTGGTGAGATAGCTGCTGGCTGTTTGGCCTTGGGAAAGAGATTGAGCTCACCAGGCCTGAATTCTTTTCCTACAGAAGAATGATGTTGACAACAGTGCCTCATTCATTGCATGGAGGATTAACTGAGGCAGTGAATGTTCAGTCCAGAGTACAGAGCTGGAGATTTTAGACAGAACTGAAATATTAGGTGGGCTGGGGGCAGTGGCTCACACCTGCAATCCCAGCACGTTGGGAAGCAGAGATGGATCACTTGAGCCCAGGAGTTCGAGACCAGTCTGAGCAACATAGTAAGACCCCATCTCTACAAAAAATCAAATTAAATTAAAAATCAGCTAGGTGTGTGTGGGTGGGGGGAGCACACCTGTAGTCTCAGCTACCTGGGAGGCTGAGGTAGAAAGATCGTTTGAGCCCAGGAGTTGAAGACTACAGTGAGCTATGATTGCACCACTGCACTCCAGCCTGGAAGACAGAACAAGACCCTGTATCTAAAAATAAAACTTTTTGCTGGGTGCGGTGGCTCATGCCTGTAATCCCAGCACTTTGGGAGGCCGAGACAGCAGATCACCTGAGGTCAGATGTTCAAGACCAGCCTGACCAACATGGAGAAACCCCATCTCCATTAAAAATACAAAATAAGCTGGGCATGGTGGCGCATGCCTGTAATCCCAGCTACTCGGGAGGCTGAGGCAGGAGAATCACTTGAACCCAGGAGGCGGAGGTTGCAGTGAGCCGAGATCGTGCCATTGCACTCCAGCCTGAGCAATAAGACTAGAACTCTGTCTCAAAGAAAAAAAAAATTTTTTTTTAAATAATAAATAATTGAAATGTTAGCTGTTAGAGTTCTATTCTTTGAAATGTGGTAAATGGCACTTAACTCACAGTGTTGGGGTTTTTTGTTGGTTTTTTTTTTAGACAGGGTCTCGCTCGCTCTGTCACCCAGGCTGGAGTACACTGGTGCAGTATCAGCTCACTGAAACCTCCACCTCCCAGGTTTAAGGGATTCTTGTGCCTCGGCCTCCCAAGTAGCTGGGATTACAGGCCTGAGCCACCATGCCCAGTTGATTTTTGTATTTTCTGTAGAGACGGGGTCTTGCCATGTTGCCCAGGCTGGCCTCAAATTCCTGGGCTCAAATGATCCCCTAGCCTCAGCCTCCTGAAGTGCCAGGATTACAGGCGTGAGCCACCGCGCCCAGCTCATAGTATTGTTTTAAGGTTAAAAAGGTGTAATAGGGCCAGGCATGGTGGCACACGCCTGTAATCCCAGCACTTTCGGAGGCCAAGGCAGGCGGATCACCTGATGTCAGGAGTTTAAGACCAGTCAACATGGCGAAACCTCGTCTCCACTAAAAACACAAAAATTAGCCAGGTGTGATGGCAGGTGCCTGTAATCCCAGGTACTCAGGAGGCTGAGGCATGAGAATCGCTTGAACCCAGGAGGCGGAGGTTGCAGTGAGCCAAGATCGCGCCACTGCACTCCAGCCTGGGTGACACAGCAAGACTCTGTCTCAAAAAAAAAAAAAAAAGAAAAGAAAAGAAGAGAAGCAGAAGGGGAAGGGAAAGGGAGAGGGAAAGGGAAAGGGAGAGGGAAAGGGAAAGGGAAGGAAAGGAAAGGAGTAATAGGTTCGGTGACTCCAGTGATCTGGCATAAAGCAAGCCTTTGCCTGGGAAGTCCCTCACTTAATGCCCCTGATTGCCTCCTTTAGCTATTCCGGGGCAGATCCGTCTTCCCAAAATGCACCTCACTAAGCAGCTAGTGCTGCCAGTTCTTGTGTGTCACTCAGAGAATAGGGTTTTCCCCAAAGGAAAGACCACTGATTATGTCAAGAGAGCTACAAGCCACTAAGCAACAATGCCTTTCATCTCCCTGACTTTGGCTATGAGTTGCTGGGAAAGCCAGTGTAACATTCCCAGGCCTGGGGTTGTACCACCTGGGAAGGAGCTGGTCTATGGAGCAGAGTGCTGGCCTTGAGCTTCTTAGTAACAAATGCCACTCAAAGGACATACAAGACAAGGTCAGCCCTCTGGTTTTTCAGACAACTGCCCAGGCCCGCTGGTTGTAGTCCTACGTCCCCAGTGACTTTTACAAAGAGTGCAGCTGCAAAGCCGTGCCACTCTGCAGGGCCACATCTCCACAGTGAAGCCCAGATCACACTCTGGGGCCATGGCTCAGTCTGCTCATTTGGGAGAAACCCAGGACTCCCAGGGATCTAGCAGTAACATGGACCACAGTGCCTGTGAGGGCCCAGCATGGTGGCTCATGCCTATAATCCCAGCACTTTGGGAGGCTCAGGCAGAATTGCTTGAGCCTAGGAGGTTGAGGCTGCAGTGAGCTAGAACGGTGACACTGAACTCCAGCCTGGGCGACAGAGCAATACTCTGTCTTAAAAAAAATTTTTTAAATAAATTGCTGATAACACAATTCTCACCTGAAATGCTCTCTCTTTGTAGATTAGTGTATAGCCTGAATTTTACCATTAGGAAAAAGAGGAGAGGTGGCATTGAAGCATTTGTTACTAAGCAGAATGAACTGCATGTGCAAAGATTCAGAGGCGACATGTGTAGCAGATTTAAGAAACTCCCATAAATTCAGTATGACAAGCATGTCACTGTTCTATAATTTTTTATTTTTATTGGCAAATAAAAATTGTATATATTTTACTTGTTAAATTGAGATATAATTCACGTACTATAAAACTCGTCGTTTTGTTTGTTTTTTGTTTGGTAGGTTTTTTTGTTGTTGTTTTTGAGACGGAGTCCGGCTCTGTCACCCAGCTGGAGTGCAATGGCGTGATCTCAGCTCACTGCAACTTCTGCCTCCCGGGTTCAGGCGATTCTCCTGCCTCAGCCTCCTGAGTAGCTGGGACTACAGGCGTGCACCACCAGGCCCGGCTAATTTTTGGATTTTTGGTAGAGACAGGGTTTCTCCATGTTGGTCAGGCTGATCTTGAGCTCCTGACCTCAAGTTATTCTCCTGCCTTGGCCTCCCAAAAGTGCTAGGATTACAGGCGTGAGCCACCGTGCCCGGCCAAAATTTGCCGTTTTGAAGTCTACAACTCAGTGGGTTTTCATGTATTCACAATGTTGGGTGACCATCACCACTAACTCAAGCACATTTTCACCACCCTGAAGAGAAACTCTGTACCCATCAGCAGCCACTTCCTGCTTTCCCTTTCCCCCAGCCCCTGGCAACCAATAACCTACTTTATATCTCTATGGATTTGCCTCTCTGAACATTTTATACAACTGGAAGGATACATTTGTCGTGTGTGTGTGTGTGTGTGTGTGTGTGTGTGTGTGTGTGTGTGTGTGTCTGTGTGAGAGAGGGGAGAGGGGAGAGGGAAGGGGGGAGGGGGAGGGGGGAGGGGGGAGAGAGAGAGATGGTCTTGCTATGTTGCCCAGGCTGGTCTCAAGAGTTCAGGCCTCAAACGATCCTCCCACTTCAGCCACCTGAGTCGCCGGGATTACAGGCCCATGCCACCAAGCCCGGCTAATTTTTAAAAAATTTTTTAGAGATATGGTCTCACTACAACATTTATCCTTTAATGTCTGGTTTCATTCGAGGTTCATTCAGATGGCCAAGGCTGCTGTCACTGGGGACCTTCCTGAAGGGACAGCAAATATCATGACCAATAATGCAATCTGCCATACCTTGGCATGACAATACTGTTTCCAGATATTGTCACTATTTCTTCTCCATACTATTTTTTTTTTTTGAGACAGGGTCTTGTTCTATTGTCCAGGCTGAAGTGCAGTGGTACAATCTTGGTTCATTGCAGCCTCAGCCTTCTGGACTCAAGCGATCCTCCCACCTCAGCCTCCTGAGTAGCTGGGACTATAGGTGTGCACCACAAAACCCGGCTAATTTTTCTAGTGTTTTGTTGTTATTGTTGTTTGTAGAGATGGGGTTTTTGCCATGTTGCCCAGGCTACTCTTAGACTCCTGTGCTCAAGCCATCCTCCTGCCTCAGCTACCCAAAGTGCTGGGATTACAGAAGTGAGCCACTGCACCTGGCCTATCCATAGTCTTTGTTGTTTTTTAACCCTGTCCCTTTGAGGTTTATGCTATTGAGCTGTACTGCTTCCACTTCCCCTTAGCAAGCCTCCTAGACAGATCTGTTTTGGGGCTTTTTTTTTCTTTTTTTTTTTTTTTTTTTCTTTGACAGAGTCTTGCTCTGTTGCCACCCTGGAATGCAGTGGCATGATCTTGGTTCACTTCAACCTCCGCCTCCCGGGTTCAAGTGATTCTCCTGCCTCAGCCTTCCAAGTAGCTGGGACTATAGGTGCACACCACCATGCCCAGCTTATTTTTGTATTTTTAGTAGAGACGGGGTTTCACCATGTTGGCCAGGCTGGTCTTGAACTCCCGACCTCGTGATCCACCTGCCTCAGCCTCCCAAAGTGCATGCTGGGATTACAGGCTGAGTCACCGCACCCGGCCTTTTTTTTTTTTTTTTTTTCTTAGAGACAAGGTCTTGCTTGATTGCCCAGGCTGGAGTGCAGTGGTGTAATTACGGCTCACTGCAGGCTTGAACTCCTGGGCTCAAGCAGTTCTCCCATCTCAGCCCCACAAGTGGCTGGGACTACTGGTGCGCACCACCACACCAGGCTAACTTTATAAATTATTATTATTATTATTATTGTAGAGACTAGGTCTCACCTTTTTTTTTTTCCCCCCCAGAAACAAGATCTTGCTCTGTTGTCCAAGCTGTAGAGTTGTGGTGCCATGATAGCTCACTGCAGCCTCAATCTCCTGCGCTCAAGTGATCCTCCCTCCTTGGCCTCCTGAGTAGCTGGAACTAAAGGCACATGCCACCACACCTGGCTAATTTTTATGTTTTGTAGGGATGAAGTCTCGCATGTTGCCCAGGCTGGTCTCAAACTTGAACTCCCAGCCTCAAACAATCCCCTCTCCCCACCAAAGCCTCCCAAAGTGCTGAGATTTCAGGTGTGAGCCAACGCGCTGGGCCAGGTCCTCTTCTCCCTTGCTCTCCACGGTCTACTTGGAAATCTGAGAGTCGGCTGCGTGCAATGGCTCATGCCTGCAATCCCAGCACTTTGGGAGGCCAAGGTGGGCAGATCACCTGAGGTCAGGAGTTCGAGACCGGTCTGGCCAACATGGCGAAACCCCGTGTCTACTAAAAATACAAAAATTCGCCGGGCATGGTGGGTGAGCACCTGTAGTCCCAGCTGCTTGGGAGGCTGAGGCAGGAGAATTGCTTGAACCCGGGAGTCAGAGGTTGCCGTGAGCTGAGATCACGCCATTGTACTCCAGCCTGGGTGACAGAGCAAGACTTGGTCTCAAAAAAAAAAAAAAAAAAGAAAAGAAAAAAAGAAAAGAAAACAAACAAAAAAAAGAAATCCGAGAGTCATCCTTCACTCCTCCCTCTTCCTTACTCCCATAGCAGACCTCTTGGAATATCCTGGAAGTTCTAAGCCTGTCACTTCTCAGTCCCCACAGAAGTCACACTCTCCCAAGCCACCATCATCTCTGGCTTGAATTACTGCTGCAGGAGCCTTCCAAGTCTGGCTCCTACAATTAATTCATGATCCACCCAACAAGCACAGAACGTCAAGTCACTCCTCTCTTAAAATCCCCCATAGCTTCCCGTTTTCCCTTAGGAAGAGTCTAAAACCCTTAACTTTTTCTAGAAGGTTCCTCCAGGAGGTCTCTACTTGCTGTCTCAGCCTCGGACTCTCTGTGCTTCTTCAGCGTCCTGTGCTGGCACTCAATTACTTTAGGGGTTTCATGACACGGTTCTCTCCCTCCCACTCCTTTTCATCCTTAGGGTCTTAGCTTGCTCCCCGAGGCCTCCCCACCCAGTAGTTCTCAGTCCCCGTGTGCCCACAGCGCCCTCTACTGCCCCTTCCCAAACACGCAGCATGGGTGTGTTTGCCCAGCGCCTCTCTGCACACCCAGACTTCAAGCTGCAAGATGGCAAGCACTGCCTCCTCCACTGCTAAGTACCTGGCAAAGCAATTGTAGTCAGTAAATTTTTTTTCCCATTTTTTTTAATTTTTTTTTTTTTTTTTTAGGTAAAGAAAGGCATTTATTAGGTCTGGGCATGGTGGCTCATACCTGTAATCCCAGCACTTTGGGAGGCCAAGGCCAGTGGATCACTTGAGGTCAGGTGTTCAAGACCAGCCTGGCCAACATGGTGAAACCCCATCTCCACTAAAAATACAAAAATTAGCTAGGGGTGGTGGTGCATGGCTGTAATCCTAGCTTCTCTGGAGGCTGAGGAGGGAGAATCGCGTGAACCCAGGAGGCAGAGGCTGTAGTGAGCCGAGATCGCGCCACTGCATTCCAGCCTGGGCGATGGAGGGAGACTCTATCTCAAAAAAAGAAAAAAGAAAAGAAAGGCATTTATTAGAGAAGGCATGAAAATACGTTGCAAGAGTGCAACAGGCAGCACTGCAGAGAAGGGGCTGTCTCCTCTCAGTAAATATTTTTTTCAATTAAAGAATGAGTTTATCATACAAGAAGCCTGGAGAAAAGAAATGGTAAAGGTTGTGAAAGTTGTCAGAGTCAAAATGGAGTCACCAGGCCTGGCACGGTGGCTCAAGCCTGTAATCCCTACACTCTGGGATGCCGAGGAGGGCATATTGAGTTCAGGAGTTCGAGACCAGCCTGGGCAACATAGTAAAAGCCTGTCTCTACTAAAAATACAATTAGCCTAGTGTGGTGGTGCGTGCCTGTAATCCCAGTTTCTCAGGAGGCTGAGGTGGGAGAATCACCTGAGCCTGGGAGGTTGAGGCTGCAGTGAGCTGAGATCATACTGCTGCACATTCCAGCTTGGGAGACAGAGCAAGACCCTGTCTCAAAAAAGAATGGAACTGAAAAAAATAAATAAATAAACCCTGACACGGGAGTTCAAGAACACCCTGGACAACATAGCAAGACCCTGTCCCCCTCCCCCCCAAAAGAAGATGAAGAAAATTAGTTGGATGTGGTAGCACACACCTGTAGTCTCAGTTCAAGGCTGCAGTGAGCTATGATCTGGCCCCTGCACTCCAGCCTGGGTGACAGAGCAAGACTCTGTTTATAAAAAAAAAATTATAAAAATTTTTAAAAAAGAAAACCCTGACAGATAGAGATGGGGAAGGCCATGAAGAGAAGATTCTCAGGGTTGGGTGCCTGATCACAAAAACTATTACAAAAGACTCCAACTCTGCAAAACCCACAACCTTGCATACACCAAAAATACTTCTGCAAGAACATCTTCCCAGCAATTGCCTATCCAACTTCAAACTGGCATCATACCCGTTACTGATCTTTGTAGCCAAGAATAATTATCTCAAAACAATTATGTACTGCTCCTCATTTTTTGTTTAAAAACCTTTGACAGGCCGGGAGTGGTGGCTAAAGCCTGTAATCCCAGCACTTTGGGAGGCCAAGGCGGGCAGATCACTGAGGTTGGGAGTTCAAGACCAGCCTGACCAACATGGAGAAACCCCGCCTCTACTAAAAATACAAAATTAGCCGGGTGTGGTGGCGCATGCCTGTAATCCCAGCTACTCGGGAGGCTGAGGCAGGAGAATCGCTTGAACGTGGGAGGCAGGGGCTGCAGTGAGCTGAGATCGCGCCACTGCAGACTCCAGCCTGGGCCACAAGAGCAAAACTCCGTCTCAAAAAACAAAACAAAACAAAACAAAAAAAGCTTTGTCTCCCTTTGCCTCCCGGAATATACACAGAGTTTACTGTGACAACTGCATTCCTATTGCAATGCTCTGTTCCTGAGTAAATACCTTTTTCTTTTAGAAAAGCTCTGTTATTTAGGTTCACATGATTAATAGATGCAATGGTTAATGATTACTAGATAATTAATATTAATGGATGATTAATAATTGAGTAATAGATGTCATGGATAATAATTATGAATTATGATTAAATTAGCTTCCTGAATGTATTAGTCTACTTGGGTTGCTGTAACAAAATACCTTTGACTGGATAATTTATAAATAATAGAAATTTGGCTGGATCTGGTAGTGTATGCCTGTAATCCCAGCACTTTCGGAGGCCAAAGCAGAAGGATTGCTTGAGGCTGGGAGTTCGAGACCAGCCTGGGCAACATAGCAAGACTCCATCTCTACAAATAAAACATTTTTTAACACTTTGGAAGGCCGAGGCAGGCAGATCACGAGGTGAGGGACCGAGACCATCATGGCCAACATGGTGAAACCCCGTCTCTACTACAAATACAAAAAAAATTAGCTGGGCGTGGTGGTGCATGCCTGTCATCCCAGCTACTTGGGAGGCTGAGGCAGGAGAATCGCTTAAACCCGGGAGACAGAAGTTGCAGTGGGCCGAGATTGCGCCACTGCACTCCAGCCTGACGACAGAGCAAGACTCCACTCTCAAAAAAAAAAAAAAAAAAAAAAAATTAAATTAGCCAGCCATGGTGGCATGAGCCTGTGGTCCCAGCTACTGGGGAGGCTGAGGCAGGAAGATCACCTGAACCCAGAAGATTGAGGCTACAGTGAGCCGTGATCATACCAGCACACTCTAGCCTGGGTGACAAAGTGAGACCCTGTCTCAATAAAAATAAAAAAAAATCATAGAGCCTGGTGTGGTGGCTCACGCTTGTAATCTCAGCACTTTGGGAGACCGAGGCGGGTGGAACACTTGAGGCCAGGAGTTCGATATCAGCCTGGCAAACATGGTGAAACTTCATCTCTACCAAAAAACAAAATATATATATATATATATACACACACACACACACACAAAGTAGCCAGGCGTGGTGGCATGCACCTGTAGTCCCAGCTACTTGGAAGGCTGAGGCATGAGAACCCTTTGAACCCAGGAGGGAGAGGTTGCAGTGAGCCGAGACTGCGCCACTGTGCTCCAGCCTGTGTGGCAGTGAGACCGTCAAAAAAAAAAAAAAAAAGCAAAAAATAAAAAGACTAGGAATTTATTGCTTACAGTTCTGGAGACTGGGAAATCCAAGATCAAGGTGCCCGCAGATTTGGGATCTAATGAACACCCATTCCCTGTAAATGGCACTTTCTATGTATCTTCACCTGGCGAAAGAAAACGACAGCTCTCTGGAGCCCCTTTCTAAGGGCATTATTCCCATTCACGAGGGCAGAGCCCTCATGACACCATCACCTTCTAACACCATCACCTTCTAATACCATCACCTTGGTTCTCTGGTTTCAACAGGGGAATTTTGGAGGGTCACAAATATTCAGGCCATACCACTGGCTTATAAAGAGAAGCAGAACAGGGCTGGAAGCCCAGACACCCACGCCCACCCCTGAATTACCATTAGTTCTCAACTCACCTGACATCATTCCCTTTCAGTGTTTCCTATGTTTTTTTTTTTTTTTTAAAGACAGGGTCTCGCCATATGGCCCAGGCTGGTCTTGAACTCCTGGGCTCAAGTGATCCTCCTGTGTCCCGAATTGGTGGGTTCCTGGTCTCACTGACTTCAAGAATGAAACTGCGGACCCTCGCGGTGAGTGTTACAGCTCTTAAGGTGGCGCGTCTGGAGTTTGTTCCTTCTGATGTTCGGATGTGTTCGGAGTTTTTTCCTTCTGGTGGGTTCGTGGTGTCGCTGGCTCAGAAGTGAAGCTGCAGACCTTGGTGGTGAGTGTTACAGCTCTTAAGGCGGCGCATCTGGAGTTGTTTGTTCCTCCCAGTGGGCTCGTGGTCTCACTGGCTTCAGGAGTGAAGCTACAGACCTTCGCGGTGAGTATCACAGCTCATAAAAGCAGTGTGGACCCAAAGAATGACCAGTAGCAAGATTTATTGCAAAGAGCAAAAGAACAAAGCCGCCACGTCGTGGAAAGGGACCCCAGCCAGCTGCCACTGCTAGTTCGGGCAGCCTGCTTTTATTCTCTTATCTGGCCCCACCCATGTCCTGCTGATTGGTAGAGCCAAGTGGTCTGTTTTGACAGGGCACTGATTGGTGCGTTTACAATCCCTGAGCTAGACACAAAGGTTCTCCACGTCCCCATCAGATTAGTTAGATACAGAGTATCCACACAAAGTTCTCCAACGCCCCACCAGAGTAGCTAGATACAGAGTGTTGATTGGTGCATTCACAAACCCTGAGCTAGACACAGGGTGCTGATTGGTGTATTTACAAACCTTGAGCTAGACACAGAGTGCCCATTGGTGTATTTACAATCCCTGAGCTAGACATAAAGGTTCACATCCCCACCAGCCTCAGGAGCCCAACTGGCTTCACCCAGTGGATCCCGCACTGGGGCTGCAGGTGGAGCTGCCTGCCAGTCCCGCGCCATGCACTCGCACTCCTCAGCCCTTGGGTGGTCGATGGGACTAGGCACCGTGGAGCAGGGGGCGGCGCTCATCCGGGAGGCTCGGGCCGCACAGGAGCCCACCGAGGGGGTGGGAGGCTCAGGCACGGCGGGCCGCAGGTCCCGAGCCCTGCCCCGCGGGAAGGCAGCTAAGGCCCGGCGAGAAATCGAGCACAGCGCCGGTGGGCTGGCACTGCTGGGGGACCCAGTACACCCTCCGCAGCCGCTGGCCCAGGCGCTAAGCCCCTCATTGCCCGGGGCCGGCAGGGCCTGCCGGCTGCTCCAAGTGCGGGGCCCGCCAAGCCCACGCCCACCCGGAACTCCAGCTGGCCCGCAAGCGCCGCGCGCAGCCCGGGTTCCCGCTCTCGCCTCGCCCTCCACACTTCCCTGCAAGCTGAGGGAGCCGGCTCCCGCCTTGGCCAGCCCAGAAAGGGGCTCCCACAGTGCGGCGGTGGGCTGAAGGGCTCCTCAAGTGCCGCCAGAGTGGGAGCCCAGGCAGAGGAGGCGCGGAGAGCGAGCGAGGGCTGTGAGAACTGCCAGCACGCTGTTACCTCTCACTCCTGCCTTGGCCTCCCTAAGTGCTGTGATTACAGGCATGAGCCACCACACCTGGCCCCTTCTATGCCTCTAGACCTCATGAAATGCCCTTCCGTGCTATGCCTGTTGAAAGAAAGCCAGTTTCTCGCTTGAGAGAGTGTGTCCCTTCCTCTGCCCTCCCTAACTCCTGTTGTCTCGCCTCTCCCACAGTCCTCCTGGGTGCATCCCCGAGTCCTTTCCTTTTACCCACCCTGAGACTCCCACAGCTCTCTCAGTGGAGTCCTCCGCAGAAGTCTGGAGCCTCACCAGGATGTTGCCTGTCCCCGAGCTCATTTCTGAGTAGAAGGATTTGAAACCCTCAGAAATGACACCCTGAAAAAAGAAACAGAATGCTGCACCCGTGAGACACATCCCAGGCCTGGGCTTGTTAGGTCTGTCTGCCAAACCAGGCTGTGCTTTGGGTGTGAGGTGGACAGCTTTGCAAAGCCCACTCCCCCGTGTCAAATCGTAGTTCCTCCCTCTGGGCTAAAAAGGGAGTGGTCTGAAATTAAGGCACTGGAGGCTGTGTTTGTCTGCGCAGGCTGCCATAGCAAAGTGCCACAGACTGGGTGGCTTAAACAACAGAAATTTATTTTCTTACAATGCTGAAGGCTTGGAAGTCTAAGATCAAGGTGTTGGCAGGTTTGATTTCTTCTGAGGCCTCTCTCCCTGGCTTGCAGTCCGCCGCCTACTCACTGTGTCCTCACATGTTCTGTTATCTATGCATACACATCCCTTCTGTCTCTCTGTGTCTAAATTTCCTCTTCTTGGCCAGGCATGGTGGCTCAGGCCTGTAATCCCAGCATTTTGGGAGGCAGCATTTGGGAGGACCACTTGAGGCCAGGAGTTCAAGACCAGCCTGGGCAACATAGTGAGACCCTGTCTATACTAAAAATACAAAAATTAGCCAGTTGTGGTGGCACATGCCTGTAGTCCCAGCTACTCAGGAGGCCGAGGCACGAGAATTGCTTGAACACAGGAGGTGGAGGTCACAGTGAGCCGAGATTGCGCCACTGCACTCCAGCCTGGGCGACAGAGTGAGACTCTGACTCAAAATTAATTAATTAATTAAAGACATCAGTCAGTTTGGAATTGGACCCAGCCTCATGACCCTATTTTAACTTTATCACGTCTTTAACAGCCCTATTTCTAAATACAGTCACATTCTGCGGTACTGGGGGTTAGGGCTTCCACATATGAATTTGGGGGAGGGGGAACATAAGTCAGCCATAACAGAGACAGTCCTTGGTTTTAGGATATTACCAATCCTTCAGGGTTCTCTGAATAAGAGCAATAACCAGTGGAAGAATAAGTAAATAAGTGTCATGTCTGAAAGCTAGAGACAGGATACAATTAATTTTTAAATGAATAGGTACAGGCTGGGTGTGGTGGCTCACACCTGTAAGCCTAGCAGTTTGGGAGGCCGAGGCCAGGAGGATCACTTGAGCTCAGGAGTTTGATACCAGCCTGGGCAACACAGTGAGACCTTGTCTCTATAAAGAAAAAAATTTTTTTGACCAGGCACAGTGGCTCCTGCCTGTAATCCTAGCACTTTGTGAGGCCAAGGCAGGCGGATCACCTGGGGTCAGGAGTTCGAGACCAGCCTGGCCAACATGGCAAAACCCCGTCTCTACTAAAAATACAAAAATTAGCCAGGCGTGGTGGCACAGGCCTGTAATCCCAGCTACTCAGGAGGCTGAGGCAAGAGAATCACTTGAACCAGGGAGGCAGAGGTTGCAGTGAGCCAAAGTTGCAGTGAGCCGAGGTCGCGCCATTGCACTCCAGCCTGGGCAACAGAATGAGACTCTATCTCAAAAAAATTTTTTTTAATTAAAAAAAAAAGAATACATATGAATAATTGTATGTCAGCTAGCTTTTTCTTTCTTTCTTTCAGATGGAGTTTCACTCTTGTTGCCCAGGCTGGAGTGCAATGGCGTAACCTCAGCTCACTGCAACCTCTGCCTCCTGGGTTCAAGTGATTCTCCTGCCTCAGCCTCCGGAGTAGCTGGGATTAAAGGCACCCACCACCACACCCAGCTAATTTTTTGTATTTTTAGTAGAGACAGAGTTTCCCCATGTTGGCCAGGCTGGTCTCGAACTCCTGACCTCAGGTGATCCACCTGCTTCGGTCTCCTAAAGTGCTGGGATTACAGGCGCGAGCCACCACACCCAACCAACTAGCTTTTTAACTCAATGAAAGAGAGCAGAGGAGGCCTGGGGTCCACACATCTGGGTCCTTCGCCTGGTTGTGCCACTGTTAAAGGAGAGACAGTACGATTTAAAGAGACTGGAAGATAAATAAAAAGGAAGGTTCCAAATTGCAGGAATTAGTATCTCCAAACAGCCTCAATCCTTTTGGAACTGGGAAGCAGGCCTGAAGGACTGAATGATAAAATTAGTAGTAACTCAGTATAAAGCAGAATATTTCTTTCCAACTCTGAGGACTGTGGTGCACATTTGATGGAAAGATGGGAAGAAAATCAAATGCACTAAACTTGTTCCAGGGGCAAGCACAGCAAAGTATCTGCCAAGAAGGGGGGATCCCAAAGAGAAAATTTATCAGCCTCAGTTTTGCGTGGGGTTAGCCTTGTTCACAAGGAATCCCAGGTATCCTGCCAATAGCATGGGATACATTGTTATGGGACAGATAATGCTAAGTACATAGTATCAGCATGAAGATCTAGAGAATATCTTCATACATTACATGGCAGGTTTGATTGTGAAATTTTTATTTTGTTTCGTTTTATTTTATTTTATTACTTTGAGACAGGGTCTCACTCTGTCGCCCAGGCTGGTGTGCAGTGGCGCAATCACAGCTCATTGCATTCTCCACCTCCCAAGTTCAAGTGATTCGCCTGCCTCAGCCTCCTGAGCAGCTGGGACAACAGTCGTGCGCCACCACGCCTGGCTAATTTTTTGTATTTTTTGTAAAGACAGTGTTTCATCATGTTACCCAGGCTGCTCTCAAACTCCTGGGCTCAAACAATCCACCCACCTTGGTCTCCTAAAGTGCTGGGATTACTGGTGTGAGCCATCACACCCTGCTGATTATGAAGTTTAAAAAGTTAAGTCCTGGCCGGGCGCAGTGGCTCATGCCTGTAATCCTAGCACTTTGGGAGGCCAAGGCAGGTGGATCACTTGAGGTCAGGAGTTTGAGACCAGCCTGACCAACATGGTGAAACGCCATCTCTACTAAAAACACACAAAAAATTAGCCAGGAGTGGTGGTGTGCACCTGTAGTCCCAGCTACTCGGGAGGCTGAGGCAGGAGAATCGCTTGAATCCAGGAGGTGGAGGTCGCAGCGAGCCAAGATTGCGCCACTGTACTCCAGCCTGGGTGATAGAGCAAGATTCCGTCTCAAAAAAAAAAAAAAAAAAAAAAAAAAAAAGTTAAGCCCTCTGTATCACGTGAGTTTGTATGCTTGGGTAGAGGTACAGCTCTCCATTGTTCCTGGGCACACAGTAAGACTAAATGAAGGGAGTTTTGACTGGGAAGCGTGTGTTTTCCATTGACATGTTCCCAGGCATGTGTGGACATGGCTGGCGTGGGCCTCAGGAGTAAGGCAAGGGGAATTCAGGATTTCCTCTCTCCATGACACATGACAGCTTAGGTCACGTTCAAGTTCCTTTGTTATATGCTCTCATACAATTGCATTCCTCTCCTTCTGTCTTAGTCCATTCAGGCTCCTTATAGCAAAATGCCATAAACTGGATGGCTTATAAACAACAAATATTGGCTGGGTACTGTAGCTCATGCCTCTAATTCCAACACTTTGGGAGGCCGAGGTGGGTGGATCACAAGGTCAGGAGTTTGAGACCAGCTTGACAAACATGGTGAAACCCTGCCTCTACTGAAAATACAAAAAATTAGCTGGGCATGGTGGCGCATGCTTGTAATCCCAGCTACTCAGGAGGCTGACACAGGAGAATCGCTTGAACCCAGGAGCTGGAGGTTGCAGGGAGCTGAGATCACACCCTTGCACTCCAGCCTGGGCAACAAGAGCAAAACTCCGTCTCAAAAAAACAAAAGAAAGAAAAGGAAGGAAGGAAGGAAAAATATTTATTTTCCACATTTTCTAGAAGCTGTGAAGTCCAAGATCATGGCACAGACAGATTCGGTGTCTATCGAGGGCCCATTTCCTAGATGGTGCCCTCTCACTGTGTCCTCACATAGTAGAAGAGACAAACAAGCTCTCTTGGGCTTATTTTATATAAGCACTAATCCCAGCCTGAGCGCTCCACCCTCATCACTAATCACCTCCCCAAAGGCCTCAGCTTCTTTTTTTATTATTATTTTTTAAGCGATGAGGTCTCACTCGTTCACCCAGGCTGGAGTGCAGTGGCACCATCACAGCTCACTACAGCCTTGACCTCCCAGGCTCAAGTGATCCTCTCACCTCAGCCACCCAAGTAGCTTGGACTACAGGCATGCACCACCATGCCCAGCTGATTTTTTTATTTTCTTGTGGAGACAGGGTCTCTCTAGGTTACCCAGGCTGGTCTCAAACTCCTGGGCTCAAGTGATCCTCCCACCTTGGCCTCCCAAAGTGCTGGGTTTACAGGCATAAGCCACGGTGCTCAACCATATTAACATTCTTGCTTGTGTGATGGATGCTATCACTGACGAAACCCTCCCAGGTCTCTGGTAGTGCCATGAATTTCTAATATTTTCAGACTCAAAGAAATGCCCAGAGTTCAAAGAAGAACACCAGAACCTCATTTGAACTCACCTGCCTGTCCCTAGTGAGGGGCAGTCATCTCAAATACAACTGACAATCAAGTTCAAATCTGACACTTTTATCATAGATTTATGAGCTAGCTGGTCCCAGGTGTGCATGGCCCACTTCTCCTTGTCCATGATCAAGACAATTTGCTTGGTATTTGCTTTTTATTTTTATTTTTTGAGATAGAGTCTTGGTCTGTCGCCCAGGCTGGAGTGCAGTGGTGCGGTCTAGGCTCACTGCAACAAAACCTCCACCTCCCAGGTTAAAGCAATTCTCTGCCTCAGCTTCCCAAGTTGCTTGGATTACAGGTGCCTACCACCATGCCTGGCTCATTTTTTCTATTTTTAGTAGAGACAGGGTTTCACCATCTTGGCCAGGCTGGTCCTGAACTCCTGACCTCATGATCCACCTACCTCAGCCTCCCAAAGTGCTGGGATTATAGCCGTGAGCCACCGCACCCGGCCTGCTTTTTATTTTTCTACCAAAGACTTCTGTCCTCGGTTTTCTTCTCCCTCCAGCCCTTCTGACCCAGCTGGCCACAGACCATGATAGATAAAGTGCAGAAGTCCTCGCTGCCAAGCTGCTTCTCCCTTGTGACTATGTCCATGCTAAGTATTTCTGTCTTAGAATAGAGCTACAAGAATTATAGAGGCTGAAGACTCTCATTAACAAACAGCCCTTTGCATTTGACAAGGTGTTACAGAAGAAGAAAGAAGTGAATTTTTTTTTTTTTTTTGAGACAGAGTCTGGCCCTGTCACCCAGGCTGGAGTGCAGTGGCACAATCTCGGCTCACTGTGACCTCCACCTCCCAGGCTCAAGCCATCCTCCCACCTCAGCCTCCCGAGTAGCTGGGACTACAGGCACATGCCACCATCACACCCAGCTAATTTTTGTATTTTTTGTAGAGATGGGGTTTTGCCATGTCTGATCTGCCCAGGCTGGTCTTGAACTCCTGGACTCAAGCAATGCACCTGCCTAGGCCTCCCAAAGTGCTAGGATTACAGGTGTGAGTCACTGCGCCTGGCCAGAAGTGAGTATTCTTGATAGCCTCAGGAAATGAAAGATATATTACTGGGCCCATACTCAGCTCGTGGCAAAGCCACCTCCATCAACTGCCCCCATTCCAGCTGGCTGGCTGTGAAATTGCCTTTGCAAAAATTGTGACAGTGAAAGAAATATCACGTAACTGACTCCATCTTGCTTCTAAGCTCACAGCTGTCTTTGCTCATTCCTGCACATAGGCCAAGCCAACTATATGAGGACTTTAGTTTATAGTTAACTTTAAAACAAAGCAAGCCAGGCATGGTGGCTCATGCCTATAATCCCAGCACTTTGGGAGGCCGAGGTAGGTGGATCACTTGAGGTCAGGAGTTCGAGACCAGCCTGGCCAGCATGGTGAAACCCCGTCTCTACTAAAAAAATACAACAATTTGCCAGGCGTGGTGGCACACGCCTGTAATCCCAGCTACTTTGGAGGCTGAGGCAAGAGAATCACTTGAACCCAGGAGACAGAGGTTGCAGTGAGCCAAGATCACACCACTGCACTCCAGCCTGGGCAACACAGCAAGACTCCATCTCAAAAAAATAAAAATAAAAAATAAAACGAATAAAATAAAGCTGATAACAGTCCCTTCCTGAAACTAACCCCCTTCTTGCTCAGGGACTGACTGACACTGCCTTTGTATAACTAATGAAAGACCTCAAGGTTAGAATTGTGGTAGGGGCCTGAATTCTGCTAAGATGAAGGCATAGTTAAACTCTAACAGCCATTGTTTCTTCTAAGATGTGGATATAGTTAAACTCTAACAAGTCATTGTTTTATAACTTGCCTTTTTTTGTAACTGCTTATTACTCAGAAATCATATAGCCAATGGTCACAAGATTTATAACTTCCCCAATTCCCCCATGGACAACATCACTATTGTACAGTCAAAGACTGGTATTTGAGACATTTTCCAGACCTTGCATTCCGTATGGACCAACTGGCGCCACCTGGACCAGCAACTGACACCCAGGAGCTGACTTAGCACAGAAGACAGTTTCGATCCCCTATGATTTCATTCCTGACCCAACCACTCAGCATTCCTCATTCCCTAGTCCCCTGCTTGCCAAACTATCCTTGAAAAACCCTAGCCTCCAAATTCTTGGGGATGTGGATTTGAGAAATATCTCCTGTTCTTCTCACTTGACTGGCCCTGTGATTATTAAACTTTCTCTGCTGTAACTCCTGCTGTTCTTGGTGTCTTGGCTTTTCTGGGCAGCAGGCAAGAAGAACCAGTTGGGTGATTACAGCAAGGATGGATTTCTTGCTCAGTTATGAGATCCTTCTTTGTAGCAGGCCATTATCCCCATTATCAGCCATCCTTGACTGCTTTTGTCCAGAAGCACACCTCGCAACTTGTCTGAAGTGCAACCTACACCCACCCCAGTAGGAATTGCCCTGGGACATGACTGAGCTCTTCAGGCCCACGGCAGTGTCAACTGTGAGTCATGTAAAGGAGAAATGTCAAAGAAAAAAAATGAGACAAAAAATAGAGCCAAGGAAGACTCTGGGGATCTTCCAGGTTGTACAAACCAAAATAGGTTTTTGTTTGTTTGTTTGTTTTTGTTTGTTTATTTGTTTTTTTGAGACAGAGTCTTGCTCTGTCGCCCAGGCAGGAGTGCAGTGGCACAATCTCGGCTCACTGCCAGCTCTGCCTCCCGGGTTCACACCATTCTCCTGCCTCAGCCTCTGGAGTAGCTGGGACTACAGGCACCCGCCACCACGCCTGGCTAATTTTTTTTTTGTATTTTTAGTAGAGACAGGGTTTCACCGTGTTAGCCAGGATGGTCTCGATCTCCTGACCTCGTGATCCGCCCGTCTTGGCCTCCCAAAGTGCTGGGATTACAGGCTTGAGCCACTGCTCCTGGCCCAAAATAGGTTTGGGGGAAGGAAAGAGAGTGAAGGAATTACAAACAGATCCATCAACACCCTCCTTATCCTCAAAGTTTACTGTTTTTGTTTTATTTTGTTTTGTTTTGAGACAGGGTCTTATTCTGTCACCCAGGCCAGAGTGCAGTGGCGTGATCATGGCTCACTACAACCTCAACCTCCCGGGCTCAAGTGATTCTCCCACCTCAGCCTCCCAAGTAGCTGGGACTACAGGGCATCCACCATCATGCCCAGCTGATTTTTTAAAATTTTTTTGTAGAGATGGGGTCTCACAATGTTGCTCAGGCTGGTCTCAAACACTTGGGCTCAAGCAATCCTCCTGTCTTGGCCTCCCAGAGTGCCAGGGTTACAGGCATGAGACACTATCCCTGGCTTACTGTGTTTTAAAGAAGCCAAAGAAGTACTTCAGTGCCCTGACATGATCTTTGCTGACAGTCAGATCTCCAGGCACGTTCAAAGGCGATTTGTCATATAATGATACATCCATTTCAATCCACTGGTCCAGGAGCTGCCTTTGGGGCATTAGGACAGCTGGGCCTCACAAGCCACTTCTGTTCTAGCCCACTCCTCAGGGCAGTTGACAGAACACAATGAGAATGTTCCAGCAAAGAAGTGTATACCTAAAGGTGAGTCACAGGTACTCAAAAGAAAGCAATACTGGTATGCACAAAATGAAAAGCTTCCCGGTAGATATTCCCATACCAGCTTCTTTTTTGCCCCATCCTCTGGCTTCTAACGGCCTCTTGCATCTTTCCTTGGCCAATTCTTTTCTCTCTCCATGTTTATTGTCTCACCTCTCTTCCTCTCAACCCCAGTCCTTATTCTCATCTTCTGCTTCAGATTCCTGTCTTCTTTCTTTCTTTTTTTTTTTTTTTTTTTGAGATGGAGTTTCGCTTTTGTTGGCCAGGTTGGAGTGCAGTGCTGCAATGTTGGCTCACCGCAACCTCTGCCTCCCAGGTTCAAGCGATTCTCCTGCCTCAGTCTCCCAAGTAGCTGGGATTACAGGCATGTGCCACCACGCCCAGCTAATTTTGTATTTTTAGTAGAGATGGGGTTTCTCCATGTTGGCCAGGCTGGTCTCAAACTCCCGACCTCAGGTGGTCTGCCCGCCTCAGCCTCCGAAAGTGCTGGGATTACAGGCTTGAGCCACTGCGCCCGGCCAATTCCTGTCTGTTTTCAAGAAAAAGGATCCATTCCCTTCTTGATCGTCATGTCCATCTTGACTCTTGCATGATCAACACCCTCTGTCCTACCCTGCAATCACCCTACCTCTTCCTCCTCACATTTATTGTCCCTCAGTGACAAATTTCTCCCCTGTTCTTTGCTTTTCAAAAGCAAGAACTAAGACAAATTTTGAGGCCAGGGGCAGTGGCTCATGCTTGTAATTCCAGCACTTTGCGAGGCTGCTGTGAGAGAATCGCTTGAGGCTGAGTTCAAGATCAGCCTGAGCAACAGAGTGAGACCCCGTCTCCACAACAACAACAAAAAAGACAGAACAGCCAGGCGTGATGGCATGCACCTGTGGTCCCAGCTATTCGGGAAGCTAAGATGGGAGGATCACTTGAGCCTGGGGAGGTTGGGGCTGCAGTGAGCCATGATCATGCAACTGAGCTCTAGCCTGGGCGCTCTAGCCTGCCTCCAAAAAAAAAAAAAAAAATTAAACTTCGAGATTATGGAGAGCTTCCTGATTGTTAAATATATCCTCAGACGGGGATGGTGGTGCACTCCAACTCTATGCCGATAGAAGCTCCTGTACTTACAACCCTTCCAGACCTCATCCTATGCACCTCTTCATCTGTTCCCTTGTACCCTTTATATTAAACTGGTAAACATAAGTAAAGTGTCTTCCTGAGTTCTGTGAGCTGTTCTAGAAAATTATCGAACATTATGAGGGAGGCATGCAAACCCCCCGATTTATAGCTGGTTGGTCAACCAAAAGAGTCAAACTCTGTAAAATATTTGAAGAGATTTATTCTGAGCCAAATACGAGTGACCATGACCCATAACACAACCCCAAGAGATCCTGGGAACACATGCCCAAGGTCATTGGGGCACAGCTTGCTTTTATACATTTTAGGGAAACATGAGACATCAACCAACACGTGTAAGATATACACTGGTTTGGTCTGGAAAGGTGGGACAACTGAAAGCAAGGCAGTGGGGTGGAAGGGAGGGGAGGTGGGGATTCCAGGTCATGGATGGATTCAAAGATTTTCTGATTGGCAGTTGGTTGAAAGAGTTTAACTAAAGACCTGGAGTCAATAGAAAGGAGTATCTGAGTTAGGATAAGGGACCAAGTTCTTTTTTTTTTTTTTTTTTTTTTTTTGAGACAGGGTCTCACTCTGTTGCCCACGCTGGAGTGGAGTGGCCCAATCTTGGCTCACTGCAACCTCCGCTTCCTGGGTCCAAGTGATTCTCATGCCTCAGCCTCCCTGTAACTGGGATTACAGGTGCGTGCCACTGCAAGAAATTTTACTATCTATTCTCTCTGAAGCCTGCTACCTGGAGGCTTCATCTCCATAAGAAGAACCTTGGTCTCGGCTGGGTGCAGTGGCTTATGCCTGTTAATCCCAGCACTTTGGGAGGCTGAAGCGGGTGGATCACCTGAGGTCAAGAGTTGGAGACTAGCCTGGTCAACATGGTGAAACCCCGTCTGTACTAAAAATATAAAAATCAGCAGCTGGGAGTGGTGGCTGCCTGTAGTCCCAGCTACTCAGGAGGCTAAGGCAGGAGAATTGCTTGAACCTGGGAGGTGGAGGTTGCAGTGAGCCAAAATCATGCCACTGCACTCCAGCCTGGGCACAGAGTGAGACTCTGTCTCAAAAAAAAAAAAAAGAATTTTATTTTTGGTTTACATTGGTCAGAAGTATGGGAGTCCTGGGACTTGCAACTGGCATCTGAAGTTGGTGGGTGGGGCAGTTTTGAGCCCTTCAGCTGTGGAATCTGCCCTAACTCCAGGTAGTATCAGAATTGAACTGAATTGTTGAATATCCAGTTGGTGGCCAGAGAATCAGAGAACTGGCTGTTGGTGTTGGAAAACATCCCAGGAGTCCTTGAAGTAGGAGAACAGAGAACCAAAAAGAGCATGAGAACCAGAGACAGAGTAAAAAGGATTCAAAGATGAGCTGTTCTGGAGTTTACCCCCTTACACACTCATCACCTATGGACAACCCACCTTTCAATAGACTTGGATCCTTATAGGCTCCCTGAATGGAGGCTGGATGAATTGGACACCTTGTGTGGATAAAGCATGAAAGAACTTCCACGTAAAACAAGATGGAACCAAACAGACACAATTGGAAACATCCCTATGGGCACCAATGGACCTACCTGCACTGTCCCTTAGGTATGGAGTCAGCAAATTCCACTGCAGTATCCCAAGAGTGAACAGGGTTTAGCAGGAGATCCTTTCACAGAGAAGAATCCTTCTAGGAAGTGCCCACTGAAACATCCAGTTAATCTAAGATTTAGGCACTGAGAATGGAGCACAGAAATTTTTTTTTTTTTTTTTTTGAGACAGGACCTCACTCTGAAGCCCATACTGGAGTGTAGTGGTACTTACATGGCTCACTGCAGCCTCAACCTCCTGGGCTCAAGCAATCCTCCCATCTCAGCCTCCTGAGTAGCTGAGACCACAGATATGTACCACCACACCCAATAATTTGTCTGATTTTTAGTAGGGACAGAATCTCACCATGTTACCCAGGCTGGTCTCAAACCCCTGGGCCCAAGCGATCCTCCTGCCTCAGCCTCCCAAAGTGCTGGCCTTATAGGCGTGAGTCACTGTGCCTGGCTGCAAATTCTTATATCAAGACTTCATCCTTCTTTCTGTTTATAAATATCTGGAAGTTCCATGGAGCTATACCAGATGTCAGGAAGGGCCTCATTCAGAGTCTCATCTCTTGTTTTTCATGGTAATTAAAATCTTAAGGTTGGCCGGGCAAGGTGGCTCACACCTGTAATCCCAGCACTTTGGGAGGCTTAGGCAGGCAGATCACAAGGTCAGGGGATCGAGACCATCCTGGCTAACAGGGTGAAACCCCATCTCTACTAAAAATATAAAAAATTAGCCAGGCGTGGTGGCGGGCACCTGTAGTCCTAGCTACTCGGGAGGCTGAGGCAGGAGATTGGCATGAACCTGGGAGGCGGAGCTTGCTGTGAGCCGAGATCGTGCCACTGCACTCCAGCCTGGGCAACAGAGGTCAGGCTGGCTCAAAAAAAAAAAAATTAGCCAGGCGTGGTGGCGGGCACTTGTAATCCCAGTTTCTTGGGAGGCTGAGGCAGGAGAATTGCTTGAACCCAGGAGGCAGAGGTTGCAGTGAGCCAAGATGATGCCATTTCACTCCAGCCTGGGTGAGAGACAGAGACTCTGTCTCAAAAAAAAAAAAAAAAAAAATTAAAGAGAATAGCTTCCTGTTGGTCCCCAGCCCAGAGCCAAGCAGCTCTGTGAGTGACATTAAGCTGGATGAAGATGACATAGCAGAGCAAATGGCAATGCTATCTTCTAACCAGAATTGTCAGTAATTTACCTCCAGCCCTGCCAAAGCCCAGGAGGAGGCTTAATTGAGGAAGGGATATTTGCAGGCCACAAATCAAAATGACATAAATAATTATGAAAAACAGGCTGGGCACAGTGGCTCACGCCTATAATCCCAGAACTTTGGGAGGCTGAGGTGGAGAGATCACTTGAGGTCAGGAGTTCAAGACCAGCCTGGCCAACATGTATTTTTTGTAGAGATGAGGTCTCACTATGTTGCCCAGGTTGATCGCCAAATACTGGCCTCAAGCAATCCACCCACCTCCCACAGCATTGAGATTGTAGGTGAGAGCCCCTGCCCCGGCCTCAAATTTCCCCTTTTCATAAGGACACCTGTCATATTGGAGTAGGGACCCACCTTACTCCAGTATCACCTCATCTTAACTACACCTGCAACAACCCTATTTCCAAATACAGTCAGAGGCACTGGGAGTTGGCACTTCAACATGTGAATCTGGGGGGTGGGGTACCCACACCAGGCTCATAGACAAATAGGTTTCAAAATATGTAGATAATTTTCAATTAATCTGAAGACCGTCAAAGAGAAAAATTCTAACAGCTTTCAGAAACTAAACAACACCAGACTTGTCAGCAGCAACAACAGATGCAAGAAGACAATGGGGTAGTATTTTGTTCAAAGAATAAAAGGAAAACACTTGGAACTTAGAGAATTTTATGTCTAGCAGAACTGTCATTTAAATGTGAGGGTACATAAAGATATTTTCAGATATAAAAAAGTGTCAAAAATTTATCCCGGGCCAGACGTAGTGGCTCAATGCCTGTAATTCCAGCACTTTGGAAAGCCAAGGTGGGCGGATCATGAGGTCAGGAGTTCGTCACCAGCCTGGCCAGCACAGTGAAACCCTGTCTCTACCAAAAATACAAAAAAAAAAAAAAAAAATTAGCCGGGTGTGATGGCAGGTGCCTGCAGTCCCAGCTACTTGGGAGGCTGAGTCAGGAGCATCACTTGTACACGGGAGGTGGAGGTTACAGTGAGCCAAGTTCCCACCACTACACTCCAGCCTGAGCAACACAGTGAGACTCTATCTCAAAAAAAAAAAAAAAGTTTACCCCACAAAAACCTTCAAAAATAATCCTGGAGGAAGTATTACAGCGAGAAGAGAAACAACTTATGAGACACAGCAAATAATAGTGACTACATTTCTATGATAAATAAATAATGCCCCCAAAAGGCATATTTATACAAATCCAAAATCAAAAGTCTAAAAAATATCAATATGGCAGTTTCAGGGCAAAAGGAAGCAGAGGGGAGAATTTATGGGGTAGAATAAACACAAATTAGTCTGAGCATGTTAGGAATAACTACTATAACTTTTTAAAATTTTTTTAAATTAAATAATTTTCAAATCAGAAGTAGAAAATAATCAATGTATTCATGGAAGCAAGGAAAGGAGAAAAAAAGAGAGTATGGTAAATAAAAGACTGAAAAGAGTCCAAAAAAAAAAGTCTTTTGTTGTTGTTGCTGTAGAGATGGGATCTTGATCTGTTGCCCAGGCTGGAGTGCAGTGGCTCAGTCATAGCTCACTGCAAACTTGACCTTCTGGGTTCAAGCAATCCTCTTACCTCAGCTTCCCAAGGTGCTGGGATTACAGGCATGGGCCACTGCACCTAGCCAGGAAAATGCATTTAAACCTGGGCTTTCAAGAATTTCCTTAGGGCTGGCCACGGTGGCTCACACCTATAATCCCAACATTTTGGGAGGCCAAAGTGGGAAGATCAGGAGTTCCAGATCAGCCTGGCCAACATGGTGAAACCTTGTCTCTACTAAAAATACAAAAATTAGCTAGGCGTGGTGGCAGGCTCCTATAATCCCAGCTACTTGGGAGGCCGAGGCAGGAGAATCGCTTGAACCCAGGAGGGAGATCTCGGTTGCAGTGAGCTGAGATTGTGCCACTGCACTCTAGCCTGGGCAAGATAGCGAGACTCCATCTCAAAAAAAAAAATTCCTCATATAAAATCCCAAGGAACATAAGTTGATATTTTAAAAAATCACTAACAGGAAATAAACTACATAAGCAGAAGCAATAAGCCTCAGAATCAGACTCACAAATGGCACAGCCACTGGAAGTATGCTGTACAGAATATAAAATAAATACAGTAAATCTTTAAAGAAATTAATGGCAGAGCTTTAAAAATACTGAAGGAAAAGCTGATTATTAAAACTGTCAAGGAAGATTTGAAGAGGAAAAACTAAAAATTATATAAGTGAAAACTTTAAAACCCAGTGAACAAATGAAATCGATTACAGCACAGCTAAAAAGAAAAGAAACTAGGCACATATTGGAAGAAATTATACAGGGTGTGGCCAGGCACAGTGGTTCACACCTGTAATCCCAGCACTTTGAGAGCCTCAGGCAGGAGGATGACTTGAGCCCAGGAGTTCGAGGCCAGCCTGGGCAACATAGCAAGACCTCGTCTCTACTAAAAATTTAAAAAATTAGCCAGGCGTGGTGGCGTGTACCTGTGGTCTCAGCTACTGGAGAGGCTGAGGTGGGAGGATCGCTTGAGCCTAGGAGGCAGAGGTTGCAGTGAGCCGAGATCGCACCACTGCACTCCAGCCTGGGCAACAGATTGAGACCCTGTCTCAAAGTCAAAAAAAAAAAAGAAGAAGAAAAGAGAGAGATTGTTAGAGATAGTATTAGGGAACCTGGCACTTGTAAGGAGAAAAGTAAAGTTAGTTCCCCACCTCTCTCCATAATACAAAGGTCAAATAAATGGGCTAGAAACCTAAATAAGGAAGGTAAAACCAGAAGGCTAGGACTGTATGTTAATTTCCTAGGGCTGCCATAAAGTACCACAAACTGGGTGGCTTAACCCAACAGAAATCTATTGTCTCCCCATTCCTGGAAGCCAGCAGTCCAAACTCAAGGTGTCAGCAAGGCCATGCCCGCTCTGAACCCTGCAGGGGAATCCTTCCTCACCTGGTCTTAGCTTCTGATGATTTATTGGCAGCCTTTGGAGTTGCTTCGCTTGTAGCTGCATAACTCTAATCTCTGCCTTTGTTGTCATATGGCATTCCGTGTGTGTGTGTGTGTGTGTGTGTGTGTGTGTGTGTGTGTGTGTGTGTGTCCTCACATGGCTATCTTCTTTTTATTTATTTATTTATAGAGACGGGGTCTCACTGTGTTGCCCAGGCCGATCTTGAACTCCTGGGCTCAAGTGATTCTCCCACCTTGGCCTCCCAGAGTGCTGGGATTATAGGTGTGAGCCACGGCGCCCAACCAGGCTGTCTTCTTATAAGGACAACAGTGATACGGCATTAGCAGCCCACCCTACTCTAGTATGACCTCATCTTAACTAATTACATCTGCAACGACCTTGTTTTAAATACAGTCACATTCTGAGGTACTGGGAGTAGGAATTCAACATATCCTTTTGGAAGAACACAATTCAACCCATAACAGCTGCTAGAAAAATGTAGAATATTGTTATGGCTTTGGAGTGAGCAAAGATTCTTCAACCCAGAAAGCACATATGGTGAAAATGTGACGGGTTTGACTACATGAAATTTAAAGATTTCTTCCAAACAAGGACATCAGAACATCATTGAAAAAATTAACACAGCTGGGCGAGGTGGCTCATGCCTGTAATCCTAGCACTTTGGGAGGCCAAGGAGGGCGGATTACTTGAGGTCAGAAATGGCGCATGCCTGTAATTTCAGCACCAGCCTGGTCATCATGGCGAAACTCAGTCTATACTGAAAATACAAAAATTAGCTGGGTGGGCATAGTAGCTTATGCCTGTAATCCCAGCTACTAGGGAGGCTGAGGCAGGAGAATCACTTGAACCCAGGAGGTGGAGGTTGCAGTGAGCCAAGATTGTGCCACTGCACTCCAGCCTGGGCGACAGAGCGAGACTCCATCTTAAAAAAAGATTAAAAAATAAAAAGTTGACTTGATATTAGTCAAGGGATACAAAATATCAGTTATGCAAGATGAATAAGTTCTAGAGATCTAATGTACAATGACACGACTATCGTTAATAAGATTTTATTGTATACTTGAAATTTGTTATAAGGGTAGGTCTTAAGTGTTCTCACCACAAAAAAAAAAAAAAGCTCCCCAACTCATTGAATAGGGCTAGCATTCCGCCAATGTCAAAACTAGGCAAGAATAACACCAGAAAATTCCATTTATGAAAACAAATGCAGGCCAGGCACAGTGGCTCATGCCTGTAATCCCAGCACCTTGGGAGGCCAAGGCAGGTGGATTCCTTGAGGCCAGGATTTGGAGACCACTCCGGCCAACATGGCAAAACCCCATGTCTACTAAAAATGTAACAATTAGCTGGGCACAGTGGCATGCGCCTATAGTCTCAGCTCTGGAGGCTGAGGTGGGAGAATCGCTTGAACCCAGGAGGTGGGTGAGCTGAGATATCACCACTGCACTATAGCCTGGATGACACAGCAAGGCTGTCTCAAAAAAAAAAAAAAAAGAAAAGAAAAGAAAAGAAATGCAAAACAACCCTAAATAAAGTATTATTAAATCAAATCCAGCAATGGTGAAAGCAAGAAAGAGGAGATAATCAACATTAATGGATTAAAGGCAGAAAAACCATCTGATTGCATAAATAAATGCATAAAAAGCATTTGATAAAATGTAACACCTGCATTTAAAAAAGAAAGAAAGAAAGAAAGAAAGAAAAATCTCTAGCAAGTTAGGAATAGAACCTGATAAAGGACTTCTACTAGAAATCTACTGAAAGCATCATATTTAATGATGAAACCTTAGGATCATTCCCTTAAATGTCTAGGACAAGACAAGAATTGTCCATTAATACCACTGCCATTCAACATTGTATTGGAACTCCTAGCCAAAGAGGAGAGGATTAAGAAAAAAAGCATAGACATCAGATTTTTTAAAGCTGTAATTTTTTTCTTTTTTCTGGACAACAGGATCATCTAGCTAGAAAATCGAAGAGAATTATCTGTCAAGCTATTCTAGAACAAGCAAGAGTGAGTTCAACAAGGCAGCCAAATCCAAGATAATTTTTTTTCTTTTTTTTTTTGAGATGGAGTCTCACTCTGTCACCAGGCTGGAGTGCAGTGGCGCAATCTCGGCTCACTGCAACCTCTGCCACCCGGTTCAAGCGATTCCCCTGCCTCAGCCTCCCGAGCAGCTGGGATTACAGGTGACTGCCACCATGCCCTGACTAAATTTGTATTTTTAGTAGAGACAGGGTTTCACCATGTTGGCCAGGCTGGTCTTGAACTCCTGACCTTGTGATCCACCCGCCTTGGCCTCCCAAAGTGCTGGGATTACAGGCGTGAGCCACCGCACCGGGCCCAGAGACAACCTGTTCTGCAGCCCATTTGCTTCTTCCAGAGTCTCCCTCTGTCGTCCGGGCTAGAGTACACTGGCTCGATCTCGGCTCACTGCAACCTCCGCCTCCCAGGTTCAAGCGATTCTCCTGCCTCAGCCTCCTGAGTAGCTGAGATTACAGGCACCTGCCACCACGCCTGGCTAATTTTTGTATTTTTAGTAGAGATGAGGTTTCACCATGTTGTCCAGGCTGGTCTCAAACTCCTGACCTCAGGTGATTTGCCTGCCTCAGCCTCCCAAAGTGCTGCGATTACAGGTGTGTGAGCCACCGCCCCCACCCTCTATTTGCTTCTTTGAGATGAATCACCCCATAAATGATTGGTAAACAGAGTAATGATGTCAGCATAACACAAGCATGTTGGTTAACATGCAATTTTCTCCAGGAAGTTAACATTTTGAAGCAATCAGGGCCAAGCTTTCTCACAGTTAAAGGGGAAGCCTTAGTACTAAAAGAAGATCTTCAGAGGAAAAAGCTGCAAATCTACAGAAGTGTCTTCCTTTGGATCCACGGTGGCTGGTTTAGTGACTTCAAAGACCACCATATTTGTCACAGTGTTATGCCTATGGCAAATCCATGAATGCAGATGAAGAAATTGCAAATATATTTCTCCCATATTAAAATAACAGATTAATGAAAAAGATCACACCTTGGATCACATTTCGAGTTTTGATGAAAATGATCCCCATCAATAGTTAATATCTCCAACCAGCATCCCCAAAGAGGAAGCATAAGCCCCACCTTCAAGGCTGCAAAGTGCTGCTGAAAGCAAATGCTCATGGAAATTTACCTATTCTAGTGTTTCTATTAGCATCATTATTGGTTTTGTAGCACTCTGAATATAAAGTTGTATACAAGAGGCCGGGCATGGTGCCTCACACCTGTAATCCCAGCACTTTGAGAGGCCAAGGCGGGCGGATCACGAGGTCAGGAGATCGAGACTATCCTGGCCAACATGGTGAAACCCTGTCTCTACTAAAAATACAAAAATTAGCTGGGCATGGTGGCGCCCACCTGTAATTCCAACTACTCGGAAGGCTGAAGCAGGAGAATCACTTGAACCAGGGAGTCGGAGGTTGTGGTATGCCAAGACCGTGCCACTGCACTCCAGCCTGGCAACAGAGTGAGACTCCATCTCAAAAAAAAAAAAAGTTGTATACAGGTTTTTATTTTTACTTTTTTTTTTTTGAGTCAGGGTCTCGCTCTGTCTCTCAGGCTGGAGTGCAGTCAGTGCCACAATCACAGCTCACAGTAGCCTCGACCTCCTGGGCTCAGGTAATACCCCTATACCTCAGTCTCCCGAGTAGCTGGGAACACAGGTGCACACCACCACACCCGCCTAATTTTTTATTTTTTTGTAGAGACGGAGTCTCCCTATGTTGCCCAGGCTAGTCTGAAACTCCTGGACTCCAGTAATTCTCCCTCCTCGGCCTCTGAAAGTGCTGGGATTACAGGCATGAGCCACCGTGCCCAGCTAGTTGCATATATTTTGAGCAATCTGTCTCTAACTCTATTTTTTCCATGAAGTCTTGTTAATTTTAGTGCACCGTTTTGAAGAACTGAAGGTTTTTTAAGAATGCATATAGCAGGTTATAGCAGAAACACTTATACTCAGAATGAAGCTGGGGCTCTCTCTTCCAACAAGCATTTTTGATATGCTCCGAGTGTCCCTGCTAGGTAGCCAGGAGACCAGGTAACCCACTTCCCTCTGACAATGGAACAATTCCCCAAGGACCCTGAGGGGCAGTTCTCTGGAGTTTGGGCACTAGAGTCCCTCTTATTTCCTCTTCTTCTCTCCTCCCTCTAGACCCCATACCACTCAGGAGAGGCCAAGTAAAAAGACCCAGAATTTTGCCTCTTACAAGCTTAGAGATCTTGAAGAAGTCACTGAACCTCTGCGGGACCTACTTTCCTCATTCTTTAAATAGAAAGGCAGTGGGTTTTTTGTTTGTTTGTTTTTTGTTGTTTTTTTTTTTGTTGTTGTTGTTTTTGTTAATCGTGGCGATGGTTATTTATTTATTTATTTATTTTGAGACGGAGTCTTGCCCTGTCGTCCAGGCTGGAGTGCTGTGGCGTGATCTTGGCTCACTGCAACCTCCACCTCCCAGGTTCAAGCGATTCTCCTGCCTCAGCCTCCCGAGTAGCTGGGATAGATTACAGGCGCACACCACCACGCCCGGCTAATTTTTTTTTTTTTTTTTAAATAGTAGAGACGGGGGTTTCACCATGCTGGCCAGGCTGGTCACGAACTCCTGGCCTCGTGATCCGCCCGCCTTGGCCTCCCATAGCGCTGAGATTACAGGCGTGAGCCACCGCGCCCGGCCTGGTTGTTAATTTTTAAAACTGCCTTTCATTTTTGCTTTGCCATTTATAGCTCTGTAGCCTTGCACAAATGACTTCACTTCTCTATGAGTCATCTGTAAAATGGGGCTCTTTGTGAAGACTTAACGATACCACGTGTACAAAGCACTGAATACAACATGCACATTAAGCTCCCCGAAATTGAAACTCCTATAAAATAGGAATCGGGGATTCTCAAGAGCAGGAGTTCTGACTTCAGCAGAGGAACCCAGAGCTGGTGGGGAAAGCAGACGTGGCTGTGACATCCCCAGGGACACTAAACACATCCTCCCAGCCCCATCTTCCCCGCAGAGTCCCGCCACCGGCCCGACCCCTAACTTGCTCCAACCACCCGCCGACGCCCGCAGCCCGCTGTTTGGGGGCCGCCCCCTGCAGCGCCAGGTCCCCGCGCGGACTACAGTTCCCAGCGTACATCTCGGTCGGGGGGTCCGAGGGGCCGTCCTGCCTCAGGGATAAGGTCCAGGCTGCGTTCGCGGCTCCGGGCAGTCACAGTCATGCACGCAGCTCCTATTTTTCGCGTTGCTAATCGCGTCCGTTGCAGTCCAACCCATCCTGGGCCGCGGCCCCCACAGGGTCTGTGAGGAGCGCTTCCCCCCGCCCCGGGCGCCCGCTACGCCGCGTCCGAAGGAGGGGCCGAGGCCGGGCTCATCTCCCCGGGAGGACTCCTTCGGCTTCGTGGGGTGTCATGTCCATTGCGGCCCGAGGCTGGCCGCGGGGCTCTGCTGGAGGGCGCTGAGAGCCGGGCCCCGAGGCCGCACGGCCGGAGACTACAACTCCCAGGAGGCACCGCGGCGGCGGCGCCCACACGTCACTCGGGCCCCGCCGGTGGCCCGGGGAAGCAGCACGGGCGGGGGGCAGGGGCTGGGGCCGACCGGGAGGCCGGTGCCAAGGATGGGGGCCGCCCGGCTGCCCCGCGCGTGAGGAGGCCGAGGGGCGCGCCACCCCGGCCCGGGGCGGCCGCCCCAGGGGCCCCGCCACCCCCGCCCGGCCCGGCAGTCGTGGCCCGGGATGCGGAGCCGGGGGCCGCCGGTGGAGCTGCGCGGGGTGAGCGGCGCGGGGAACGGGGACTGCCTGCCGCCCTCGCCCTCGTCCCCCACCGGCGGACCCCGGCGGGCATTCGAGAGCCGCGCGGCCAGGCCCTCTTAGCCCTCTGCCGTTTGGGGGGCACGGGTGAACCTGCCGCCCCACTCCCACCCCGCCCCGCCCCGCCCGTACAGCCAAATCGGAAGGGACGAGCCTGCCCTTTGAAAGGGTTTTTTTTCTTGCTCCTGCGGAGGGCGCCCCAGCCATGGCCCTCAGGAGCTCCCTAGACCCCGCAGGGACTGCCCTCCATCCCGGCCGCCGGGGCCCGCCCTCTGCATCCCGCGGGCAGCCTGTGTGAAGCGGCCTCCCGCAGCCCCCGGCCCCTCCCCCATGGAGGAGGAGGAGGGGGCGGTGGCCAAGGAGTGGGGCACGACCCCCGCGGGGCCCGTCTGGACCGCGGTGTTCGACTACGAGGCGGCGGGCGACGAGGAGCTGACCCTGCGGAGGGGCGATCGCGTCCAGGTGCTTTCCCAAGACTGTGCGGTGTCCGGCGACGAGGGCTGGTGGACCGGGCAGCTCCCCAGCGGCCGCGTGGGCGTCTTCCCCAGCAACTACGTGGCCCCCGGCGCCCCCGCTGCACCCGCGGGCCTCCAGCTGCCCCAGGAGATCCCCTTCCACGAGCTGCAGCTAGAGGAGATCATCGGTGTGGGGGGCTTTGGCAAGGTCTATCGGGCCCTGTGGCGTGGCGAGGAGGTGGCAGTCAAGGCCGCCCGGCTGGACCCTGAGAAGGACCCGGCAGTGACAGCGGAGCAGGTGTGCCAGGAAGCCCGGCTCTTTGGAGCCCTGCAGCACCCCAACATAATTGCCCTTAGGGGCGCCTGCCTCAACCCCCCACACCTCTGCCTAGTGATGGAGTATGCCCGGGGTGGTGCACTGAGCAGGGTGCTGGCAGGTCGCCGGGTGCCACCTCACGTGCTGGTCAACTGGGCTGTGCAGGTGGCCCGGGGCATGAACTACCTACACAATGATGCCCCTGTGCCCATCATCCACCGGGACCTCAAGTCCATCAACAGTAAGTGGTGTCCTCTCCCCAAAATTCCTTCCACAGAACCTCTCAAGGCCAGGCCTAGGTGGTGGGAAACAGGGTGAGGGACACCAGATGACACTGTGCCTGGAGTGAGAAGGGGCAGCAGTATGATACCTTCAGGGTGAAGGTGAGGTAGGCCTTGCCTGCCTTAAGGGAGAAAAAGGAGGCTCAGAAAGGTTGAAGGACTTACCTGCCTCCCAGGCTGCAGAGTCACAATCGCTCAGTAAACATGTATCCATGAACACCTGCGTTCCCTGCATGAACAGGACAGATGCAGTGCCTGCCTTCAAGGTGCTTGCCATCCAGCCATGCTGCCAGAGTCCACCAGGCAGAGACAAAAAGAGCCTACCCCGTCTGGAGTCAGTGTCTCTCAACCCCAGCACTATTGGCACTTGAGGCCAGATCATTGTTGTAGGGGCTGTCCTGTAAATTGTGAGTTGCTTAGCGGCATCTTTAGCCTCTTCCCACTAGATGTCATTAGCATTCCCTGCCCCCTCTCCCCAGCTATGACAACCAAAAGTGTCTCCAGGCATTGCAAATGTCCCCTGGGGGGCAGAATCACCCCCAGTTGAGAACCATTTCCTGGAGTCTTCATAGGCCGAGCTGGCCAAGGCAAACTGGAAAAGATGAGGGAGGAATTAAATTGATGTGGCTTATATAAAAGCTTCCAGGCTGCCTGATAGGTTCTCCAAAGTTGATTGGTTGGTTGAATAAATAATGGAGCCAGGTAGAAGGGAACATTCTGCAAGACTCATTTCTAGATGGAAGAGCTTCATGTGGTGTCAACAAGTATTAATTGAGCACCTATTAAGCAGGAGCCCAGCTGGGAGTAAGACAGCCATGGTTTCTGCCCTGACAGTACTCACAGGCTAGCAATTTCATTCATTCATTCCACAGATATTTCCAGAGTGCTGTGTGCCAGACCCTGTCCCAGGGATACAGCAAGAAAAAAAAAATCTTACATTCCTGGCTCTCCCATTCGTGCTGTGCCCCATCTCACTCCCTTTCATTTCTTCATTCATTTGTTCATTCTTCCATTTGGTATTTACCAGGCCAGATCATGTGCTAAGCAAAGGCATCAGCAGTGGAGAAGGCCAGCATGTCCCCGGCCCTCACGTCACTCACAGTTAAGCCCCAAAATGTGAAGGTGCCCCCTTTGCTCTCAACACCCACATCTCATCTATTCCTGATTTCTGTCACTTCTACATCTTGAAATTTATTTTAATCCATCCCACTATTTTTAGGAATATATTGCTATTCCCCACCCATAGCAATTGTAAGCCCCTAGAATAGAGGGACTGCATCTTCCTTGCCTCCCAAGCCTGACATTTGTATATCAACAGAGAGCTTGGCTGGGCGCGGTGGCTCACGCCTGTAATCCCAGCACTTTGGGAGGCCGACGTGGGTGCATCACCCGAGGTCAGGAGTTCGAGACCAGCCTGACCAATATGGTGAAACCCCTTCTCTACTAAAAATACAAAAATTAGCTGGGCATGGTGGCATGCATCTGTAATCCCAGCTACTCAGGCTGAGGCAGAAGAATCGCTTGAAACCAGGAGGTGGAGGTTGCAGTGAGCCGAGATTGCACCACTGCACTCCAGCCTGGGTGACAGAGCAAGATTCCATCGCAAAAAAAAAAAGCTAACATGTGACCACGATGTGCCAGAGCTGGTGCTGTGTCTGGGGAACTGATGCTTATGCCCCAGCACCTCTGAAATGTTGGGTAAATGGAGGCAGGGCCACCCAGCATGCTCCTGTTGAAGGCTGGGACTCCTCAGCCCTTCCTCACCTCTGCTGATTGACAGCACGCCCCACACCCCCAGGTTTTTTGTAGCCAGTGCTATCTGGTCAAAGGGTCAGTGGGCCTCTTATGGCCAGGGCTTCCTCCCGGGGTGATGGGTCTGCTCTGTGCCAGAAACAGAGGACACAGCGCCTCCACAGCACTGCTTCCCCACTCATCCTACCCTAAGGAGCGCCTCATCTGCCATCATTCATTCATTGGTTCATTCCACCAGTAATTCTTAAGTGCCTACTCTTACTAGGCACTGCCTCAGCTCTGGGATTACAGAAGTGAACAAGGCAAGATTTCTCCCTCCCCCAGCTATGGAATTTATATTCCGGTGAACAGGAATAAATGATGGATAGATGGATACCAAAATTTCAGAGAGTATCAGGGGCTCTCAGTGGACTAAGGCAAAGGCTGGAGCAGAGGGTTCTCTTTATTTAGATCGGGTGGTCAGGGAAGGCAACATTTGAGCAGAGACCTGAACAAAGGGGACCCAGCTTTACAAAGATCTGGGGAAGGGGAACAGTGGGGCACATGCCCTGAGGTGGGAGTGAGTGTGTCTCACTGGAGAACAGCAAGACCAGAACAGCAGGCATTGAGGCAGAGATGGGAGGAAGTAGGATCAGAAAGGCTGGCAGGAGCCAGATCACATAGGACCTTGGGGGCCATGGTGAGGACTTGGGGTATTTTATTTGATGTAGTGGAAGCCATTAGAGGATTTGAAGCAGGGAGTGACATGATTACATAAAGATTTTGAAGGGGGACTGACTTAGGCCCAGCCTGGGAAATACAGAAATAAAGCATAAAACCATGAGATGTTCCCTCTGTCACAGGGTTTCGATACAAACAGGAGAGGTGGGGACCTAAGAAGGGAAAACTTCTGCAGAGGTGGAGTTACAGACTAGGAATTTACAGTGGGGGCTTCCAGGAGGAGGTAACACTGAAGCCCGCCCGGCCTTTTTTTTTTTTTTTTTTTTTTTTTTTTTTTTTTTTTGAGACAGAGTCATCTCACTCTGTGACCCAGGCTGGAGTGCAGTAGTGTGATCACAGCTCACTGAACCTTCCGCCTCCCGGGTTCAAGTGATCCTTCCACCTCAACTTTCCAAGTAGGCAGGGCTACAGGCGTGCGCCACCAAGCCTGGCTAATTTTTGTATTTCTAGTAGAGACGGTGGTCTTGCCATGTTGGCCAGGCTGGTCTTGAACTCCTGACCTCAGGTGATCCGCCTGCCTTAGCCTCCCAAAGTGCTAGGATTACAGGCATGAGCCACCGCGTCCAATCTGAAGCTGGGCTTTAAAGGATGGGCAGGATTATCAATTGTGTGACCCTGGGTGATTTGCCAATCTCTGCCACCTTCAGTTCCTTCATCTGCCAAATGGGCATGATAGTAGAACTACCTTACTATTATTATTATGACTGGGAAGTAGCCAGGAATGGCAAAAAGAAAAGTGGAGAAATTCGGAACAATTATGGCAATATCACACACTAATAATAACAGCTAACACTTTTAAAGGCCCTATTGCTTCAGGCAATAAATTTTTACTATAACGCTAGAAGGTAAATTCTGTTACGAGCCCCATTTCATAGAGGAGAAGTCTCGGTGTGAAGATTAAAGTAAACTGTACAGGGTTATGCACCTAGGAAGAAGCAGGGCTGAGACTCAAACCCAGGCAGCACACTGTATACTTTGGAGCCTCTATGTGATAGAAGGTAGTAAAATATCTCAGCAGTTAAGAGATTGAGCTCTGATGACAAAACTAATTCAAGCCTTTGTCCTGCCATTTTCTAACCATGTGACCTCTTGGCCAAGTGACTTCTGAGCCTCTGTTAGCTAGTCAAGAAAAATGGGTTGTGGCTGGGTGCAGTGGTTTACTCTTGTAGTCCCAGCAATTTGGGAGTCCAAGGCTGGAGGATTGTTTAAGCCCAGAAGTTTGAAGCTACAGCAAGCCATAATCACACCACTGCACTCCAGTCTGAGTGACAGAAAAAGACCCTGTCTCTTTATTTATTTATTTATTTCATTGAGATGGAGTCTCGCTCTGTCATCCAGGTTGAAGTGCAGTGGCACGATCTCGGCTCACTGCAACCTCTGCCTCCTGGGTTCAAGTGATCCTCTCACCAAAGCCTCTCAAATAGCTGGGACTCCAGGCACCCGCCACCACACCCAGCTAATTTTTGTATTTTTAGTAGAGACAGGGTTTCACTATGTTGGCCAGGCTGGTCTCGGTCTCCTGACCTCAAGTGATCCACCTACCTTGGCCTCCCAAAGTGCTGGGATTACAGGCATGAGCCACTGCTCCTGGCCAACCCTGTCTCTTTAAAAAAATAAAAAAGGGCTCGGGGTGGGGGTCATTCATGAGTCAATTCCTATAGAGAGCTTAGCACAGTACAAACACTAGCCATGATCCTCATGGCTGTTAGTGACAACCCGGGTAGAAAGTAAGCTAGAACCATCCAGTATGTTTAGGGAATACTTCAGTCAGATTTTGTCACGATCATGCTGTGTAATAAGCTACCCCCAAAACTCGGCATCTTAAAACAGCCATTGTGTATTACTGCTCCTGCATTTGCGGACCAGCTGGAGGGTAAACTGATGGAGGCTGGGCTCAGCTGGAGAGGCTTTGCTCCAAGTAGCTCTCATCTTCTTGGACAAGCAGGCTAGCTGAGGCATGTTGTCATGGTGATGACACAAGTGCAAGAGGGCCAGCAGACATGCAAGGCCTGGGCTTGGAATTGGCACCCTGTCATTCTTAGCCAAAGCAAGTCATACGGCTGAGCCAGAGTCAGGGTGCACTCTGCCTTTGTTTTTGTTTTTGTTTTTGTTTTCTCGGAGACAGAGTCTCGCTCTGTCACCCAGGCTGGAGTTCAATGGCGCAATCTCAGCTCACTGCCACCTCCACCTCCCAGGTTCAAGTGATTCTCATGCCTCAGCCTTCCAAGTAGCTGGGATTACAGGTGAGCACCATGATGCTCGGCTAATTTTTGTATTTTTAGTAGAGATGAGGTTTCACCATGTTGGCCAGGCTGGTCTCGAACTCCTGACCTCAAGTGATCCGCCTGCCTTAGCCTCCCAAAGTGCTGGGATTACAGGTGTGAGCCACCGTGCCTGGCCATACTCTGCCTCTTTAGCAGAAAGAATGGCAAAGTCTCATGGCAGAGTGTGGACACAGGAAGGGGTAGAATTGGGACCCTGACTGCAGTGTGCCACGGGGGTGATAGACACGAGGGGGAAGCCACGTTCCTCCCTTCTGCCCCAGGTTTGCACTTCCTGCTTCCAGGGTAGCTGGGAACTCAAGGCCTGGAGGACTAAGGCCTTGGCTGTTGTTTCTTTTTTTTGAGACGAGGTCTCACTCTATTGCCCAGGCTGGAGTGCAATGGCAAGACCATGGCTCACTGCAGCCTCAACCTCCCAGCCTCAAGTGATCCTCCCAACTTAGCCTCCCAAGTGGCTGGGACTGTAGGCATGCACCACCACACCCAGGTATTTTTAAAAAGTTTTTGTAGAGATGAGGTCTTGCCATGTTGCACAGGCTGGTCTCGAACTCCTGGGCTCAAGTGACCCGCTTCAGCCTTGGCTGTTGGTTCTTGACCATTCATGGAGCTCCCCAAAGCCCAGGACAGAATCAGGAGGGCAGAGGACACAGGAGGAGCTCCCTACTCCCTCATGGGAGCCTGGGACAGGGATTAGACCTGGGCGGAGGGGCTCATGGATGTTCCAGGCCAGGAAAGGACCTGCCACAGAGCGGGGCAGCCTGAGGCAGTGAGAGGAAAGACGTGTTTCTAGCTGAGGCAGCGGGCCAGAACACTTGGGTCTGCGGCGTGGCAGGTCTGGGGTGACCCACCTTTCTTCCCACCCCACAGTCCTGATCCTGGAGGCCATCGAGAACCACAACCTCGCAGACACGGTGCTCAAGATCACGGACTTCGGCCTCGCCCGCGAGTGGCACAAGACCACCAAGATGAGCGCTGCGGGGACCTACGCCTGGATGGCGCCGGAGGTTATCCGTCTCTCCCTCTTCTCCAAAAGCAGTGATGTCTGGAGGTGCTGAAAGGCGCGGCCGGGATGGCCTCTGGGGAGTAAGGGAGGGAGGAAGGGGTGAGGGCAGAGTGGGAGGGAGGGTCTCCTGCTGAAGCCAGGATCTCAGTCTGACAAAGGGACCTGCTGGCAAGGTCAGGCCACCAGACAAGTGCCAGTTACCTGTTCAGCTAGCACAAATGGCAACTAGGGGGCACACTGGATTAGAATAAAAAGCTCATAGGATCTAGAGACAAGGCCGGGCGCGGGGGCGCACACCTGTAATCCCAGCACTTTGGGAGGCCGAGGTGGGCGGATCACTTGAGGTCAGGAGTTTGAGACCAGCCTGACCAACATGGTGAAACCCCATCTCTACTAAAAATACTAAAATTACCTGGGCGTGGTGGCAGATGCCTGTTGTCCCAGCTACTCGGGAGACTGAGGCAGGAGAATCACTTGAGGCCGGGAGGCAGAGATTGCAGTGGGCTGGGATTGGCCACTGCACTCCAGCCTGGGTGACAGAGCGAGACTCTGTCTCCAAAAAAAGAAAAAATTTAAAAAAGCATAGAGACAGCACATGGATGCTAGCACTGAAAGCCCCCTCAGACACTAGCCCATGCACTGTCCCATCTGTCAGACAGGAAAATGATTAATTCACTCATTCATTCCTTCATCTAACTGCACCGGGTTCTAGGGATATAGCAGAGAAGAAAAATACATGCAATCCCTGCCCTCAGGAATAGTAAGTCAGTCAACATACAAGAAGCTCTTTTTTATAAAGCTGTTTTTTAAGAAAATTATAATTTTTAAAGACAAGTACACCAGAAAAAAGTGTTAGTACAAAGTGCGAGGAGGCTGAGAGGAAGGCACTTTAAGGGCTGGAAGACTACTTTTGGGAACGCTTCTCTGAGCAATCTGAGAAATGATACTTCATCTGAGTTCCAAGTGGCAAAAAGGAACCAGTCACGAAAAGTTTGGAGGAAGAAGGAGGTGCTGAGGTGAGCATGGTGTGTCCCAGAAACAGCAAAGAGGCCCATGTGGCTGCCACTGTGCAGGCAAGGAAGAGAGAGGTAGGAAATTATGTAGGAGAGGGAGCTGGAAGGCCCTGTGGGTGAGGGAGTGGCCTTCAGGTTTTATTCTAATGAAGTAGGAAGCCATGAGGAGCCATGTCTGAATAGAGTGGTAGCTCACACCTATAATCCCAGTACTTTGGGAGGCCAAGGTGGGAGGATCACTTGAGGCCAGGAATTTGAGACCAGCCTGGTCAATGTAGTGAGACCCCATGTATATGAAAAAGAAATTTTTAAATTAATTTTTATAAAAGGAAGTAAATAAAAACTCCTTTGGAGGCCGGGTGCGGTGGCTCACGCCTGTAATCCCAGCACTTTGGGAGGCCCAGGTGGGTGAATCCCTTGACACCAGGAGTTTGAGACCAGCCTGGCCAACATGGTGAAATCCCACCTCTACTAAAAATACAAAAATTCGGCCAGGCGCGGTGGCTCACGCCTGTAATCCTGGCACTTTGGGAGGCCGAGGTGGGTGGTTCACTTGAGGCCAGGAGTTCATTCAGGACTAGCCTGGCCAACATGGTGAAACCCCATCTCTACTAAAAATACAAAAATTAGCCAGGCATGGTGGTGGGTGCCTGTAGTCCTAGCTACTCAGGAGGCTGAGGCAGGGGAATTGCTTGACTGCAGGAGGCAGAGGTTGAGATGGCGCCGTTGCACTCCAGCCTGGGTGACAGAGCAAGACTCCATCTGAAAAAAAATACTTAAAAATAAAAGCTCCTTTGACTGTTAGGTAGAGACAGCCAATGATGGGTCTGTTGCTGTCACCAGTGAGAGTTGATGGTGGCCATGGAGACTTTCAACCCAGGACCTTCTGCTTGGTTGGAGCCAAACCTGGGTCTCCCCATTTACTGTTCCCGTCAATTCCCAGCTGAGGCTCCAGATTGTCCAAGCAGCAAATTAATGGGTATGGGACTGAGACAGATCAGACAGGAAGTCTCCAGCTCAGCCTAGAGCAGAGCAGCCCTTTGGGAGAATTTCCAACTGGCTGTACATCAGGCGTTCATTTGTGCTACCTTTTTTTTTTTTTTTTTTTTTTTTGGGACAGAGTCTCACTCTGCCGCCCAGGCTGGAGTGCAATGGCACAATCTCAGCTCACTGCACCCTCCTCCTCCCAGATTCAAGTGATTCTTGTGCCTCAGCCTCCCGAGTAGCTGAGATTATAGGCATGCACTGGCTAATTTTTATATTTTTAGTGGAGACAGGGTTTCACCATGTTGGCTAGGCTGGTCTTGAAGTCCTGACCTCAGGTGATCCGCCCGCCTCAGCCTCCTAGAGTGCTGGGATTACAGGCATGAGTCACTGCACCCGGCCGGGCAGGCTAATTCTTTCTGATGTGGTCCTGTCCTGTACTTAGCAGGATGCAGGATATCCACACCTCCCCGCCATAAACTTCAGTAACATTCTCAGTCATTATTACAATCACAGTAACCCCATAGGTTTCCAAGGACATGGGAGAGAGGGGTGGATCATGCTACCCTCCAGTTATAAACCACTGTTTCTCCCCCACCTTGTATGGTCTCCATTCTGAAGTTTACTTCATGATCCAAAATGACTGCTTGAGCTCCAGCGTTTTTTGTTTTTTTTTTTTTTTTGAGCTGGAGTCTTGCTCTGTCGCCCAGGCCGGAGTACAGCGGCGCGATCTTGGCTCACTGAAACCTCTGCCTCCTGGGTTCAAGCAATTATCCTGCCTCAGCCTCCCAAGTAGCTGGGACTACAGGCACATGCCACCAGGCCCAGCTAATTTTTGTATTATTTATTTATTTTTTTTAATTTTTCAGTAGAGACGGGGTTTCACCATATTGGCCAGGACAGCCTTGATCTCTTGACCTCATGATCTGCCCACCTGGGCCTCCTAAAGTGCTGGGATTACAGGCGTCAGCCACCGCACCCAGCCTTTTTTTTTTTTTTTTTTTTAACAGGGTCTTGCTCTGTCACCCAGGCTGGAGTGCAGTGATGCCGTCACAAATCATTGCAGCCTCAACCTCCTGGGCTCAAGTGATCCTCCCACCTCAGCCTCTCTAGTAGCTGGGACTACAGGCATGCCACCACACCAGGCTAATTTTTTGTAGAGACGAGGTCTCACTTTGTTTCCTACGCTGGTCTCGATCTCTTGGGCTCAAGAGGTCCTCTTGTCTTGGCCTCCCAAAGTGCTGACATTACAGGCGTGAGCCACTGTGCCTAGCTCCACACGCCAGCTTTTTTTTTTTTTTTTTTTTTAATTTTAAGTTCTGGGATACATGTGCAGAACGTGCAGGGTTTGTTACATAGGTATACATGTGCCATGGTAGTTTGCTGCACCCATCAACCCATCATCTAGGTTTGAAGCCCCGCGTGTGTCAGGTATTTGCCTAATGCTCTCCCTCCCCTTGTCCCCCACCCCCCAGGCTCCAGGTTTTATGTCTACATTCCAACCACAAGAAGGGGAAAAAAGGAAAATGGCACCCCTTCTTTTTATTTTTTGAGACGTAGTCTCACTCTGTCTTCCAGGCTGGAGTTCAGTGGCACGATCTCAGCTCACTGCAAGCTCCGCCTCCTGGGTTCACGCCATTCTCCTGCCTCAGCCTCCCGAGTAGCTGGGACTACAGGCGCCCGCCACCACGCCTGACTAATTTTTTGTATTTTTAGTAGAGACGGGGTTTCACCGTGCTAGCCAGGATGGTCTCAATCTCCTGACCTTGTGATCCGCCCGCCTCGGCCTCCCAAAGTGCTGGGATTACAGGCGTGAGCCACCGCGCCCGGCCTCATTTTCTTACCCATGTTGTTTTTGTTCCTGCGCTCCTGTGCCTGTCTGCTGTGCTGAGCTGCAGATGTGTCCTGCCGCGGCTTCGCAGGACAGGGATAAGTTGAGACAGGAAGCAAGAAGCCTTGCCTGTCAGGCTGCCCTTGGCATGACTAGAGTGTATGTGGGGATTTTCACCTCTTATTTTGGGGTCCATTCTGTTCCTTCTTTGAACAATAGTCTTTACAGGATAGGGTGTTTGGGGACAGATTTCATCTTATTTAAGATATAAATAATATAAAATTAACCCACTATAAATTTATTTTTCATTTAAAAAAATTTTTAAAAGACAGGCTCTCACTCTCCCACGCAGGCTAGAATGTGGTGGTATAGTCATAGCTCACTGCAGCCTTGAACTCTTGGGCTCAAGCCATCATCCCACCTCACACTCTTTCCCGGCCGGGCACCCCTTCTTTTTGAGGATACTTCCTGGAAGCTAGTTGCCTACTACACCCCCTCCTACATCCCATGTACCAGAACTGTGGTCATGTGGCATGCTTAGCTGCAAAGGAGAATGGAAAATTCATGCAGGCAGCATGTGGCCAGCTCAATTCACCAGCACTGTCACTGAAGAATGGGAGGCTGTCAGCTGCATATGGGGGCAGTGATTGTGTCTATCTCTTCCCAATGTCTAAAATGGTGCTTGGCACACAGTAGGCACTTAATAAGTATACGTTGAATGGGCCGGGCGCAGTGGCTCATGCCTGTAATCCCAGCACTTTGGGAGGCTGAGGCAGGCGGAACCTGAGGTCAGGAGTTGGAGACCAGCCTGGCCAACATGGTGAAACCCCATCTCTACTAAAAATACACAAATTAGCTGGGATGGTGGTGCACATCTGTAATCCCAGCTACTTGGGAGGCTGAGGCACAAGAATCACTTGAACCCAAGAGGCGGAGGTTGCAGGGAGCCGAGATCATGCCACTGCACTCCAGCCTGGGTGACAGAGACTTTGTCTCAAAAAAAAAAAAGGATATGTTGAATGAATGCATGAGTGGATAGTGGGGAGACCAGGGATCTACTCCAGGATAAACACCACACAGAATGGCCATCAGGATCTGGGAGGATGTAGAGTTTGCAGAGGAAGATAGCCTTGCAGGGACCACAGCACAGTGACGCACGCTCTGGTACCATGGAGCCACTGAGAGCACTGTCGTGGGCAGCAGGCAGACCTGAGTCCAAGTGTGGCTCCACCACTCACTAGCTGTGTGACCTTGGGCAAGCCCCTTACCTCTCTGAGCGTGTACCTGCTCATCAGCTAAAGCAGGGGTCATACCAAATCCTTCTGCCTTACAGGGCTGTTGTGAGGATTACCGAGTGCCTAGCACAGTGCCTGGCCTGCAGTAAGTGCTTTATAAATGTTAAATAATGTTAACTGGTTTTTAGAGGTAAGTGCTGAGTGTTTTGGGGAAACGTAGAGGAGGGGCCTCTAACCTAGCTTTGGAGGCTGTGGAATCAAGGAAGGCTTCCTGACAGAGGGGGCAACCTGTGTTGAGACTTGAGGGACAAATAGTTACACAAGGGAAGAGTGTTCTCCACAAAGGGAACAGCATGTGTGAAGGCCAGAGGTTAGAAAGCACAGGGCCTGCTCAGTATTCAGTGTGGCTGCAAGATGAAGTTGGGGTTAGAATGGGCTGAGAGTGTTTGGAAGTGAGGCTGCAGGGGTCATCAAAGGCCAGGGCCAAGAAGGATGGATTTAGGTGGGATGCAGTGGCTCATGCCTGTAATCCCAGCACTTTGGGAAGCCCAGGCAGGAGGATCACTTGAGCCCAGGAGTTTGAGACCAGCCTGGGCAACATAGTGAGACCTCCATCTCTACAAAAATAAAAATAAGAAAGATGGATTTGGCCAGTAGGAACACGGGACCTGAAGATTTTCAGGCAGGGGAGAGGGAAGACAGGCCGAGCAAAGGAGAGACATCAGAGAGCCAAACCCACCCCATCTATTGGAGAACAAGGCCATGGAGGTCAAAGCAAGTTCTTGTGACCTCATTGGCCGGGGGTGGCTGTTGGGGTGAGGGCAGCCCTGCATGGGACCAAGGGCAGGGCTGGGTATAGGTGAGGATTGGGGTGGGCTGCGACATCACCCCTCCCTCTCCCCTGCCTGCAGCTTCGGGGTGCTGCTGTGGGAGCTGCTGACGGGGGAGGTCCCCTACCGTGAGATCGACGCCTTGGCCGTGGCGTATGGCGTGGCTATGAATAAGCTGACGCTGCCCATTCCCTCCACGTGCCCCGAGCCCTTTGCCCGCCTCCTGGAGGGTGAGCCGGGGCCCCGTGACGAGGGTAGGCTCAGCTTGGAGTGGCAGGGACCTGTGGGCCCAGACCTTTCCCCTTCACACCTATCCATACCAGTGGGCCCAGGAGTGAGGAAGAAGGGGCTGGAACCCACTGGACTCTAAACAGCCTCCCCATGGTTGGCTCCATCCCCCACATCCCAGCCCTTGTTTGGGCCAGGCCCAGAGCTCTCAGGACAACCTGTTAGGATTCCTTGGCCCTGGGATTCCACCTTGATCCTGATTCCACTACCAGCCCCTCCTCGGGGTGCAGGTCCCAGGGTTTCTCTCCCAGCGTTTCACTGAGTGGAATTGGCCAGGAGCTTGGCTTTGAATCCCTTCCCCTCAGCTCCATAGCAGCTGTTTGTCTGCCATCCCCAGAAATTCTGCCTTCCTCTGAGCAGGCTGAGTCCCCAGAGCATGACCACTGACACCTCCATGCCCCACCACTGTCCTTCCTCCTCCCACCCCAGAATGCTGGGACCCAGACCCCCACGGGCGGCCAGATTTCGGTAGCATCTTGAAGCGGCTTGAAGTCATCGAACAGTCAGCCCTGTTCCAGATGCCACTGGAGTCCTTCCACTCGCTGCAGGAAGACTGGAAGCTGGAGATTCAGCACATGTTTGATGACCTTCGGACCAAGGAGAAGGTGAAGGCAGGGGGCAAGGTGGGAAAGATGGAGCAAGACCCCTGAGTTCTGATGCCTTGGGCTGCTCAGAGACTCCTCCCCTGAACCCCAGCCTTTGGGTCCATGCAGGGTCAAGGGAGCCTTTTTTGCATATTAAGAAAAGACAGCCTCCTGTTGGTGGATTAATAAGAAAAAGGCACCCTGTACTGAAGTACTTACAGGTGACACTGCATGATGTCTGGGGTTGGCTTTAAAATACTACAGCAGAAACGAAGAGAGGGCAAGAGGAGAGAAGGACGGGGATACAAGATTCGCAAAGCATAGGTAATTGTTGAAATTGGATGATGGGTACAGGGGGGTGCACTGTTCTCTGCTTTTGTGGATGTTTGAAGTTTTCTAAATTGAAGAGTTAAGAAAGAAAAAGAAAGAAAAAGCACCCCTTTCTTTGAGCTAACACAGTTCCCTGCCCTGGCACCCAGCTTGGCTAGCAAAGCATGAGTCGGGTGGTGAAACCAGTGTACCCCACAGCAAGGTACCCTTGTGTGAGGCACCAACCAGACGCAGCAGCCCTGGGTCCCTCCCCAGGAAGCAGAGCAGCTAAGCCCCTCCCCCCAGCCACCGCCTCTCCTTCCCAGGAGCTTCGGAGCCGTGAGGAGGAGCTGCTGCGGGCGGCACAGGAGCAGCGCTTCCAGGAGGAGCAGCTGCGGCGGCGGGAGCAGGAGCTGGCAGAACGTGAGATGGACATCGTGGAACGGGAGCTGCACCTGCTCATGTGCCAGCTGAGCCAGGAGAAGCCCCGGGTCCGCAAGCGCAAGGGCAACTTCAAGCGCAGCCGCCTGCTCAAGCTGCGGGAAGGCGGCAGCCACATCAGCCTGCCCTCTGGTACCCACCCGTGTCCCCAGAGCGCCCCCCAAGAGGCTGCTGGGAGCAGCCCCGACCTAGGATTTATCTCTTCCTTTTCTTTTTCAACTTGTTTTTATTGCTAAATATATCGCACATAGTCAGTGATCAGCCCAGTGCAGTGGCGAGCACTTGTAGTCCCAGCCTACTCAGGAGGCCAAGGTGGGAGGATCACTTGAGGCCAGAAGTTTGAGACCAGCCTGGGCAACATAGACCCCATATTTACCAAAAAAAAAAAAAATTTTTTTTAATTAGCTGGCCACGTTGGCATGCACTTATAGTCCAAGCTAGTGGGGAGGCTGAGGTGGGAGGATCACTTGAGTCCAGGAGTTCGAGGCTGCAGTGAGCTGTAATTGCACCACTGCACTCCAGTCTGGGCAGCAGAGCAAGACCCTATCTCTAAAGGGAAGAAGAAGAAAAAAAGAAAATGACCAAAAACCTGTACAGCCAAATGAGTTACTCTAGTCACCCCCATGAAAGCAGAGAGAACCTCACAGCCATCCCAAGTGCTTTCTACCTGCCCCTCCAGACAACCTCACACCATCCCCTGAGAGGAACATCTGTCTTGACACTTAGGACAGTCACTTCTGAACTTTCTTTTTCATGTTATCTCTCTTTAAAAATATCTTTTAATCTGGCCAGGTGCAGTGGCTCACGCCTGTAATCCCAGCATTTTGGGAGGCCAAAGTGCGTAGATCACTTGAGGCTAGGAGTTCTAGAGCAGCCTGGCTCTAGAACATGGTGAAATCCCGCCTCTACTAAAACTACAAAATTAGCTGGGTGTGGTGGTGCACACGCCTGTAATCTCAGTTACTTGGGAGGCTGAGGCACAAGCATCGCTTGAACCCGGAAAGCAGAGGTTGCAGTGAGCCGAGATTGTGCCACTGCACTCCAGCCTGGGTGACAGAGTGAGACTCTGTCACAAAATATATAATTAAGATATACATATATATGCTGATATTTGACCATTTTTTTACCTACAAAAACAGAAGTTTCACATGGATCAACCTAATAGTTGGATCTCAAGACTTAATCAGATTCAGATTCAGGTTTGATTTTTTTTTTCCCCACACTGCTTCCCAGGTAATGCATTCAGGAGGGAGGCACGTAGTGTCTACTTGTCTCTTTCTGTGATGTTACAAGCCAGAAAGCAGTGCCTTAAGCAGCAGTGGCCAGTGGAAATATAATACAAGCCACGTGTATAATTTTAAATTTTCTAGTAAGCTACACATAAAAGCAAAAAGAAATAAGAGATGTCAATTTTAATATTTTTTATTAGGCCAGGTGGGGTGGCTCACGTCTGTAATCCCAGCACTTTTTGGGGCTAAGACGGGCAGATCACCTGAGGTCAGGAGTTTGAGACCAGCCTGACCAACATGGAGAAACCCCATCTCTACTAAAACTACAAAATTAGCCGGGCGTGGTGGCGCATGCCTGTAATCCCAGCTACTCAGGAGGCTGAGGCAGGAGAATCGCTTGAACCTGGGAGGCAGAGGTTGCAGTGAGCCGAGATCGCGCCATTGTACTCCAGCCTGGGCGACAAGAGCAAAACTCCATCTCAAAAAATATATATATTTTTTAATTTAGCCCAATATATCCATGCAATCAATACAAAATAATTGTGAGATATTTTACCTTCTTTTTTCACACTAAATCTTTGAAATCCAGATGTATTTTATATTTATGGCACATCTAAATTTGGACAGTAAATTTTCATTAAAAATTTTTTTTTTTCTGAGATGGGGTCTTGCTATATTGCCCAGGGTGGTCTTGAACTCCTGCGCTCAGGCAGCGCTCCCACTTTGGCCTCCCAAAGTGCTGGGATTACAGGTGTGAGCTACTGTACCTGACCCATCAAAAATATTGGATCTGTATTTAGATTTCATAAAAGTTAGAGTTGAAAAAGTACATATACATACCCAAGTTGCTCCAAACATGCTTAAATGTTTCCAATAACCAAATGGAGTACCTGTTTTTTGTTGTTTGTTTTTTTGTTTTTGTTTTTGTTTTTTTTGAGATGGAGCCTCGCTCTGTCACCCAGGCTGGAGTGCAGTGGCATGATCTCGGCTCACTGCAAGCTCTGCCTCCCAGGTTCATGCCATTCTCCTGCCTCAGCCTCCTGAATAGCTGGGACTACAGGCACCCGCCACCACGCCTGGCTCTTTCTTTCTTTTTTTTTTTTTTTTTTTTTTTTGTATTTTTAGTAGAGACAGGGTTTCACCGTGTTAGCCAGGATGGTCTCAATCTCCTGACCTCGTGATCCGCCTGCCTCGGCCTCCCAAAGTGCTGGGATTACAGACATGAGCCACCGCGCCCAGCCCCCATACCTGTTTTTAAAATTTAAACTCAAATTGCGGTAATTACAATAAAATAAAGAGTTGGCTGGGCATGGTGGCTCACACCTGTAATCCCAGCACTTTGGGAGGCGGATGCTGGAGGATTGCTCGAGGCCAAGAGTTCAAGACCAGCCTGGTCACCACAGTGAGAACTCATCCTTTATATATATATATATATACAGTTTAAAAATTAGATAAATAAAGGTTAAACTCCAATTCCCCCATTGCACAAGCCACATTTCAAGGTGCTCAGCTGCTACACGTAGCTACTGGCGGCCATATTGGACACTGAGGCCTAGGTCCTTGATCCACAAGAGCTCTTGTGCTTGTACTTATTAAACCACAGTCCATTGCTGAGCCTCACCCCAACTTGCTGATTCAGGGAGGGCCCAAGAATTTGCATTGCCAAGAAATTTTCAGCTGATGGTGATGCTGCTGTTCTGGGGCCCACACTCTGAGAACCACTGCATTAAGGAATGAAAAATGGCGGTGTTCCCATTCTAGAATTCCTTCTCTACTTCTACAGAAGAAAATTCCCTTTGGTAATCCCTGGAACCATTTGCTTAGGAAAGCTTCTCTTTCTTTCTGCAGGCTTTGAGCATAAGATCACAGTCCAGGCCTCTCCAACTCTGGATAAGCGGAAAGGATCCGATGGGGCCAGCCCCCCTGCAAGCCCCAGCATCATCCCCCGGCTGAGGGCCATTCGCCGTGAGTATCTCCCAAGGCCCTGACCAGTCAGTCAGTCAGTGAACAAACATTTTTTAGCACGATGTTTATACCTGGCACCAAGCCAGAGTAACAGCAAGAAAGAAGACAGACAAGGCCCTTTTCCTCATTCTTATCACAGGAAACAGATAGTAAACAAATAAGTCAGTAAGCAGGATAATTTCTTTTTTTTTTTTTTCTTTTTTTTTGGAGACAGACAGAGTCTCGCTCTATCTCCCAGGCTGGAGTGCAGTGGTGCAATCTTAGCTCACTGCAACCTCCGCCTCCTGGGTTCCAGCGATTCTCCTGCCTCAGCCTCCCGAGTAGCTGTGGTTACAGTCACACATGACCACGCCTGCCTAATTTTTTGTATTTTTAATAGAGATGGGGGTTTCACCATGTTGGCCAGGCTGGTATCGAACTCCTGACCTCAAGTGATCCACCCACCTCAGCCTCACAAAGTGCTGGGATTACAGCATGAGCCACCGCGCCCGGGCGCAGGATAATTTCTAGTAGTGATAAGTTCTTTAAAGGAGCTCAGGGAAGGGAATAAAAGAGGAGATGTATTAATCGGAGTTCTTCAGAGAAACAGAATCAACAGCATATGTTTAGATATATAGAAAGAGATGTATTGGCTGGGCACGATGACTCATACCTGTAATCCCAGCACTTTGGGAGGATGAAGTGGGAGGATTGCTTGAGCCTAGGAGTTCGACACCAGCCTGGGCAACAAAGCGAGACCCCATCTCTACTTAAAAACAAAAACAAAGGCCAGGCGCGGTGGCTCACGCCTGTAATTCCAGCACTTTGGGAGGCCGAGGCAGGCGGATCACGAGGTCAGGAGATCGAGACCATCCTGGCTAATACGGTGAAACCCCGTCTCTACTAAAAATACAAAAAGTCAGCCAGGTGCTGTGACAGGCACCTGTAGTCCCAGCTACTCGGGAGGCTGAGGCAGGAAAATGGCATGAGCCCGGGAGGCGGAGCATGCAGTGAGCCGAGATAGCGTCACTGCACTCCGGCCTGGGCGAAAGAGCGAGACTCCGTCTCAAAAAAAACAAAAACAAAAACAAAAGAAATAGATGTATTATGAGGGATTGGCACATACGATTATGGAGGCTGGGAAGTCCTGCAATCTGCCTTCTGCAAGCCAGAGGTGCGGGAAAGCCGGTGATGTAGTTCCAAATCAAGTCCAAAGACCTGGCCCAGCACGGCGGCTCACGCCTGTAATCCCAACACTTTGGGAGACCGAGGCAGGTGGATCACCTGAGGTCAAGAGTTCAAGACCAGCCTGGCCAACATGGTGAAACCCAGTCTCTACTAAAAATGCAAAAATTAGCTAGGCGTGGTGGCGCATGCCTGTAATCCCAGCTACTCGGGAGACTGAGGCAGGAGAATCACTTGAACCTGAGAGGCGGAGGTTGCAGTGAGCCGAGATCGTGCCACTGCACTCCAGCCTGGGCGACAGAGTGAGACTCAGTCTCAAAAAAAAAAAAAATTGTCCAAAGACCTGAGAACCTGAACACCAATGTCCAGTGTCTCAGGGCAGGAGAAGATGGATATCCACGCTCATGCAGAGAGCAAACTCACCCTTCCTCTGCCTTCCTAGACAAAAAGAGCTAACTCTCTTTTTGTTCTGTCTGGGCCCTCAGTGGATTGGATGGTGCCCACCCACATTGGCGAGGATGATCTCTCTTTACTCAGTCCACTGATTGAAATGCTAATCATCCAGCAACACCCTCACAGAAATCATGTTTAACCAGCTACCTAGGCGTCCTTTGGCCCAGTCAAGTTGACGCATAAAATTACCCATCACAGAAGGGTTGCGATTTTCCATCTGGAAGCCCTATGGGAGGAGGTGAGGTTTGAGCAGGGACCTTCCTGCTGAGTGAGACAGGCTGAGACCTCAGGGAAGCATGCCCCTGGCGGAGGGAGCAGCAAAGGCAAAAGCTGGAGGTGAGAACAGCATGGGCTGCTTGTTAACCTGTTTGGCTGGAGCAGAGTGAATGGGAGGAGGACATAGGTTTTGTGATCAGGGAGTTCTCAGGGGTCAGATCAGGCAGGGCCCTGAGAGCAGGATAAGAGTCTGGATTTTCCTTTCTTTTTTTTTTTTTTTTTTAATTTTCATTTGACACCTTTGGTATGGATTTTTTTGTTTTTAATTTTTGTTTTTAGTTCTGGGGTACGTGTGCAGGATGTGCAGGTTTGTTACATAGGTAAACGTGTGCCATGGTGATTTGCTGCACCTGTCAACCCATCACCTAGGTAGTAAGCCCATGCATTAGCTATTTTTCCTAATATTCTCCCTCCCCCACCCTACCCCCCAACAGGCCCCAGTGTCCGTTGTTCCCCTCCCTGTGTCCATGTGATCTATTTGCTCAGCTCTCACTTATAAGTGAGAACATGCAGTGTTTGGCTTTCTGTTCCTGCATTATTTTGCTGAGGATAATGGCTTCCAGCTCCATCCATGTCCCTGCAAAGGACATGATCTCGTTCCTTTTTATGGCTGCATAGTATTCCATGGTGAGACAGACGCTCGCTCTGTCTCCCAGGCTGGAGTGCAATGGTGCGATCTCAACTCACTGCAACCTCTGCCTCCCAGGTTCAAGCGATTCTCCTGCCTCAGCCTCCCAAGTAGCTGGGACTACAGGCCTGCACCACCATGCCTGGCTAATTTTTGTATTTTTAGTAGAGATGGGGTTTTCACCATGTTGGCCAGGCTGGTCTCCAACTCCTGACCTCAAGTGATTCTTCTGCCTGGGCCTCCCAAAGTGCTGGGATTCCAGGCAAGAGCCACCGCACCTGGCCTGGTATGGATTTTCTTTTAACTGCCCTGGGGCAGCCCCCAGAGCCATGCGAGCAAGGCACTGAGGGAATCAAATTGACCTTTTTCCCTCTGGCTGCTGTAAGAAATAAAGGTGGAGAAAGCAGTGAGATGATGGAGGCCAGGCCAGGGTGGGGGACTTGGAAGGGACAGATGTCCACAGTCGGGGCTATATGGCAGAGACACGGTCATCGGAGTTTCCTGGTGGGTTGAAGGGTGAAAGGCTAGCTCCCAAGTTCCAACACCTCATTCACCCCAGCACTGTCCCCACCCACAGCCCCCCTGCCCTCTGTCTGGGCACCTGCTTTGTACCAGGCCCAGGAGGTCAGTCCTGCAGGGGACACAGAGACAAATACCCATACCATGGCAGCAAACACTGGCACCAGATAGGTCCAGAGCATTGCAGGTACAGAGATGAAGGCAGCTGACCCCCAGGGAACTAACTACCCAGAGCTGGAGACCAGAAGCGCAGGCAGCCCGCCAGAATGAATGGTGAAGGGTTAGGCTGTGAAGAGGAGGGGAGGCTGGAGGAGTTGGCAGGGAACCGCTCATGGCCTTCAGTGCCAGGCGGAGGAGCTGGAACCTTGTCCTGACAGCAGTAGGGGGCTATGGGGAGATATATAGCAGGGAGGGTCATGACTGGAGTTCAAAAGAGCCCTTGGACTCCCAGGCGGAGGGTGGGCCTGAGCTGGGGGCACTGGAGGCTGGGAGCCCAGTGGGGACAGATCCTCCACCCAGTAACCAAGTGGCTTCTCTGGACCCAGTGACTCCCGTGGACTGTGGTGGCAGCAGCAGTGGCAGCAGCAGTGGAGGAAGTGGGACATGGAGCCGCGGTGGGCCCCCAAAGAAGGAAGAACTGGTCGGGGGCAAGAAGAAGGGACGAACGTGGGGGCCCAGCTCCACCCTGCAGAAGGAGCGGGTGGGAGGAGAGGAGAGGTGAGGTGTGGTGTGGTCATGCCCACCCTGTGCCCAAGCCCCAGCTCCCAGGCTCCAGGCCACAGGACTGAGGTCTCCATCTCTCCCTGGACCCCGCAGGCTGAAGGGGCTGGGGGAAGGAAGCAAACAGTGGTCATCAAGTGCCCCCAACCTGGGCAAGTCCCCCAAACACACACCCATCGCCCCTGGCTTTGCCAGCCTCAATGAGATGGGTAAGAGCCTGGGTTCTTGTAAGGGGGTGGGGGTTCCCTGGCCAAAGGGGTGAGCCTCCTGGGGCTGAGCGAAGAGACCAGGTTTCACTGGGCCAGTGAGTGGAAGGCCTTCCTGGGAAGGGAGATGGTGGCCCCTGGGGCGTGGGGGGTCATTTCCAGGGGCAGGGACCACCCTTCTCTGAGGCTTCTCCTGGAGACAGATTCAAGAACGATGCTCGTGGGTCTTGGTCTTGCTGTTGGAGGGGTCATCGGGGGCTGTCCCTTGGCACAAGTCCCCGTGGGGCCCTGGCCAGCCCTGCAGCGGAGTGATGGCCCTCTCCGGTTGCAGAGGAGTTCGCGGAGGCAGAGGATGGAGGCAGCAGCGTGCCCCCTTCCCCCTACTCGACCCCGTCCTACCTCTCAGTGCCACTGCCTGCCGAGCCCTCCCCGGGGGCGCGGGCGCCGTGGGAGCCGACGCCGTCCGCGCCCCCCGCTCGGTGGGGACACGGCGCCCGGCGGCGCTGCGACCTGGCGCTGCTAGGCTGCGCCACGCTGCTGGGGGCTGTGGGCCTGGGCGCCGACGTGGCCGAGGCGCGCGCGGCCGACGGTGAGGAGCAGCGGCGCTGGCTCGACGGCCTCTTCTTTCCCCGCGCCGGCCGCTTCCCGCGGGGCCTCAGCCCACCCGCGCGTCCCCACGGCCGCCGCGAAGACGTGGGCCCCGGCCTGGGCCTGGCGCCCTCGGCCACCCTCGTGTCGCTGTCGTCCGTGTCCGACTGCAACTCCACGCGTTCACTGCTGCGCTCTGACAGTGACGAGGCCGCACCGGCCGCGCCCTCCCCACCACCCTCCCCGCCCGCGCCCACACCCACGCCCTCGCCCAGCACCAACCCCCTGGTGGACCTGGAGCTGGAGAGCTTCAAGAAGGACCCCCGCCAGTCGCTCACGCCCACCCACGTCACGGCTGCATGCGCTGTGAGCCGCGGGCACCGGCGGACGCCATCGGACGGGGCGCTGGGGCAGCGGGGGCCGCCCGAGCCCGCGGGCCATGGCCCTGGTGAGTGAGGCGCCCTGCACCCAGGTCACAGAAAACCCCTTCTTTCCTCCTCTGCCAGGGTCGCAAGTCCAGCCCAGCCACGACCCCTCAGGCAGCCACCTCCTGCTTCTTGTGGAGGAGGGAGGGTCTGTGTCCCTTTACCGCTCACTCCTGGAGGCATCGGGGGTCTCCAGGGGACTGAGACACAGGCGGCAAACTGATGCCTATAAGGCCAGGCAGGTGCCTATAGCGGTTGTGACCAGCATGACCATCGCCAATTCTTACACAGCCTAGACACTGTTCTCCTCCATCTGTTAACTGGGTGGGAGATGCGGCCATAGCAGTGTTATTAAGTACCCACGTCAGGCACTGTGCTGCTTGTTTTAAGTTATGGTTATTCTATTTGCTCCTCACCTGCGTGGTGAGGCACCATTTTTATCCCCCTTCAGAGCTAAGCCATGCCTGAGCTTAGCCCAGTGCAGGAGAGTCGGGAAGACCAGGGCTTTGGCCCCCGAGGCTGCCGCTAAGCAGCAGTTCCAGAAGGTTGAGGAACATGCCAGGGTCCACCCAGAGGAGCAAGCAGCTGGGAGTGGTCCCAGTCTAGGTCAAGGTCCCAGCACTGCCACACTACAGATGGAAACTGGATGCAGCAAGATCCACGGATTTCTCGAGAGAAACCAGAACTTGTGCTTTTCATGTAACAGCTCTGGGCTTTTTAATGCCACCCTCTGCCCCACCCCACTCACCTCCTCTGAACCTCTCTTACCAGGCCCTCGTGACCTTCTGGACTTCCCCCGCCTGCCCGACCCCCAGGCCCTGTTCCCAGCCCGCCGCCGGCCCCCTGAGTTCCCAGGCCGCCCCACCACCCTGACCTTTGCCCCGAGACCTCGGCCGGCTGCCAGTCGCCCCCGCTTGGACCCCTGGAAACTGGTCTCCTTCGGCCGGACACTCACCATCTCGCCTCCCAGCAGGCCAGACACTCCGGAGAGCCCTGGGCCCCCCAGCGTGCAGCCCACACTGCTGGACATGGACATGGAGGGGCAGAACCAAGACAGCACAGTGCCCCTGTGCGGGGCCCACGGCTCCCACTAAGGCCTGCCCACCACCGCCCGCCTGGGCAGCCATGAATGTAGCGCCCCAGGCCCTGCCCCAGCCCGCCATGCCACAAGGTGGGGGAGGCCCTGGGCAGGATGTTCACTCTATTTATTGGGGAAGGAGGGAGGGGGGGGACACTTAACTTATTCCTTTGTACCCCAGGGGGTGGAGCCCTGTGCCCACCCTGCACTGGGGGGAGGGTGGGCAGGGATACTCAGGGACAGGGCATCATGGGGGATTTGGCACAAAATGGAGCATTAAAGGTAACCCCTGCCCCCTACCGCACTTGATTGTGTTCCTTTTTCCTTTTTTTTTTTTTTTTTTTTTTGGAGACAGAGTCTTGCTCTGTTGCCCAGGCTGGAGTGCAGTGGCACCATCTCAGCTCACTGCAACCTCCGCCTCCTGGGTTCAAGTGATTCTTCTGCCTCAGCCTCATGAGTAGCTGGGACTACAGGCTCCCGCCACCACACCCAGATAATTTTTGTATTTTTGGTAGAGACAGGGTTTCACCATGTCGACCAGGCTGCTCTCAAACTCCTGACCTCAAGTGATCCACCCATCTCGGCCTCCCAAAATGCTGGGATTACAGGCGTGAGCCACTGCGCCTGGCCTAGACTGTTTCTTTCCCTGGCCCAGGCCCTGATGCTGGGTCATCCCAGTGGAACATTCCCCCCGACCCCACACACCCTCCCTGGGCTTCTCTGGGTTTCTAAGGTCCAAGGGATGAGGCCCTCCCTGGTCCCCCCAAGAACACCACACAAGTTATGATCACCAGTGACAAGTGTTTTACCAACAAACACATGAGTCGGGGGAAGTTACATGGTGAGGTGGGAGGGCGAGGGATAGAGAGGTCCCCCTGGATTGGCCTCAGCCAATTACATCCCGAGTCTGGGACCCAGCCCCACTGTCTTCCCGCTGGAGGCTGCAACGATTCATCTTCAGCTGAGTCAGCTGGATGTAGCGGAGCACATTGGTGTCTGCAGGGGAGGTGGGCAGGGCATCATCTGGGTGTCCCGGGGCAGCAGGTGACTTCCACACCTCCCTGGCTCACACCCCATTCTCCGAAGTATCCAGCAGCTCGCTCACACAGCCAGTAGAGCCAGAGCCCTTCCCCAAAGCCCCAGTCACAGTCGGCAGTCCCCAGTCACAGCGGAGCCATCGCACACCTCTGTGCGCCTGTATTTGCGGCACCCTCTGCCAGGAATGCCTCTTCGCAGAGGCTCCCGTCACACTTCTCATCCTCCAGCGACATCTGCAAGAAGTCTGTTCTCTCCGAGCCACTTAACAGGAAAACTAATCTCGTCTCGGCTCCCACAACCCTGCACCTGTTGTAATCCCTCTTCCTTCTTCATTGGCTCTTAATACAAAACTGAGTGTTGTGTCTGCCCTCCTGCACTCATGTGTGTAAGTGCACACATGCACGCACACACACACACACCCCAATTTCCTGGCATCGTCCACCCGAGTGGATGAGTGGATGGTGCAGGAAGTGAATGAATAGGTGTGCGTGAATGGGTGAGTGGAGGAATGAGTGTGTGCGGTAGGCAGGGGTGGGACGGGGTAATGGAGATGACAGTGGGTGGATAGGGAAGTGACTGAGCAGGTGAATAGGAGATATCAGATGTGGCAATGACGGTAGATGAGAAATGGCCGGGGAGATGTCAGAGGAGCGATAGGTGGACGGATGTTTGAATGGCGGGTGAAGGGCGGGGTGGATGAATGGATGAGTGGGCGTGTAGGGAGTAGGTGGGTGGCGCAGCCCTACCTAGAAGCAGCTCCGCGGGAGGAGGGCTCTGCTATTCTGCCCTGATCTTCCTGCCTGTTCCCTCCGCTGCAGCCCCTTTCCCCGCCCTGGGCCCAGCCCTCACCTCTGCCCCGCCCCGCCACTCACCTGTGGGTTCCCGGCTGCGGGCCTCCTGCAGGTAGCGCAGCGCGCGTGCGTAGTCGCCCAGGTGGTAGAAGGCAATGCCGGCACGGTAGGTGGCCTTGAAGTTGCCCTGCTGCTTCTCCAGTACCTTGAGACAGTACTCGCGCACGCGCTCGTAGTTTACCAGCTCCGACTGCAGCAGGCAAGCTGCGAGGGCCCCGCGGCCGGCACTCTCAGAGCCTGCTGGCACCCCCAGAACCCACCTGACTGCGAGGAGCCGAGGCTCCAGGCGGCAGGGAACCAGGCCTAAGGGATTGCTCCGGCAACCAGGGGCGCCAATCCGCTCGCCTATCGAAACAGGCGCAACTGCGCCGCTGCTAGGGGGCGCCAAAACACGGACAGGCGCCACTGGGCGATCCACCCAGAGCTGTCGGTGGGCAAGAGCACTAAGGCCCCGCGCGGGGGCGAGGGCCGGGACCTCGAGAGCCTGGCTCAGGGCAGACTTCCTCACCTTGGGTCCACGTGCGGCCAGGGGGTGGAAAGAATGACTCAGGGGAAGCGAGGCCCTGAATACCCGACCCAAAGACCATTTCCTGCATCCCAGCTCCCTCCAGCCACAGACCCCTGTCATCCCCTACCCCTAATCCCTTTCCTTGATCAAGCTCTGAAGGCTCCCCCAGAAGCCCACAGCCCTGGACCCTTCAGCCCCAGGGCCCCTGGCCCCCAAGTCGCCAAGCTCTCCCGATTGCCCCCTCCCCTCGTGCCCCATCCCCCCACCCCCCGACGGCGTACCCGTGAGGGAGTCGTAACACTCCACCTCCGTGCTCTCCACCAGGCGCCGCTGCTCCTCGCTGAGGCGCGCCGGCCCGGGGCTGCTGGTGGGCCCGGGGGCGGGGGCGGGCAGGCCGCTAGGGCGGGCCCCCTGCGCCGCCTTCAGCTGCAGCAGCGCTCGGTGGTACTTGCCGATGGCCTCCCGGAACTTCTTCTCTCGATAGCAGCGCTGGCCCTCTGCCTTGAACGCCACGGCGGCACGCAGGCTGCTGTCGAGCGCCGCGCCCAGGCTCCCCGACGGCTCTGGGGTAGGACCGGGACGAGCCGAGCCATGGCGGGAGCCCGAGCCTGGGCCCGAGCCCGGTGGGGAGAGGGCGGGAGGCGGGCGCGGCGGAGGCTCCGGGGCAGCGCTGAGCATCAGCACCGGGGACAGCGCGCCGCGCTGCATTGTGGGAAACTCCTGCCGCCGCCGCTGCAGCTACCGCATCGCCCCCCGCGGGGCTGGTCCCCACCCTTTCTCCGCCCCCTCACCTCCGGCAGCCGACTCCGGCTGCCCCCTATGGGTCTAGGGAAACCCCTCGAGACTTCCCCCATGCTCACTCTCAAATTAACCAAGTCCTAGTTCTCCAGCCCGCCCCCCGAATTGTTCCCATTCCCCTTACCCTCCCCAACCTCCTGCCTGCTCTCCTCCCCGGTGCCCAAAGCTCCCGAAGATTTCTAGAAGGAAAGGACGAGCCTGGGGGAAAGAGCAGGAAGACATCAGCCTCACGGAAAGCTGGCTCTCAGCCCACTGGCCATTTGGCATATCGAATGAGAACACAGGATTTGGACCCAAGCTTCCCAAATTCAAATCCCTGCTTACTTTCTCACTAGTGGTATGACTTAGACAGCTCGCTTAAACTACCTGGAACTCTGTATCCTCATCAGTAACATGGCACAATAATATCACCTTTAGGGCCAGTCGAGGTGGCTCACGCCTGTAATCCCAGCACTTTGGGAGGTCGAGGTGGATGGATCGCTTGAGGTCAGAAGTTTGAGACCAGCCTGGCCAATATGGCAAAACTCCGTCTCTACTAATATACAATATATACAAAATTTTTGTATATATACACAAAAATTAGCCTGGTGTGGTGGCGTGCACCTGTAGTCCCAGCTACTCGGGAGACTGAGGCAGGAGAATCACTTGAACCTGGGAGGCAGAGGTTGCAGTGAGCCGAGATTGTGCCACTGCACTCCAGCCTGGGTGACAGAGGGAGATGCCGTCTCAAAAAAGGAAAGGAAAGGAAAGGAAAGGAAAGGAAAGGAAAGGAAAGGAAAGGAAAGGAAAGGAAAGGAAAGGGGAAAGGGGAAAGAGGAAAGAGAAAAAAGGAAAGGAAAGGAATTAAAAATAATACCACCTTTGGGATTCATCTGTTAATTTATGAAACAAATATTCACTGACATCCTTTCTGTGCCCAGCTCTGTGCTGGATGATGCTGGGACATAGCAGACACTGCGTGAGCTTCAGACCCTACTCTCACTGGGCCCCAGTTCAGTGGGAAGACAGACCAGTGACCAGACAGTGACAGCCCTGAGCAGGCTAGCCTGGGAAGCACAGGCAGAGGGGTCGGGGCCGAGGTGGAAGAGGCACAGGCAGAGGGGTCGGGGCTGGGATGTGGGAGGTACCTGCCCTGGGCTGAGGTGGTGATAAAGTCTTCCTGGAGGAGGGAATAACTCTAAAAACAAGAGAGATCTCCTTCTTGCCCTCATCCAGCTCGGCTGTCTATGGGGGAAAACAAGTGAGAGGGCAAACAAGTCCCCAGGAAAGGAAGCATGCAGGAGGCTTTCAAGAAAAAAATCGAGGATGAATGAGTCAACTGCCCTTCAGTCCTCCTTTGCCGCCTCCTTAGCTGTGGGACCTGGGCCAAGTTCCTCGATCCTCCTCCTTCGGCTTCGTCTGTGCGACATGAGGATAGAAGGCAAGTTAACCTCAGAGCGGTTGCAGAGACTGAATTATCTTATGCAGGTAAGGCACTTAGCACAGGGCTTCATACATTAATGGGCAATTAACAACTGGTGTTTCTTATCGTCCATTAGACTCTGAGTCATGTGATCATGAGTGCCTGGCTCTGAGTCAGCATCCATATATAGTTGTTGAATGAATGAGTGTGTGAGTGAATGGCATTATGCATTACTACTCCTCCCCCTCCTCTGAGACTCTAGCTTGGGTCTCAGCCCCAGGCCTCCCCACTCTCCCCAACTCCACCCCCACAGCACATCCTCTAGCTGGAGGTCCCATGGCAGGTCACATGTGACAGACAGAAACCAGAACTCAGCACCTTCCATCTCAACCAGAGCATCTGCCTCTATCTCTTATTGTACTTTGCTGTAAAACGCTTTTGCTGAGTGAGTTTCTCCCTTATCCCTGGGGTCCAGCCTTGAACACCTCAGGGGTGCAAACATTTTCCTCTCTGCATCTCCAAACCCAGGCTCAGTTAGGAGTGTAAAACTCATGAATTTGAGTTCTTGAGCAGTGCACACACCTTTCCCTACCTCCGGTGTGTCTGTTTTGTAATGAAAAACACAGAGATCTGGCTGGGCGCAGTGACTCACACCTGTAATCCCAGGACTTTGGAAGGCCGGGGCAAGTGGATCACCTGAATTCAGGAGTTCGAGACCAGCCTGGGCAACATGGCAAAACCTTGTCTCTACCAAAAATACAAAAAATTAGCCAGGGGTGGTGGCGTGCACCACTTGGAAGGCTGAGGCGGGAGGATTGCTTGAACCCAAGAGGTGGAAGTTGCAGTGAGCTGAGATCACACCACTGCACTCCAACCTGAATGATGACAGAGTGAGACCCTGTCTCAAAAAAAAAAATAAAAAAAAAAGGAGATCCGTTGATTCATAACCATGTTTTCTGACGAAGTAAATGCCTAGGTACCCAGGCACAGTAGCACAGGACAACTGTACCTAAAATCACAGTCCTGCTGGGATGCAATGCTAACACTTTTACAACACCTCCTAGGTGTCAGACATTGTCATAAAGAGCTTTCCCTTTTATTTATTTTTTATTATTTATTTTGAGATGGAGTCTTGCACTGTCGCCGGGGCTGGAGTGCAATGACGTGACCTCGGCTCACGGCAACATCCACCTTCCGGGTTCAAGCGATTTTCTTGCATCAGCCTCCTGAGTAGCTCGGATTATAGAAGCCCGCCACCACACCCAGCTAATTTGTTGCATTTTTAGTAGAGACGGGGTTTCACTATGTTGACCAGGCCGGTCCCAAACTCCTGACCTCGTGATCCGCCCGCCTCGGTCTCCCAGAGTGCTGGGATTATAGACTTGAGCCATCGCACCTGGCTGCTTTACGTATATTTTAACTCACATCCTCACCACAGTGTCAGGAGGTTGGTACCATAATTATCCCCACTGACACCTGGGCACTTCCCAGGTTAAGTATATCAGACCCCATTGATAAAACTCTTACTATCCAGGACTTACTACTACAAACTGATGACCTTCGCAGAGCATCTTCCAGGCTTGGGAGAACCTATCTTCATAGCCCAGTATATGTGATGTGTTGGGCTTGTACAACCATTAAGAAATATTGAATTAGGCCGGGTACGGTGGCTCAAGCCTGTAATCCCAGCACTTTGGGAGGCCGAGGCGGGAGGATCACCTGAGGTTAGGAGTTCGAGACCAGCCTGGCCAACATGGTGAAACATGTCTCTACTAAAAATACAAAAATTAGCCGGGCGTGGTGGCAGGAGCCTGTAATCCCAGCTATTTGGGAAGCTGAGGCAAGAGAATCATTTGAACCCGGGAGGCGGAGTTTGCAGTGAGCCGAGACCGCGCCATTGCACTCCAGCAGCCTGGGCAACAAGAACGAAACTCCGTCTAAAACAACAACAAAAACAGAAAGACTGAATTAGTTGACATCTAAACGCAGATATGGAATTGCAGAATCTCAGGTTTACTTGAATAAGATCTGAAAATCCGGCAACATCGAGGTAGCATTTCTTCTGACCGGGATGGGCATTCTCAACTCCCCCACAGTCCCCATCTCTTGTGATTTTTTGCCAGTCCTTAAGGGATCCCAGTTTTATCCCGCTGAATGACTCTTGGGGAAGCCCGCCATTGCCCCCTGGTGGAGGAGTTCAGAATTTGCATTTTATCTCCCAGCAACCATTAAAGGAAGTGGTGAGCACATCCAATCAGAGGGATGCGAGGCCTAGAAAGCGACCAATCAAAAGCGAGAGGGGACCGGAATTCGACCAATGAGGGCAGAGAGCGCTCAGAATAAAATAAATTCTTTTATTGAGATGAGAGACGGACACACACTGGGAGGGTTTTGTTTTTTGTTGTTGATTTTTTTGTGACTGAGTCCCAGTACTCAGGGAGGCTCAGACTGGAGGCGGCGGAGCAGGCAGGCGGCGGCAAGGCTGGTCCCCTGGCGCTGGGGCCGCGCATACTTGAGGAAGACTGCGGCGCGACCCGGCGCGGGACCTCGGAGCGCAGCGCGGGCCATGCACGGCTCGAGGGTGCCCAGTTCCTCGGGGCTGCAGCAGGGAGATGGAGAAACTGAGGCAGGGCAAGTGGTTGGAGATGACCCATCCTTGGAACTGGAGACTGGAGGCTGAGAAGAAGCGTCGATGTGGTTCCCCACGGACGGGTCGGGGGCTCTCTTGAGATCGGGCACGCGTCCCGTCTTCAACTGGAGTGACTAGGCGAGCACCGGGGAGAGGTGGACACCCTATTCTTCCTACAGGGCGCGGCTAGTGCGGAGTCAGAACACTCGAGGAAGCAAGGAGGGGAGCTGAGGATGGGCAGCCATCCTCTCTATGCTGGGTGCACAGGCTGAGGGAAACCATGGTTCGCCCTGCCACCTGGTAGCATGGTTAGCGGCCCTAGCAGCTAAAGGAACACCCCATCCACCACCAGATACAGAGATGGAGGACTCGAGGCCTGGGTGATCCTTCGTTCTCAGCCCTGGAAGGCAATAGGAGCATCTTCTGGGCCTGGGAGACTATCTTCCACTCTGGGGCAAGGTTAAGAGACCCCAGATCTGGACTAATGGGGTCCTCCCACCCCATTCTCTCCCACACCCAGAAAAATCAAGTCTAGGTGCCACCTCCTCCTCAATAATTGTCTCTCATTCTCCGAGACCGTAAAAATGACCAGGAAGGTAAGTCCCTGAAGCTGCGGTGACCCCATACACTTCCTCCGCCAAGACTACACCTGTAAAGTTCTGGCTGGAGCCTGGAGCCCGCCCCGTCGAGCAAGCGGTGCGCCAGGCTCAGAGCCGCAGCCGCACGACGACCCGGCTCCCATCCCGCCGCCTCGGCCTCCAGCAAAGACAGCTCCAGGAAGTAGGTGGCAAGTAACATCACCTGCAAGTGAGGCGGGGCGACTGTCAGGCCACGCCCCACTTCGCGCCGGCCACGCCCCCACCCCGCGTATTCACAAGGGCTCACCTGGGGGCTGCTCCCTGCCAGCGCGGCCAGCAGCCCGAGGCACAGCAGCGGGCCGGGGTGGTGCAGCCGGAAATCCAGGCGGCTCAGGATGCGACGCTCGGCGCGCAGCAGCTCCGCCCGTGAGAAGGAGTCCGCGCTCAGGAGGCAGAGGAAGGCGGGCTGCAGATGGGGGATGCGGGGGGAGGTGAAGGAGTCTTGGATCCGGGCTCTTTACTCCCTGCCCTGGAAAGGCCCCAAGTTCCGGACCTCAGTTTCCTGGTGTGTAAAATGGGGCCATTGACTTGTGTCTGGAAGTCGTAGAGAGCACGGGCTTGAGGGTCCTGGGTTCAAGACCTAGGTTCGAGTTCAAACCCCATCATCTGCTCACTGTGTGACATAGGACATTCACTTAAGCTCTCTGCCTCAGCTACCCCCCGCCCCCCGTAAAACAGATACTACTCCCTGCTTCACCAGGCAGTTCTGATAAGGCACTGAATTCATGCATGTTGACGGTAACTATTCAAGATGGACTAGTTTATATTATTTTTATTTACTTTTCTAAATTAGAGACGAGGTCACCTTGGCTCCCCAAAGTGATTTGTTTTGTTTTTTTTTGTTGTTGTTGTTTGTTTTTTTGGAGTGCAGTAGCGCGATCTCACCTCACAGCAACCTCCGCCTCCTGGGTTCAAGCAATTATCCTACTTCAGCCTCCTGAGTAGCTGGGCCTACAGGCGTGCACCACCACACCTGGCTAATTTTTATATTTTTAGTAGAGACAGGGTTTCACCATGTTGGTCAGGCTGGTCTCAAACTCCTGATCTCAAGTGATCTGCCGGTTTCAGCCTTCCAAGGTGCTGAGATTACAGGCGTGAGCCACCACCCCCAGCCTTAAGACAGACTATTCTAGACTGAGTCCAAGTTCCAACTGCTTGATTTGGGGCAAATGTCTTCCTCTCTCTGAGCCTCGGTCTCCTCTTCTGTTTAAGGGACACATTGACAGCCCCTCCCTCATACATGTTGGGAATCCCAGACTCAGCACGGTGCTTGGCACACAGTAGTCACTGAATCAGTTACTCCCCAAAGGACTCCATCCACCCTCCCAAACCCCACCCCGGAAGTACCTCGGGAAGCACGCACTCTTCCATTTTGCACGCCACAAACAGGCAAGCCACGCCCAGCAGCTGCAGGCGATGTAGACGCACGCGGCCAGCGCTCAGGTAGGAATCAAGCAGGTGAACCGCCAGATAAAGTGTGTCACCAGCCAGACCCAGGTACTCCTGAGGAGGGGCAAGGGTGACCACGGGGTCCTGGGCGGCGACGCAAACTCAGCCCCCCACACCCTTCCAGATACCTACGTGCACCTGGACCAGCCAGTCTACCACCAGGGCGCGCATCTCCGGGGTCACAGCGCGGGGCAGGGCTCTCAGGGGCAGCACGCGGCACACCTGGGGTTGGGGCAGGGACGCTTCACTCTCCACACCTGTGCCTCTGCCTTTCTCCTGAGCTCCAGCCCTGGATGCAGCAGCCTCCTCCAGTCAGTTGGACATCTTAGGCATGCCACACCCAAACTGGCCTCCAAATGAGCTCCTCTTACGTGTCCTCACCTAGAACTCTGGGCTTCGTTCCAGATGCCTCCATACCCACCTCTCCGCCACGTGGACTCCTGGGCGTCTCCCTCTAGGTTCCCAGACTTCACTTTTTTTTTTTTTTTTTGAGACAAAGTCACTCTGTTGCCCAGGCTGGAGTGCAATGGCGCAATCTTGGCTCACTGCAACATCCGCCTCCTGGGTTCAAGCGATTCTCCCGCCTCAGCCTCCCTAGTAGCTGGGATTACAGGCATGTGGCACCATGCCCGGCTAATTTTTATATTTTTGTAGAGACGGGGTTTCACCATGTTGACCAGACTGGTCTTGAACTCCTGACCTCAGGTGATCCGCCCACCTCAGCCTCCCAAAGTGCTGGGATTACAGGTATGAGCCACTGCACCCGGCCTCAGACTTCAACTCTTGACCACGAATCCTCAACCCCTCTGCCTCAGAGCACCCAGAAGCATCTTCCCAAAGAAAGATCTGACCAAGGAACTCCCCAGCTTAAAACCCTTCCATGGCTCCCAGTACCCTTGGAGAAAACTCTGATTTCTTTCAGGCTCTGCTCCAGCATCACCTCTTCCCTCTCTCTCCCCACAACCCATGCGTCAGCCACAGCTGCCTTCTTTTTAGCTCCTAGACTATACCAAGCCCATTCCTACCCCAGGCCCTTTGCACTTCCTGTTTCCTCTACAGAGAGGGTCCTTCCCCAGCCCCTTACTCGACCTTTCCGTCATTCAGCTAACATCTCCATGACTTTGTCTATACTCCTACCACCCGATCACTATCTCTTTGTCTCAGCATTTTCACTGTGAAGATGTCTCCCTGTGTGCTTTGTCTATTTGGCCGCTAGGCTGCCAGTCCCACGAGGGCAGGGACTTCTGCCCACAACACAAGTGTCTCTCAGGTCCTAACAGAGATCCTGGCCCAGGAGAGTCGCAGGCAAGACGTTCAACAAACTCCTCCCTTCAGTCTTCCTTCCGCAGCAACCCTCTCATAGGGATATCTGAAGGCTGGCGAGGCCAATGTTTTGGTTTGCGTGGCCTTTCCCTAGTTGTTCTATGTGTTTGCTCATCTCCCCAGAACGAGGCCAGCATTGCAGCATCTCCAGCACCTAAAACATTTGCTACTAAACCATTAAATATTTGTTAAACAAATAAATGTGGAGGACAAGTACAGGGGACCATAAACACCCCAGGAGGGACTGCAAAGAGCCCGGGGACGGTGGGAAAGGGCATTCCCAGCGGTAGAAACGGCGCTGTGTGAAAACAAAACAAAAGCCTGGACGTTGCAGGGAAGGAACGCCGGCTGCCAGTGATAGGGAGGAGAGGCTGGAGCGGTGGGAGTTCAGAGTGGTGTTGAGTGGGTGCCGGGCGGTGGGCCGGCGTCGCCCTCACCAGGGCAGGCGGCGGGTAGGCTCACCATGACTTCGGCGAAGATGTCCCCGGCGTACTCGCGTTCTCCCTGCAGCCCCAGCGCGCTCAGCGCCTCCTCCAGCCCCGGCGGCCTCGCCAGGCGTCTTGGGGAGACAGTGGGGCCCGCGGGGAAGCCGTCGGGGACTGCGGCGCTTGAAGGCTCTGCGTCGAGGGAGGCAGCGAGACTCTGCAAAGGAGAGGGCCTGGGGGCCCAGCGCCTAACGATAGGCCCGAGCCGGGAGCCGGACCCCTGGTCCCTGCCTCTCACCAGCATCCTCCAGGAGGGTGTTGCGGGCGAGGCCAAGCACCGACCCTTGCAGCTAGGGGAAGAGACGCGCGGCGGGCGCTTTAAAGGCCCCTGGGCGCGTGCGCACTGAGCCCGCCTCGCCCGGGCAGGTGCACAAAGGTGAGTGCCCCGCAGGCTGGCTCTGTCCTCTCGAAGCCCTCTAAGGTCGGACAGCTGGAGACAGATCCTCATCCTGCTGCCCGGAAGCAGCCCCTCTGGGCCTCGCTTTCCTGACCATAAAGTCGGGATGATTTCAAAATGTAGAATCAGGGTTTGCACCGTCAGAGGATGGATGTACAAACATAGATCGGAGGTTAGAATGACCCTTGTGGTGTCGGTGTCGCAATGGAATTGGAGATAAAATTGTGTGAACACATGGTTGTTTACATAGAAGTTAAGTGTTGTGTGGCCGGGTGTGGTGGCTCACTCCTGTAATCCCAGCACTTTGGGAGGCCGAGGCGGGCGGATCACGAGGTCAGGAGATGGAGACCATCCTGGCTAACACTGTGAAACCCCATCTCCACTAAAAATACAAAAAGTTAGCTGGGCGTGGTGCCGGGAGCCTGTAGTCCCAGCTACTCAGGAGGCTGAGGCAGGAGAATGGCATGAACCCTGGAGGCGGAACTTGCAGTGAGCGAGATTGGGCCACTGTACTCCAGCTTGGGCGACAGAGCGAGACTCCGTCTCAAAAAAAAAAAAATTTTTTTTAAAAAGTGGTGTGTATGCAAACATGTATTTCCTAGCTTAATCCACTGGGAGAGCTTAAGAGCAGCGACACCCCAATAGTGAGAAGCACCCCTAACATCCAAACCCTGGCCGCCACATCCCATTCTCCACTAAAAGGAACCAGGGCTACCTGGAGAAATGGCTGATCCCAGGGTCATACAAGAGAAGGTACAAGATCTGGAATATTTTTGTGTGGCAGAAAGTGTCCCAACAGCAGGGCAAGTCACATAGATGCAGAAGTCACTAGCTAAATCTAGAAAATGTGAGCATCAAGATGATAGTCATAGATCACAAACCACTGAATAAAATTAAAATACAAGTTTATTCTGATATAACTCAGGCAGTGGGAAAGAAAAGCTCTTCTAATCTTTAGAAAGTGAACTAATAAATGTGTTTTGTTTTCAGACAGGGTCTCGCTCTGTCACCCAGGCTGGAGTGCAGTGGTGTGAACACGGCTCACTGCAGCCTCAACCTCCTAGGCTCAAGTGATCCTCCCATCTCAGCCTCCCAAGTAGCTAGGACTACAGGTGTGCGCCATCATGCTTGGCTAATTTTTAAATTTTTCTGTAGAGACTGGGGTATCACTTTGTTGCCTAGGCTGGTTTTGAACTCCTGGGTTCAAGGAATCCTCCCACCTTGGCTTCCCAAAGTGCTAGGATTACAGGTGTGGGCCGCCATGACTGGCCGAACTAATAATGTAGAAGGTTGGAAAATCCTATTTGGCAACCACCACAGCATCGTTTCATGCAAGAAATATCAATAGATGTTCAAACTAGTGGGTGAACATCTGATAGGAATCGGGATATCTACAAAATGTCTCTACACAAGATGTTTATTAACTGTGTAAACCAAAAGGTATCTGAGATAGGTGTCAATCAATTTAGAAAGCTTATTTTGCCAAAGTTAAGGGTGTGCGTGTGACACGGCCTCAGGAGGTATTCGGGGCACAGCTTGGTTTTATACGTTTTATGGAGACATGAGACGTCCTCAATATGTGTAAGCTGTACATTGGTTCGGTCCGGAAAGGCAAGACAACTCGAAGCAGGGGAGGGGGCTTCCAGGTCATAGACAGGAGACAAACGGCTGCATTCTTTTGAGTTTGATTAGCCTTTTACTGAATGCACAATTTACAGGAAGAGCCATCCATGCCTAGTCTGGGTCAAACAATAGGACGGAGGAAGCCATCAGATATGCATTGGTCTCATGTGAGCACAGGGATGACTTTGAACTCTGCCTGTCTTCTGTCCACAAGGAATTTCCTTGCGGGCAAATGGAGAGACGTAAGTAGCTTTAAAAAAAAATATATATATATATATATATCTTTTAGGCCAGGCGCAGTGGCTCACGCCTGTAATCCCAGCACTTTGGGAAGGTGAGGCAGGCAGATCACTTGAGGTAAGTTCGAGACCAGCCTGGCCAACATAGTGAAACCCTGTCTCTACTAAAAATACAAAAATTAGCTGGGTGTGGTGGTGGGTGCCTGTAATCTCAGCTACTGGTGAGGCTGAGACAGGAGAATCACTTGAACCCTGGAGGCAGAGGTTGCAGAGAGCCAATATCGCACCATGGCACTCCAGCCTGGGCGATAGAGTGAGACTCCGTCTTAAAAAAAAGAGAAAAAAAAAAAGTGAGGCAACCAACCCTGGTTGAGGGAAAATAACTGCAAAATAACTGCCCTGTGAGTTTCACACCTGCCAACTGAATGCAACATGTGAGCCTGGTCATTAGCTAGGAATTTTTAACATACAAGGACATTAAGCGTGACCATTAGCGAACACTATAAAATCTGTACAGAAGAGCAGTTTCAATGTTAGCTTCCTGACCTTGGTAACTGGAGAGCAGTTATGTAGCAGAATGTTCTTTAGGACAGGTATACAATGTGGAGCGGGAGGTGGAGGGGTGAATTTAACATTCTGATCCCATTTTTGTCCGTTTTAAGTAAAATGCTATGACGAACCTGGCGAAGGGTATATTTTGTAATTCTTCTACATAACTTTTTTGAATAGATTGACAGTTCCCACCTACCCCACACCCAATTTCCCCAATGAACATCTCATATTAGTGTGCCCCATTTGTCACAATCCGTTAGACCAATATTCATCTATTAAGTCCATGCTTTATTCAAGCCTTCCTTTTTCCCTACGTTCTTTTTCTATTTCAGGAAACATTACATTTAGTCACCATGACTCTTTTGGTTGATCTTGGATGTGTCACTTTCTCAGAATTTTCTGATTAACCACCTTGGCAGACAAATCCCTCAACTGAGATCTGTCTGATGTCTGCTTCCTCTCAGTGAGGTGGTGTGTGTCTGCAAGAGGAGGATCAGAGGGAAAGTGCCATTCTATCACATTAAAGGGACACTGTGAAGGTGATTCATCAGCAGTGTTTGCCTCGATTGGCTGGATGATGTAGTGTTTGCCAGGGACCTTCACTGAAAAGTTACTTTTCCCCCTCTCCACACTGCACTCTTTGGAGGAGTCACTGCAGCCCACGCCTAAGAAGTGGGGGTTCCATAGCCCTCCTTGAAGGCTGTCTACAGAAATTACTTATGATTTTGTGTAGATTTGCATATTCTCCCCATTTTGCCACTTAGCAATAGACTTATTTCACATTTTAGGTGAAAACCCAATATTATGCTATTTATTTTGTTGTTCAAATTCTTTTCAGCTTTGGCCACTGGAAGCTTTCTGTTGGCTCCTGTGTCCCTGTGACTTAAGCATATCAGTGCGTGCTTTCAGGCACTGCAAGATGCCCCAGGCTCATCTTGTACATTTCCTGCCCCAGGCCTGGAATAATCTTAGTACAGCACTATTTTTGAAAGTTTTCTGCAAGTCTGCAATTATTTCAAAATTTAAAGTATCTGAATGGCTACACTTTTTTGGAAAGGTACTGGACATTAAAATCCTGGGATGTAGACAAACAAAAGCACCAGCACAGTACAGATGGATAGCTAGTTTATTACAGGACTGCTGGTAGCACCAAACGAAACCAAGTCAATTCCTGTTAACGGGGCAGCTGAAGCGGTTGAGGGGTCTACCCCATGGAACCCCAGGAAGCAGCTGGAAAGCCTGAGTTCCCCCCATGCAGCAGCTAAAAGGGAATCGCACTGCCGCCCCCGACTCCACACAACCATCAGTGCACGAGGGCAGCCCCCAGAGGCTTCACATTAACTGGAAAAGATTACACAAAAAGAGCAGGAAACTACCAATTTATGATGCCGTGTCCATTTGCAGAGAGGTAATCAGCACCAAAATGAGTACTCAAGGCCCTGCGACCTCGGGTGAATTTCCTTTCTTATACTCCTGCTTTGCTGTCTTTTTTAATAGCATGTATCATGTTTTTTTTTTTTTTATTTTTAGAGACACAGTCTCATTGTCCCAGGCTGCAGTGCAGTGCCGCAATCATAGCTCACTGCAGCCTCAAACTCCTGGGCTCAAGTGATCTTCCCACCTCACCTCAGCCTTCCAAGTTAGCTGGGATTGCAGGCATGCACCACCATGCCCAGCTAATTTTTGTATTTTTTGTAGAGATGAAGGTCTCCCTATGATGCCCAGGCTGGTCTCGAACCCCTGGCCTCAAGAGACCCGCCCGCCTCGGCCTCCCAAATTGCTGGGATTACAGGCATGAGCCACTGTGCCCAGTCACTGTTCTTTATATACAAAAAAGAATGTGTGAAATTTTTAAAATGTACATTGCAAAAGACGATTATTCTACTCAAAATTTATTTGGTAAGATTTTATTAAGACTCTAAGTTCAAACACCCTTCTTGGGAAAAGCTCTACAGGATAACCACACATGCTCAACTACGGGGCCAGCTGCTGCAGCTGTGGGACCCCATCCTGTGGAAGAGGAGAGAGGCACTAAAAAGATGAGGTAGCCAGGCCTGTGCCCACACTACGAGACCTGCATCACCATGGTGTGAGGAGCAGCAACGTGGGTCAACTCGGGGCTGGGACGAGATGGAAGAGTAAAAGGCCTTTCTTCATAGGCCTGCCTATTTTATGACCACCAGGGTAGACTTTTGTAATTAAATTAAGGTCCACATGACTTTAGAAAGACAAACTAAAAAACCCCAACCAAACGAGTCCTAGCTGTAGCTAACTCTGATTTCTGTAAATTGGATCTGACTTTTTCTGCTTACATTCACTTAAAATCTCAAAGACTCAATGGGTGTGAAGTGCTAACACCTTGCGGCAAAATCTCAAATTCATCTGTGCCAGGCCCTCTGCACAGCAGGGCTCAGCAGGGCAGGCCAGGGCTCTGGTCCCTGGTCCCTTGCTGGGGGAGGTGTTCCATCCGGCCAGCGCCCGGCCATGCAGCCACGTGACTCAAGCACGGGAAGTGCAGGGGCCCAGACACATCCAGGCTAAAGGGCAGTGACTAGGGGAGGGCTGACCCCAAGCTGAACAGGGTTCTAACCAAACGCTCAGGAGCTCCCAGGTGACAGCAACCACGCCACCATGAACACACCACTGGGTCTGTACTGGAATTTGGGGGCCTCAAGGCTTCCAGGTGGCAGCATAAACAGGGAGGTGGGGCAGGATAGGAATGCCCCCCTCTGAGGCTCGGCAGCCGGGTGGAATGAACCACTCCCTCTCATTCAGTGACAGCACAGGCACCCTCCTCATTCTGGGCTACCCAGATCTTCCAGCCCTGTCCCTCCACCCCACCTCTCTTAGCCTAAGCAGCACTGAGGGCCTGGAGTGGTCTCTGTCCACCCCACCCCCACATGCGGGGAGCCTTCCCATACCCCTCAGCCCCACAGCACCAGCTCCACCCACCCTCTCCAGCCTGAGCTCCTGCACACACCCCAGCTGCCCTCACCCTGAGCTCAGTGCCCTCCTTGCTGAAGGGAACGGCTAGTACAGGAGGAGCTGGGGCCCAGGGGTCTGACTCCATCACCAAGGCAAAGCCCAGAGTGGTTGGGCTGGCGTGAGTGCAGGCTGGGCCCTGGTCTGAAATGAGTGTCTTTATTGCTTGTACCGTACAAATATGAAGACGAGGAGAAAGGCCAGTAGGGACGGAGAACTGTCAGATAACAACATCGCACACAGAGGAAAAAGACCCTCACCCACCCGAACCAACCCCACCCCTCCCCACCCTGCCATGAACTGTGTAGTACAGGAGATGGGATAGGGAGAGCAAACCCACAAAAGCTAAACTCCAAACACCCAGAGGTGTTGCTACAGGGAGGGGAGGCGTGGGCAGGGCAGCTCATGGATCACAGTGGGGCTCCTCCCACTAGGTCAGCACCCCTCCCCCACAGGATGAAATGCTCGGGCCAGGGATGGGGCCCAAGCCCACACACCATGCACACTGGAGGACACGCTGCCCTCACACAAACACACATGCACACACACCCACGTGTGCCTGCGTCCCGCCGACACACGCAGTCCGAGGCACGCACAGGAGTCCCACAGCACTGACATGGACGTGCACTCATGTTCAACCTTAAGGCTGCAGAACGTGGGGCCCTGGGGAGAGGGAGGGGTGAGGGGGGCCTAGGAGCCTCCCTTTTCAGAGGCCCCCCACCCCAATAGGTACCAGAGATGCCCACCCCCACCCCTCCCTGACCAAGTCCATGGGGCCCAATACTGTCCGGTGTAAGATTGTAACAGCCAAGGCTGGTGGCCCTCCACCCCCGCAGAGGAGAGGGTGAGCCCAGCCCATAGCCCCCAGTGGGGCCAGGCCAGGCCCAGGGTCCAGCGGGAGGTAAGGCCAGCTGGAAGGAAGCCCTAGTAAGGCACGGGGCTGGGAGGCAGGCAGGTTTGGCCCCAAATGTTCCTCCTGCCTCATCCATAGGGTGAGGACAGTTTGGTGGGGAGGAGGCCGGACCAGGAGGCGGCACCCAGCCCGGCCACTCCTGGTTCCCCATGGTACAGATCCTAGGATCTGACTCCATTCACCAGGGAGCAGCCCTAACCCCCAGCCCTGCAGCTCCCAAGGGCCCCTGCCTGCCCCTGGACATTATTGCTTTTCTGCCCCCATAGGGGGACAGCGGGTGGGGGATTGGACCGCCCCGTGCCTGGCCACTCCGAGCCTAGGCCACGGGGCCTGGAAGGCAGCACCACTGTCTGCCGGGTGTCGCGTCCCACCAGAAGGCAGCCTTCGTCCAGATGCAGCAGCGCGGAGGCAGACACCAGCACGACACCCAGGCCAGAAACTCAGGCAGGCCCCAGGCGCCATGCTTCACCCCTCACTGGGGCTTGTGTGGATTAAAACCTGAATCTCCAACCGCCCAACAGCCCAGGCCTGGGCGGGAGGTGGAGTCTTCCAAATGCGAGTCTGGGCACAAAGGTGAGGCTGGAGGCTGGAGGCAGGGGCTGCAGGGGCCGCTGGGGTGCGTCTGGGAGGGGCCTGAAGAAGAACTGGAAAGGGGGTGAGGAGGTGGGGGTGGGGACACAAACCAAAAAGGCTAAGTAAAAAGTTAGGGGGAAAAAACCACCCAGCGGTGATGGCAGCGAGCGTGCGTCCTCTGCGTGGGCAGACTGCTCACTCGCGGATGCTGGCCGAGTAGGAGAACTGGGGGAAGTGGGTCCGCTGGTCCAGCTCCAGTAAGCCCAGGCTGTCATCTGTGGGCGGCAGAGGTGGATGGGGAGGACCAGTCAGGAGAGGGCCTGGGACACCTGCCCAGACTCCCTGGGGAAACGGCCCCAGCTGGCGGGGGCTGCCCACAGGACAGGACAGGAAAGGCCCATCCCTCCGCAATGGAGGCCCTCAGCCACGGACCCACTCCCCAAACCTGAGCCCCGGGCGGCCTCCTCTGGGAGTTTCCTGTGCCCTTGCCCATGCGCCCCACAGCTGGCAGGGCCTTCTGAGCCTCCCACCTTCTCTCTGCCCCACACACCACCATGCCAGAGTCCAGCCCAGAGCCCTGTCCTGGCCTGCCTCTCGCACCCTCCCATCCATTCTCCACGGGCAGCCAGGGGGGCTTTCTAAAGGCCTGCTTTAACCCTGTCCCTCTCTGTATGAAACCCTTCCATGGCTGGCTCCCGCCATGCAAGCAGTCCCCACCCCTCCCAGTGGCCCCCAGACCCTTGCACTCCAGCCCCATGCCCTCTCTTCTCACCACCATCTCCCTGGCTGCTGCCGGTCCTTAGCTATGCCATGCTTCTCCCATTGCTGGCATCCCACACGTCATTCCTCCGGCCAGCTGACACGTTTGCTTCCTCCTCTAGAAAGCCCTCCCTAACTGCAGGCCAGGTCGGATATTTCCTCTGGGATTCCCCAGTCCCTGGCCTCCCACGCCCTAGCCCTGACCACTCCAGGCCGCCCACCCTACCTGGGCTGGGAGCTTTCCAGGGCAGGGCCCAGGGCTGGCTCAATCAGTGCTGTGTCCCCAGCATAGCCCAGCCCTGGGCTGAGTTCAGAGTAAGAACCCAAACAGCTGTAAAGCAGTGAACCCAGCCAGGCTCAGGGACCGGGCTGCCTCCTGCCCTGAGCCCCCCGACTGAGCTCCAGAACGTGCTGCAGTCAATGGCTCCTGGTGGCCTCACCAGGTCCAAAGAGGACCAACAGCAAAAGGGCCTGAGAGCAGACTTGGGGAAATCTCCCAGACATGAAGCGGGGGCCTTCGAGGGCCCTCCTTGAGAAGTGAGTTAAGAGCAGATCCCATCCCTCCACCCCTGGGGCAGGCACACCAGCGCGGGGGCCCCAGGCACTCACAGCGGTCAGGGGGTGTGATTGTGATGGACTGGGCGGTAAATTCATCATCGAAGTACCTTGTGTCGACCTCGGACGTGACCTGAGGTTTGAAGGGTGGCAGGAGCTACGGAGGAGAGGAGCTCAGGCTCAGGGACCCTGAGGCCAGGAGGCCTCAACCAAGGTCACCACGAGTGGGCCAGGTCCCTGAGGGTCCTGCTGGGGCAAGCAGTGGGGCTCACCTTCTTCTGGACCACGTCCTGCCAGTTGATGCTGAGGAAGAACCTGTGCTCCATGACCTCCTTGGCATCGCTGGGCCCCCCACCAAGCCTGTGCAGAGACGGCCGTCAGCACCTGCCTCCCGGAGCAGCTGGGTTCGGGCAGACGGGCTTTCGGAGCAGGCAGGCCCTGTATGGCCCTTAATGATTCTGTCTTGACCACAAACCACTTCACAGAGGAGGAAACCGAGGCTCAGGGAGGGAGCTCACGTGCCCAGGGTCAGAGCCAGGGAGTCAGCAACCCGGACCCACGTGTCCTCACTGCCTGGCCTTACCCTGAGTCCAGAAAGGGAGTTAGTAGGGCAGGCTCCGTTCCTATCCTGGCTCTGCCACATATGGTTTGGTGGCCCCAGCCAGGCCCAGGGGATGCCCTGTTCCTCAGTGTCCCCATAAAATAAGGCAGTGTCAAGGATGGGCCTGCCCTGGGGGAAGCACTCCCTAAGTGCCACTGTGGACGTTTTCAGGGGCTGTGTGGGGACGACACACTGCGACCCTACAAGCGAGCACCCTTGTGGACGCTGCCCCCTCCAGGCCGCAGGGACAGTGGCAGCAGCTGGCGCTGGGCTGGGTGGGGCCGACGCCAGCCCTCACCTCTGCTTGGGGTCCTTCTTAAGCAGCCCAGCAAGCAGGGACTTGGCCTCGGGGCTGAGCGTGCGCGGGAAGCGGATCTCTTCCATGAGGATGAGCTCGAAGAGGCGCTCGTGGTCCTGGTTGTAGAAGGGCAGGCGGCCGCACATCATCTCGTACATGACCACACCCAGCCCCCACCAGTCCACGGCCCGGCCATAGTCATTGTCCTCCAGCACCTGAGGATGGAGGAGAAATGAGGGCTGGGCCCGTGGCCCTGAGGCTGGCATCACAGTCCTGCCCTCAGGGCATCTGGGCTGGAAACACACAGGTCTGGGGGATCCCCCTACCCTTGGCCTCACACGTTCCTACCCCCACCAACCCCAGACACCTCAGGCGCCAGGTACTCCGGGGTCCCACAGAAGGTTTTCATGGTGGCCCCGTCACTGATGCCCTCTTTGCAGAGGCCAAAGTCAGTGATCTTGATGTGGCCATCTTTGTCCAGCATGAGGTTTTCCAGCTGTTGGAAAAGTCAACGGATCTCAGGTGCATGCTCCCAAGGCTTCCTGCCACCCCAGCCTTTCCTTCCAGGGAAAGATGCCCGGGGCTCCTGGACATCAACCCTCCCATGCCAGGCTGGGCCCAGCACACACAGCCTCACCCTCTGAGGCTCAGAGAGAGGCCAGATCCAACCCTCCTCACCCTCTGGCCCACCCCCATGGTACCTGGGAACAGCTGGGCAGGGAGAGCCGAGAGCCAGGCCCTGTCCACCCACCGTCCCCATTGTGAACTGTGGTTCTTATTTCGAACGTGGGGGCACTAGCTTTCTTCTATTCTTTTTTTCTAGACTTTCTGTCCTTTAATTATGAAATATGCAGCCAGGCAAAGTGGCTCACACCTGTAATCCCAGCAATTTGGGGGACTTAGGTGGCAGGATTGCTTGAACCCATGAGTTTGAGACCAGCCTGGGCAACACAGCGAGACCCCATCTCCATATTTCTTAATATGAAAAAAAAAATTAGCCAGGCATGGTGGCACACACCTATAGTCCCAGCTACTTGCGAGGCTGAGGTGGCATCTCCCCCTGGAAGGCCCTGTGTGCCCCTCCCGGTTACTGACCATCCCCCACAAGAATTAACCTCTACTTCCCATCTGTACCACTGCACACAGACACACCTGTGAACTGTGGACTCACCTCCTCTGTGCGGCTTTCCCTCGACATTAGCCTATGAGACGCGTCCACACTGTCGTGTGTAGCTGTAGCTCATTCCTAACTGCTGTGTGGCGTCCCACTGTGAGAACACTCCACAGTGGATCTGACTGTTCCTCTCACAGTGGATACTTGGGTTGTTCCAGTTGGGGCTAGAGTAAGTCCTGCTGCTGAGTGAGGGGGACACTTTCTAAGGTGAGTGTGTGTCCCCACTTCTCCTGTGCACACAGCTAGGGCAGATGACTGGTGCTCAGCTTTGGTGGACACTGCCAAACTATCTTCTAAAATTGGCCGGGCGCGGGGGCTCATGCCTGTAATCCAAGCACTTTGGGAGGCTGAGGTGGGTGGATCACAAGGTCAGGAGTTTGAGACCAGCCTGGCCAATATGATGAAACCCCGTCTCTACTAAAAATACAAAAATTAGCTGGGCATGGTGGCGGGCACCTGTAATCCCACCTATTCGGGAGGCTGAGGCAGGACAATCGCTTGAACCCGGGAGGCAGAGGTTGCAGCGAGCCGAGATCACACCACTGCACTCAACAGAGTAAGACTCCTCAAAAATAAATAAATAAATAAATACAAATAAAGTAGGTATTGTGGCAGTTGACACTCCGCTAGTGGCCTAGGAGCGCTCATGGGAGGCTTGGGAAGGTCCCTACTTGGGGCAACTTGCCACAGAGCCACCACCCTGGACCTTGGTGGGGAGCCTGGTGAATGAGGGCAGCCACCACCCTGGACCTTGGTGGGGAGCCTGGCGAATGAGGGCAGCCACCACCCTGGACCTTGGTGGGGAGCCTGGCGAATGAGGGCAGAAGCTCAGCCCAACTTCCCCAGTGTGAGTCCCATGTGGTGTGCATGCCACAGGTCAGCCTGGCGCACACCCTGCCACTAACCTTGATGTCGCGGTATACCACGTCCCGCGAGTGCAAGTACTCAAGAGCCGAGACAATCTCTGCACCATAAAACCGGGCCCGCTCCTCTGTGAAGACACGCTCCCGGGACAGGTGGAAGAACAGCTGCAGGAGGAAGGGGTGGGGAGAGGAGGTCAGGCCCCAGCCCACCCACCTGCCCTCACCTTCCCAGCCCCCTGCCCCAGCGCAGTGATGTGGTGACACCTGTATCATGAACCAGCAAGTGACAGCTAGAGGGACCAATCAAGGCAGAGCGCAGAAGCTCATAAGTGACACAGAGCTGGGGGGAAGGGCGAGGGTCTGCCAGGAGGCACCCATGAGAGGGTATGGGAGAGACATCCGAGACAGGAGGGAGGATGGCATGGAGGCAAAAAGAAGCACACGTCATGACCAAGTAACAATAGGCCATGGGCAAGCCCAGATCAGACAGATGAGCAAACCACGCATCCCAAAGCAGGTGTGCCAACCACTGCACAGAGAAGGCGCGAGGCAAGGAGTGGGTGACAAAAGTGAGGCGACTCTGTAAGGGGAAGCTGAGCGGCTGCGGGAATTCACTTCGAGAGGACACGGGAACGGAGGGCTGCTAGGTTTTAACCCTTGGGGGCTTTCTCTGGGGCCTTTAAGACCATCCTTCCCAGTGCTATCGCCCCACAGCCCTCTCCACACCTCTCTGGACTGGTTTGGACCTGACCCACCCACTCACTAGCTGTGTAAACTTGGGCAAGCCACTTAACCTCTCTGAGCCTCAGTGACTGCCCCCCCAAAATGGAGACGAAGCCGCCTGCCTCAAGGGAGAGGGGCACTAGATGACACTGAAATTTCCCTCCACCCTTCCATCTCACCCACAGCTCCTCTCCATCCCGCCCCACCCTAAAGAAGGAGGCCCCAGAGGGCAAAGTCAAGGCAGCCGCGGCTCACCTCACCCCCGTTGGCATACTCCATCACAAAGCACAGGCGGTCGTGGGTCTGGAAGGCATACTTCAGCGCCTGGGGGATGAAGGCAGCAGGGTGGGAGGTGGGAGGGAGGAGGGCTCTGCTGAGCCATGCCAGGGCAGGGCCCTGGCCCTGCTTATTCTGCACACACACACCCTGCCCTGGCTGGGGCCCCCAGGAGTCAGCCATATGGGGTTCACATACCGGCTGCACCTTTTGGGGCATTAAGTGAAGGCATGGCTCTGCGGTAGGAAAGGGTTACATGCTGAACCATCTTGTCCTCTGCCTCCATCAGGCACAGCCAAGGGAGAACTAGAGCTGTTCTGAGCAACCATGGCTCTTGTTTTTACAGTAAAATGTGTTCAACTTACACACACAAGTGATGTCTGCTGTGGCTGGGAGTGGCAAAGGCTTGGGAGCCAACTTCAATGACAGGATGGACAGGCTGTCAGTCAACAAACAGTAGTTCTCCACTGCACTAAGGAGATCTACAGAGAGTTCCTCAGAGACTCCCACCAGGGGGTCCTTCAGCTCATGACAACTCAACTATTCTGTTTTCTGCACTGAGGTACCTCATAAGATTTTATTTGAAAAAGTACTGTGGCTTAATAGGATACCTGGACAGCAACTGAGATAAAGAAATGATACATAAGCCATCCTCAATCTAGTCCATTTAACTGGTGGCCACTGGCCTTGATGGAGACTGCAGCCCAAACAGGCATCTACTCAGTCCAGGCTGACAGACAACACAATGCTAACACATCTGCTTCTATGAGCATATCTGAAAACAAAAACAAAAAAAATAATGTTTCCACTTCAACCAGCTGGGCTAAGTGCTCCTAACTCATAGAGACAGCAGCCAGCAAATAATGTGATATCTTCAGTTAGTTCAAATGCTTACATGAAGCCACCATCTATGAAGAAGCTGTCACCCTCCCACTCCCCGAGCCTGCTCACCCCCACCACATGTCTTGGTTCGGATGACTTGGCAGGGCGCAGCAACACCTTGCCCTGCCCGCCTGGCCTACCCCAAGACTGTGCTTTGTACCAGAAGATTAGGGCTCTCTCTCTGAGCTCTGTCCAAAGGCTGGCCTCACACTGTCTGGGAAGGGGAGGGCAACTCACAGTGAGGAACGGGTGCCTGGTGTTCTGGAGGACCCGGCTCTCGGTGACTGTGTGAGCGACTTCATCCTGCAGACAGACTGCGGGTGAGGGGCTGGTGGGCAACACCACACCTGCCCACTCCGCCCCGACGAAGGGGAGCAAGGCCTTGTGAAATGCAATTCCATTCCCAGCCATAAATGCAGAAAATCACAGGAGTGAAAAGTGAAAGCCTGCAAACCCTCAGCAAATAGCAGACCCAGACGAGGATCATCAGTGGCTCTCAAAGCCACAGGTGAAAAGTCAGCAGGAATGTCACAATGTAAGGACCAGGCTGCTAGGGACAAGACACCTGTGACGTCCCTGCAAGGGAGACAAACAGACATCACGAGAGCCCCGAGGTGCCACCACAGGCTGTGGGAAGTCCCACCTAGAAAGCATTCTTGCCCAAAGAAGGAAAAACAGTGCTTCTTGGTGTGGTCCCCACACAGCACCTCAGCACCGCCTGGGAACTGGCAGCAATGCAAATTCCTGGGACCTACCCCCAGGCCCACTGAGTCAGAAACTCGGGGTGGGCCCAGCACTGTCTCACAAGCCCTTTGGGTGACTCTAATTCAGGTTCTAATTTGGTACCTGACTGTACAGCAGAACCACCAGGAGTGGTTCCAAAAATCTGGAGCCACCTGCAGCAACGTGAACACAGGCTCTCTCTGGGGCAAGTTTATCCCCAGGGGACACCTGAGAATGTCTGAAGTCTTTTTTTTTTTTTTCCCTTTTTTTTTTTAGCTGGGGGTCTGGCTCTGTCGCCCAGGCTGGAGTGCAGTGGTGTGAACATGGGTCACTACAGCCTCAACCTCTGAGGCTCCACTGATCCTCCCACTTCAGCCTCCTGAGCAGCTGGGACTACAGGTGCACGCCACTATGCCCAGCTAATTTATTTTTATTTTTACAGAGACAGGGTCTTGCTTTGTTGCCCAGGCTGGTCTCGAACTCCTGGGCTCAAGCGATCCTCCCACCTCAGCCTTCTAAAGTGCTGGAATTACAGGCGTGAGCTGTGGCGCCCAACCCAAAAGTCATTTTTGATTGTCACAACTTGGGGAGCTAGTATTGGCTTCAGTGGGTAGAAGCCAGGGGTGCTGCTGAAACCCTAGAATGCACAGGGCTGCCCCGACAGCGCAGAATCATCTGTCCCAAAACGTTAACAGTGCTGAGGCTGAGGAAGGCTGCCTTAGGCCCAATCGTCACATCAGGAATGAACAGCTAATTTGGTTGGCTCTGATGGCAGCACCACATGATTATATTCTTTACAGTCTTCATCTGTCAGGACACATGTTCAAGTATGGATGAGTGAAGTGACGTGTTGTCTAGGACAGGCCTTAAAGTATTCCAGAACAAGAGGGACAGGCAGAGCTAAGGAAACAAGGCTGGCTAAACGCTGATAACTGGTTAAACTGGACAATGGCTACATGGGGGTCCGTAATATTTATTTTCTTTTTAAATTTTTGAATGTCTTTGGAATCTTCCACTACAAAAAATTCAAATAAGGGAAAAAGTAGAATTCCACTCCTGGCCCGGCCTCCACCTGGGATACCCTGAGCAAAGCCCGGGACTCCCCAACAGCGACGTCCTCCCCAACAGGCCCCAGCCTCCCTTGACAGTACCTGCTGGGTGGGGCCCCGAGGCTCTCTCTCTCCACAGGCACCCCCAGCCCCTAACATAGGGTGGAGGTGGGGACTCAGCAGCAAGGCCTGCTGCTCCTCTCTGGGCCTCAGGCTCCCCCTTTTCTGACTAGGGGGAATTTGTGGGGGAAATAAGCCCACAGCAGCAGAAAGCGCGGGTAAGCGTCCAGGCCTCAGGGTCAGGCTCCAGACCGCAGCCCCCACAGAGGCTCGCGAGCGCAATTCCCGGGGCACGCACCTTGGCAATGATGACTTCCTTCCGCAGGATCTTCATGGCGTAGTAGCGGCCAGTGGCCTTCTCCCGCACCAGGATGACTTTGCCAAAGGTTCCCTTGCCAAGGAGTTTGAGATAGTCGAAGTCATTCATGGTCTGCCAGGGACAGGGAGAGTGGGGGCAGTCAGCGCCTGGCTCATGGCCCGTGGGAGGAAATTTTAACAAAAGAAAGAGGAAAACCAAAAGACACTGTTGCCAAACGGCTTAGGCTGGAGCAGGAAGGGAGGCTCTGGGCAGCAACTGTGTGTTCTGAAGCGGCCTTCAGACCAGGCTCTGCAGGCACAGGGCCTTGGGAGGGCTGGGCTCTGACGTGGGGGTAGCCAGGTCTTCACCAACTCCCAGGACGAACCTGCAGTGGGTCCACCCAAGGTTGCTCCCTCCCCTACGGGCATGGAGCACACCCTAGGGCACCTGCCACCTGAAATCACCCCACCCTGCAGGGCAGCCTTGTCTCTCAGCTGAGCCCCCTGAACTGTGTTATGGAAACCAAGGAGAGCAGGCCAGCACTGGGGGTGGGGGCACCGCAGGCTGGCAGCCCCACCCCTGCTCCCAGCACTTACCACTTTAGCCCGTGCCTTGCTGACCGCCACTTCCATCTCCTCAGTCGTGGAGGAGTCACTGGGGGAGCCACACTTGTAGTCCATGGGGTCCTCGCCTGGGGCCCGCTGCTTGAGGCTGTTGGCGACCATCTGGATGGCCCGCATCCACTCCTCCCTGTGCAGGGACACACGTGAGTCCCAGCAGCCAGGAGTCCTGGGCCTCAGAGTCGAACAGCTGAGTGCCACCTCCCAGCCACCCCCAGCAACAGGCAAGCAAATGACCACATAACCATGGGAATTTGGGCAAGATCTGTCAGAACCAGAGAGAGCTGAAGGGACCTGAGTGAAATTCCACGCCAGGCGCAGTGGCTCATGCCTATAATCCCAGCACTTTGGGAGGCTGAGGCGGATGGATCACAAGGTCAGGAGTTCGAGACCAGCCTGGCCAACATGGTGAAACCCCGTCTCTACTAAAAATACAAAAATTAGTCAGGGGTGGCATTCGCCTAATCCCAGCTACTCAGGAGGCTGAGGCAGGAGAATTGCTTGAACCCGGGAGGCGGAGGGTGCAGTGAGCAGAGATCGCACCACTGCACTCCAGCCTGGTGACAGTGCGAGACTCCGTCTCAAAAAAAAAAAAAAAGTGGAATACCAAGAGCGATCACCAATTTCCCTAAAGTGACCTGGCCTGAGGGCCATTTGAAGCCAGGCAGCAGGGAAATGATCAAAAAGGAGTGACCCTCTCTTTTCACAGCCCCTTGAAAATGAGCCACCACCCTGAGCCTTGAATGAGGGAGAGAGAGTGCTCCTGTGAATTCTTCGGAACAAATGACAAGCTCAAGTTTATAAGTTACCAATGTTTTGTAAAGTTAAACCAAGAGTAAGAAGCAGCATTCATTAGCCAAAGGAGCTGAAGACACTGCAAGGCAAGAGCTGGCCCGCAGGACTCCCTGGAGGGGACAGTCCACTGGGAGCAGGGAGTCTGCATGGCAGGGACAGAGGTCCTGGCAGCCCAGGGATGTAGAGGAGAGAAGCTGGTGGACAAGAAGTAGGTCCCAGCAGAAGGGAGCCTGGTTTAAGAACAGTTAACTAGAGGCTAAGCACTGTGGCTCACACCTGTAATCCCAGCATTTTGGGAGGCCAAGGTGGACCAAGTGCTTGAGCCGAAGCGTTCAAGACCAGCCTAGGTAACAAAGCAAGACCCATCTCTTAAAAAGTTTTTAAAAAACAAAAATAAAAAATAAAAACAGGCCAGGTGCGATGGCTCACGCCTGTAATCCCAGCACTTTGGGAGGCCAAGGTGGAGGATCACTTGAGGTCAGGAGTTCGAGACCAGCCTGGCCAACATAGTAAAACCCAGTCTCTACTAAAAATACAAAAAATTAGCCGGGCGTGGTGACGGGCGCCTGTAATCCCAGCTACTCGGGAGGCTGAGGCAAGAGGATCATTTGAACCCGGGAGGCGGAGGTTGCAGTGAGCCGAGATCGCGCCACTGCACTCCAGCCTGGACAACAGTGCGAGACTCCATCCCAAAATAATAATAAAATAATAATAATAATAATAATAATAATAATAATAATAAAATAAAGAACAATAAACTAGTTCTGTCACTCATGGTTTAGAACTTGCTGAGAAAGAACTGTCTTTGAGCTGGGCTCGGTGGCTCACACCTGCAATCCTGGCACTTTGGGAGACTGAGACGGGACGATGGCTTGCATCCGGAAGTTTGAGACCAGCCTAGGCAACATGGATACCCACTTTGTAGAGACCAAAGATAAAAAATTAGCCAGGTGTGGGGGCACATGCCTGTGGTCTCAGCTACTCAGGGGGCTAAGGTGGGAGAACTGCTTGAGCCCAGGAGGTGGAGGCTGCAGTGAGCCATGATCATACCACTGCAATCAGCTAAAAAAAAAACAAAATAATTTTCTTTGGATACTTACAAACTGTTCTGTCTAATAAGTGAAAATGACCAGAGACCAAAATGAAAAATATATTAGGCTGAATTACACCAAATTGTCCACATCCCCCATTTTTGACCACACTGCAATTAGGTGTTTCAACCCAACGCATTTTGAACCCCCCGTGTATTTTGCTTGTATCTAGAAAATACTCATATGACCAACAAGAAAAATAAAATGTTCACTAAGAATGAGAAAATTCAGAGAGTGTAATCACGCAAATCCCAGTGATTTAAATAAGCCACAGGGAGTGCAGCCAGCCCTTCACAGCATCTTCCAGGATGGCCCCCGCCCCAGGGCAAGTGTCACTGCTCCTGTGTTCCTGAGACACTGGGGCCCCTACCCAAGGTCAGGCAGGGAACAAGTGTGGCTGGGACTGGGCTTCAAAATCCAAGCCGGGACACCCTGCTGGGCTGTATTCCTCCCCAGTCTCGTTTCCTGGTGTACCACGCGAAACTACTTCTATTTCCATCCATCCCACAACGCACCCTCTTCCACATTTTGACACTGCTGGAATGCAGATTAATCTCACAGTTGGGGTCTGTCTTGATTTAACTGGGCACGCCTTTTTCTTGGCACTATATGAAACAGGGTGCCTCCCCAATGACAGCGCCTTCGATTTGATGAAATATCACAGCAGTGTTTAATACACAGGCTGTCGTGAGGTAGAATGCCTGTGAGGCATCTGTGCAATGAGACATTCTGCAGCTGGGGGAAAGATTGAGGCAGGTCTGTATGCTGACTTGGGATGATCTGAGACTTCTTAAGAGAAAAAGGAAGGTGCAGGGATGGGCAAGGTAGCTCACTCATGTAATCCCTGCAATTTAGGAGGCAGAGGCTGGAGGACTGCTTGAGCCCAGGAATTCCAGACCAGCCTAGACAACATAAGAAGACCACGCCTTTATAAAAAATTTCAAAATTAAGGAAGGTGAAGAACAGTATACAGTTCTGTGCTCCTAAGTTAGAAAATAATGAACTTCTGCAGACACATGCTCACATAGGCACAAACATCTCCAGAAGAGAAGTCATGATCCTGGAGCCCTGCCTGCCTCCAAGGGAGGGGAACTGGGAGTCGAAGGAAAGGAACAGCCTCTAATAACAAATGGGAAGCACTTGCTATCATCAACTATCCCTACTCCCACCCATTATGAAGGAGGAACTGGGGCACAGATTGAAAAAACAGATTCCAGAAAAACAGCAGTTGCTCCAGGCTTGGTAGCTGGAATTACAAAAGGCACGCTGCCCTCCCCACCCACTCAGAGACTGGAGTCCCCATAACCCATCTATGTCCACCCCACGGAGGCAGAGATTTCCACCTGCTTTGAACACAGTTCTGCCCCCAGAACTCATGGTGGATACTCAGTAGATACTTGGGTAATGAAAGAGTGAGGCAGCCAAAGTCCAAGTGGCCCCAGGGCCAGGGCGCAGCAGGGCCCAGTGCAGACCCGGGCAGAGCACGCACTGAGCCCTGGTGCACACCCGGGCAGAGCGGTGTTGGCTTCTGCACTCCCTGGCCCAACATCTCAAGCCAGTATTTCTCAACTTGCTTTAACCCATGCCCCCTTAGGAACAAATTACAGCCTAATTCCCAAACCCTACACTAATATTCCTGTTTTTCAAAAAAAAAAAAAAAAAAAAGCAGGGGCCGGGGACAGGGCAGGAGCCCATTCCATGACAGGCTTTTTTCTTTTTTGTTTCTTTTTGTTTTTGGAGACAGAGTCTCGCTTTGCTGCCAGGCTGGAGTGCAGTGGCTCCCAGGTTTAAGCGATTCTCCTGCCTCAGCCTCCAGAGTAGCTGGAACTACAGGCACCCGCCACCATAATTTTTGTATTTTTAGTAGAGACAGGGTTTCACCATGTTGGCCAGGATGGTCTCGATCTCTTGACCTCATGATCTGCCTGCCTCGGTCTCCCCAAGTGCTGGGATTACAGGTGTGAGCTGCTGTGCCCAGCCTTCCATGACATGCTTTATCAGACATAGTTGTCCTCTCACAAATTTTAAATTTTTTTAATGCTGACTCTGAGTAAATGATGGCGGATTGGGAAAAAAAAAATCACAGATCTCCTAAGAGATACAGTGAAGATATTAAAAAGGAAAATATGTCTCTCATATATAAAGATCTTGAGAGACTGTCACGTGAAGATGGCAGATTGCAGACTAAGATGTACAGCGTGGTATCATCTTTGTTTTCAAAGACAGGGGTGGAGAGAACACAGATGGTCCCTCTGTGGAGAGAACCCAAATACATGAAGGATGGCACTGCCACACCACCAGCCCAGAAGCAGCTCTGGGAGGCTACTCCAGATGGGAATCAGGAGCACAGGCCCTGGACCCACCCCAGCTGGGGCTCCAAGAGTGGCTCTGCCACCTGGACCAGCTCAGCCCTCCCAGCTCTCCCCTCCACCAGGGCCTGGGCCTGGGGCTAAGAGGTTGGCGGGCTGTCGGCGCAGAGCACCGCGCGCAGGGCGGGGTGGAAGGGAGGGTGCCGAAGACACTCGCAGGGGCGGGCCTACCCCACCTACCCTGGCTCCCACTGCCCACCCTACAGAAAGCTCCAGAAACCACAGCAATGCAGGAGGTTATCTGGGAGTAACTGGGGCTCGCCTGCTGCCTGACTAGCTTCCGATCCAATTCTAACTGGACCAAAGTTGCAAGGTTGCAGCACTCAGAATTCCAGATGAAAAGCAAGGGCCTCTGTCCAGGATCCTTCTCAAGGGTTTGCAACATGGCGTCTGGGGCAAAGGGGAGCTCCCCATGAAGCTGGGCCTCAAGTATCTTCTAGCCCCCAGAGGAGAGCCCCTGGGTAAACCACGACTGTAAAAATAACAGCACTGAGTGGCTAGCTCCAGACACCACCTCGCTTGATTCTCAAGAGCACTGCAATTCTCAAGAGCCAGCATTTCTGCTGTGGGGACTGAGGCACATGGAGGTGGAGTCACCTGTGAAGGTCACACAGCAGGGATGTGGCAGAGCTGGCACTCACCTGTGCACAGCCTACTCCTCCTTAGCACCACCCGCCTGTCCCTGAGCCTCAGTGAAGCGCTGAAAGCTACACGAGACTCAGGAGGGTAAAGCAGGGACCCTCTCTAGGGAAGGCTCATGGGACACCCAGCCAGGGAGCCCACGGGAAAAGCAAAGGAAGAACTCTCCTCGTAAGCCATGATCTGCACCCGCTTTTCAGAGAGGGGCCCCCACCCCTGCCACTCAACAGCAGTCCCAAGAACACCTTCCACTTGCAGAGGCTGGTACCACTGTGCGTTATGGTGGAGGACTCCTGTCGCCCTCCCAGCAACCCTGTGTAGTAGGTACTGCCATTCACTTCATGCTAAAATGACAAGACCGAAGCACAGAGAGGCTCATCTGCCCACCGACAGAGGCCAGGGACACAAGAAGTGCCCAGGCACTTCTACCTCCAAGAGCACTTCCCCCATCGGTATTTTCTGGAACCTTCTCATCCTCATTTGGGCTCAGGGCCAGGGGAGGGACATGGGGGAGCCACGTTCGCCATACCAACACTGGGAAGGGCACAGTACGGGGCAAGCACAGGCTCTGGGCCAGGAGCTGTGGGGTCATTGCCACCCAATGCGCTGCCTGCCTTCCGTACCAGCTGGGGACCTCACAGTGGGTGAGAGGACAGGCTCTGGGGGATGGCCTGGACGTGGATCCCAGCTCTGCCCCTTCCTGCAGGCAACACTGGGCAGGTTGTATGCCCTTCCTGTGCCTCGGTGGGTGAGGCACTAGAGGGTCCTATCAGGGTGAAATGAGACACTAGACATAAAGTGCTGAGAGCGGTGCCCAGCACATTGAGGTCTCAGAAGGCTGTCATGAGAGTTCACCCAGCCGGCCTGCAAATGTGGAGCATTTCTGTGCACCAGGCTTGTTCAGGGCACTGTGGATGCAGCAGGGGACAAGCCCATCATGGCTCCTGACCTCAAGGGGAGGACAAGTGTGTAGAAGCTCCAAGGCGGGGGCCAAACAGGGAGACTCCTTCTCAGAGGGCAGTCAGGGGAGGCCTGAGGAGATGACGTTTAAACCAGGACCTGAACAATGGCCATCCCCAGTGCCTAGAACAGGCCCTTGGCACACAGCTATGAAATAAATGAAATGGAGGGAAGGAGGCAGGGGATTGGGAGGGAAAGGAACCCAGGCAGAGGGAACTGCATGGCAAAGACCCCAGGGCAGGAGCAAGCTGGGGTGTCTGTGAAAGGCACACAGGTGCCAGAATGGCTGGAGCCAACAGAGAGGAGTGGAGGAGATGAGGACAGAGAGGAGTGCAGGAGATGAGGACAGGGAGGAGTGGAGGAGATGAGGACAGGGAGGAGTGGAGGAGATGAGGACAGGGAGGAGTGGAGGAGATGAGGACAGAGAGGAGTGCAGGAGATGAGGACAGGGAGGAGTGGAGGAGATGAGGACAGGGAGGAGTGGAGGAGATGAGGAGAGAGAGGAGTGCAGGAGATGAGGACAGGGAGGAGTGGAGGAGATGAGGACAGGGAGGAGTGGAGGAGATGAGGAGAGAGAGGAGTGCAGGAGATGAGGACAGGGAGGAGTGGAGGAGATGAGGACAGGGAGGAGTGGAGGAGATGAGGACAGGGAGGAGTGGAGGAGATGAGGACAGGGAGGAGAGCATGCCCAGACCGCTCCGGCCTCTACGTGCCACCATGTTAGAGATCTGGGTCTTATCCTCAGCACCACAGGAAGTCGCTGAAGGGTTTTAGTCAGGGGGGAACAGGCTCCAAATTTCTGTTTTAAGTCAGTAGCTGCTGTGTGGGCTACGGACTGGGGGCAGTGAGAGGAGACCCCGGCATCCTCCAGGAAAGAGATGCTGGTGGCAGAGGAGACAGAGGTAAGAAAGGTACCAGTGCTGCGTGTGCCAAAGCTGCCATGGGCAGGCCCTGCGCCAGTGCCTTCATGTTTACTTCCTCCTCTACACCACATGACAGCCAGGGAACTGAGCCCCACTGAGGGAGAGACACGGCAGCTGGCCTGAATCCAGGGCCTGGACCCCAGCCCTGGGCCATCCTGCGGGGCACCCCAGAGAGAAGCTCGGCGAAGCAGAGGTGGCAGGGCTGTCCTTCATGCACAAGCCCGTCCTCACCGCTTCAGGAGTGACAGCTGACTGTGGGGACTCTCCCCTAACCATCACCTCCCCGACCTAGAGGGGCATTTACAGCTGGAGGGCATCTGGGGCCCTCCCTGTGCACAGATAGTCTGCCTTGTGAGGAGAAAATAAATTAATATATGAAAAGTCCTCGGAACAGGATCTAGCTCAGAGAATTTAATTATTTTTTATTTATCCAACAAACATTTACTGAACACCCATTTGTGTGCCAGATACATACATAAATATAAATGTCCCACTTGGTGGACAGGTGCTATGAAGAAAAGCACAGCTGGGGAAGGGCAAGACAGCGAAGGGAGGCAGGGCAGGACGCACTGGGGTGGCAACACTGGGGCAGAGACCTCGTGGAGTCGGGGAGAGCTGTGATGGCATCTCAGGGAGGAAGGCCTTAGACAAACGCGACAGCAAGCGCTGAGGCCCTCGGGCAAGAGATGTGCTAGGCATGTTTAAGGAACAGCAAGGAGACACGTGGCTAAGTGAGGGTGCTTGTGGTAGGAAATGCTTCTGGAGAGGTCGCTGGATCATACAGGACTCTGCAGGACACAGCACGGACCTTGGAGTTTACTCTGAGTGGGAGTGAAAGCCATTCAGAGTTCTAAGCAGAGAAAATACATGATAAGATTTACATCAAGGCCAGGCACGGTGGCTCACGCTTGTAATCCCAGCATTTTGGGAGGCCGAGGCGGGCAGATCACCTGAGGTCAGGAGTTCGAGACCAGCCTGACCAACATGAGAGAAACCCCATCTCTACTAAAAATACAAAATGAGCTAGGCATGGTGGCGCGTGCCTGTAATCCCAGCTACTCAGGAGGCTGAGGCGTGAGAATCACTTGAACCCAGGAGGAAGATGTTGCAGTGAACCAAGATTGCACCATTGTACTCCAGCCTGGGCAACAAGAGTGAAACTCTGTCTAAAAAAAAAAGAAAGAAAGATTTACGTCAAAAAGATCACAGATGGCCAGGCACAGTGGCTCATGGCTGTAATCTTAGCACTCTGGGAGGTTAAGATGGGCAGATCACTTGAGCCCAGGGGTTCAAGACCAGCCTGGGCAACATGGTGAAACCCCATCTCTACAAAAAATACAAAAATTAGCCTGGTGTGGTGGCAGGCGCCTGTAGTTCTAGCTACTAGGGAGGCTGGGGTGGGAGGATCACCTAAATCCGGGAGATTGAGGCTGCAGTGAGTCGTGATTCTGCCACTGCACTGCAGCCTGGGCAACAGAGACCCCATCAAAACAACAACAAAAAGATCATACTCACCTGATGCACTATTAAGTATTCTTGCCTGCCAAGACCAGGGGTCTGCAAACTTTTTCCATCAAGGACCAGAAAGCTGGGTGTGGTGGTTTGTGCCTATAATCCCAGCACTTTGGGAGGTGGAGGAGGGAGGATTGCTTGAGACCAGGAGTTCCAGACCGGCCTGGACAACATAGCAAGACTCTGTCTCCACAAAAAAATTTAAAAATTCGCCAGGCATGGTGGTGCATACCTTTAGTCCCAGCTACTCAGGATCCTGAGGCGTAAGGATGGATTAAGCTCAGGAGTTTGAGACTGCAGTGAGCTATGATTGCACCGCTGCACTCCAGCCTGGGCAAGAGAGCAAGAACTTGTCTCTAAAAAAAAAGTTTTAAATTTAAAAAATTTTAATTAAAATTTTAAAAGGGCCAATTATTAAATTTTTTAGGCTTTGCAAGACAGTCTTTGTCACAACTACTTAACCCAGCCACAGTAAGCCAAAAGCAGCCAGACTATTCATGAACAAATGGACATGGTCATGTTCCAATAAAACTTTATTTACAAAAATGGAAGGCAGGGCCATAGTTTGCCAACCCTGTTCCTGGCCTAATTCTAGTTTACAAGAAATACAAACATGGGGAACAAAAGTAAACAACACCAAAAGGCAATAATATGACACACCCAGAAGGTGTGACATTCTACAAGACAACTAGCCTGGCTTGTCAAAAAAATAAATAAATTAATAAAAAATCAATGTCTTGGGGAGGAAAAAAAAAGACAAAGGGCTGAACTAGATTAAATAAAACAAGTCAAAGAGACATGTACCTTGAATGAATACTGGTTTTAAAACAATGTTCTAAAGGTTGCATATCCTTCAAAAGGTAACTAAAGAAATTCAAGTACGGCATGGATAAGGAGAAGTTACTAGTAAACAAAGATTATAATCATCTCAGGCGTGACAGCATCATGATTCTGTAGGAGAAAGTCCTTATTCTTAGGAGATGCCTGCTGAAACACTAAGAATGTCACTAAGTATGAACACAAGTTCAAGTTCAGCATAAAACACAACCAGATGAAGCAGACACGGTGAATGCGGGACTGCAGAGTCTAGGAGTGGGGCGCGTGGATGTCCATTCATTATACTATTCTTTCAACTTTTCTCCATGTGAAACACGTCTGCAGTGAAGTGGGGGACAGGGAGGAGGGTCTCTCCAGCTGGAGAGGCAACCAGGAGCCCAGTGAGGAGGCGCTGCAGCACCTAGCCAACAAGCAGTCACCGACTGGCACCCACCTGCCCTGCAACCCCTGCCTCCCTCCCCAGGCTTAAGAGAGGCCAGCTGACATCAGCCTGTGTGGGCCAGGGCTGTGAGGACAGCATCAGTCAGCCAGGAGCAGAGTGGAGGGGGCCTCCCTCTTGCTGGGTTTCTGGTTCACCCCCTCCACCCACCCATAGTTAAGGTCAGAAATCTGGGACCTGGTCTCTTAGTCGTTCCAGCAGTTTTCTCTTTGGCAACAGCAGCAGGTACCAAGAAGAAAAGGCAGGTGGGGCTCTCCAGCCTACAGAATCTTGGTAAAGGAAAGGGCATGTTGTCTTGTGAAAATGGAAACGAGACCATCTCTCCTGCCTACTAAAACACCTTGTCAGCTCCACCTTGTCAGTACCTGATGTGCCAGGTACTGCTGCATCAGCCGCTCCTATTTATCATTCCCCTGCATCGTGTAACTACCCTGGGACAAACCGCAATTTACTAAGTGCCTGCCAAGCCCTGTGGGGATCTCCACCTGGAGTCCAAGGCCTTGGCTGAGCTCTCCAGCTTCGAGCGCCTCCACTTCCCCTCTTCCAACACTCCTGGCCCCTTGGTTCTCTGGTGACACAGAACCCCCTGTAGTCTCTGGAATGCATGAGCTATTTCACCTCCAGGTCTTTGCATATGCTGTCCCTTCTGAACTTTCTCCTTGCTATCTCCGTGGCCAAATCCTATCCAGTCTTCAAAACCCAGCTCAACACCCAGGACCTATACACCCACTGGTCTCGATCTGTTTTTACTGGCCATTCATGTTTTGGTCCATAGTTTTCAACTGAGTAGCACCTCAGCTGGCTTGAGATGGTAATTTTGTTCCCCTCAGTGGGGCAAGTATATTTTTTACCTTGGGAGGATGTGCAACAATAATTATAGTATAGATTATAGTAACAAGTCTCATGATATTGTGGGTTCCTGAGCTGTACTGTCCAAGAAGGTAGCCACTAGCCATATGTGGCTCTTTAAATCAATTAAAATAAACTAGAAAAAATCCATTCCTTGGTGGCTGTATTTCAAATGCTCAATCGGCACAAGCAGTCAGCACAGGCAATCGGCACAGGCAATTGGCACAGGTGCCTACTGGACAGTGCAGATAAAGGGCATTTCCACAATGGCCGGAAGTTTTCTTGGACGGCATGATTTTAGGGCTCTCTAGAGGGTCTGCTGAAACCTTACCCCATAGATAAGCTAGAAGACTGTTTCTCAAAGTGAGGCCCAAAAGGACAAAGTGGGAAAAAGAAACATTTCCCACTGATTACAAAGGGCAAAGCTCCTTAATCTATAAAGAGCTAATACATAAATAAGAAAAAGACCAACTACCCAACAGAAAAATAGACAATATAGACACTTCAGAATAGGAACTCACATGGCCCTTGAGGGTCAAACTCATCCACAGAGAAAGAAAGGAAAGTTAAACACCCCGAGGTGCTGAATTTTTCCACTGCTCAGACTGGTACAAATCCAAATGTTTGAAAACACAAGGCCATGGGGGCACTCTCAGACATCGCCTAATAGAAACATCGCAAAACCACAAACTTATTTTCCCTGTGCCTCGGCAATCCTGCATCTAAGCACTCGTCACACAGGTCTACCTGTGCACACATCAAACGAGACAGACACGGCTATTTCACTGCAGCATTCCTTATAATGAGCCAAAGGCTGGAAACAACCCCAGTCATCACAATAAAGAACGGCTAAATAAACACACTTGGGACACGCATGTCCAACTGTCCAAAAAAAAAAGCAAAACATGAAACAAAGCAGCTGCATCTCTCCATATATCAAGGCAAATTCCCCAAGGTACACTAAGGGAAAAAGCAAGTCCAGAAGCATGTACAATGCTACCTTTTGTATTTAAAAAAAAAAAAAAAAAGGCAGCCAGGCACAAAGGTCTCCCTCTGCTCTTTGAGGGCACCTAAGAACAGTGATTAACTGGGGGGCAGGGAGGTGGATGGAAAGGGCAGGGTAGGGGAAGCTCCCACTAGACACCTCCTTATACTGTTTCAATTTTGAAATAGATGAGTCTTTATCATCTCTTCTGATTACTAAATTGATCTTTTTAAAATGACTCTCTGGACCACCTGCCTCAAAATCAATAGAGATGCTCATTAAGAATGTAGGTCCTGCCGGGCAGGGTGGCTCACACCTGTAATCTCAGCACTTTGGAGGCCGAGGGAGATCACCTAAGGCCAAAAGTTCGAGACCAGTGTGGCCAACATGGCGAAATCCTGTCTCTACTAAAAATACAAAAATTAGCCAGATGTGGTGGCACGTGCCTGTAATCCCAGCTACTTGGGAGGCTGAGGCAGGAGAATCACTTGAACCCGGGAGGCGGAGGTTGCAGTAAACTGAGATGGCACCACTACACTCCAGCCTGGGCAACAGAGCAAGACTCTGTCTCAAAAAAAAAAAAAAAGGGGGTCAGGTGTGGTGGCTTGCACCTGTAATCCCAGCATTTTGGGAGGCCGAGGCAGGCGGATCACCTGAGGTCAGGAGTTTGAGACCAGCCTGGCTAATATGGAGAAGCCCCTTTTCTACTAAAAATACAAAAACTAAGCCGGGCATGGTGGCACACGCCTGTAATCCCAGCTACTTGGGAGGCTGAGGCAGGAAAATCGCTTGAACCCAGGAGGTGGAGGTTGGAGGTTGCAGTGAGCCAAGATCATGCCACTGCATTCCAACTTGGGCAATAAGAGCGAAACTCCATTTCAGAAAAAAAAAAAAGAATGTAGCTCCCTGACCCTGGGCAGATCTCCAGGTAGTCACAGGTCTTGAGGCGAGGCCCAGCGGTCTAGACATTTCACGAGCTCTGCCTGTGATTCCGATGCACCCGCAAGTCAAAGGGCAGAGTAGGGTCTTCAGACTAAGAACCCCAGCTCTTCTCAGCCCCAGCTGGAGAGACCCCCCAACCAGAAGCGCAGATAGGAAACCCCTATGTAGGGTCCCAGGGAAAATCTCTCCAGCTGTACCTTTTCTCCTCACACCAGGCTTGCTCCCTCTCAAGGGCAGCCACACAGAGGCCCAGACTGACCTCTCGTCTGGAGAATCCACGTGGAAGGTCCTCTCGATGACTGTGGTCCACTGCAGGCAGCGTATGACAAAGGTGTTGGGTCGCGGCCTCTCGGTCTTCATCAGCTGGCATTCTGCAGGCAGAGGGAACAGACAGCAGGGGGCTGAGGGGATAGCCCTGCTAGCCTGCAGCCCAAAGTGCCCGAGCCACCTCCCACAGGCCTAGCCCCATGCTAGATGGTGCTGGGGACACTCTAGGGACTGAGACAGCCCTGGTCCTGTTCTCACAGGGCTCAGGGTCTAGTGTGTGTGTGTGTGGAAGGAGAGAAGCCCACCAGAGAGTGATGGCTCCATAGACAGGGCCGCGATGGGGACAAGCCTAGAGGTGTGCAGAAGCTCAGAGGTAGCATCCAACCCAGCCTGGGGGGTTGGGGGGCTTCCCAGAGGAAGCAGCTTCTCTGAACTAAGCCCTGAAGGAAAAGGGAACTTAGAGGGTACACGGAGAACAGACGCTCAGAGGTGAGAGGAGGTTCAACATCCTCAGGGGGTGGCCAATTCTGCTCCAAGGGTGAGGAGGGGTAAGTGAGAGACAGCCCTGGAGAGGTGGGCTGGGGCCAGCCAGGCAGGGCTTTGGAGGCCATGGGAAAGAATCTGGACTTTGTCCTCAGGGCAGCAGGGAGCCATAGAAGGCTTTAGATAGGGAAGAGACACAAACAGACTGAGAATGATCCCTCTGGCTGCCATGTAGAGGGTGAGGCTGGAGGTTGGAAGGCCAGGGAGGTGGGGAGCCAGCTAGGGAGGATGGGGCCACACCAGAGTGGAGCCCTGCAGACAGGCCATGGGAAGAGGGCACTGAGGACCAGGCCCAGGCCTCTCGGCCTGCTGTCCCTGAGACAGAGACAGGAATAGAGCTGGGAGAGGCCTGAAGGTCAGGTTGGGATGTGGCACTTATGAGGACCTTGAAGACACTTGGGGAGATGTGTCCAAGGAGCAGCCTGGGACAGGCTGGGAGTTCTAGTGAGACACTGAGGTTGGGAACAGATGTGTCAGGGTCACCAGCACATGTGGAGAGCAATCAGGAAAAGGCTTCATGCAGAGCAGCGTGGGACGGGGACTGGGTTCCACAGCATGGCAGGAGAGGATAGTGGTCTGAGCTAAGGCACTGGCAGTGGAGATGGGGGTGCCTCTGTAATGTTCTTAGCAGGCAGAACAACAGGACATGGTGACCCATCAGGTCAGCAAGGAAGGAAGGCGGCAGAAAGGGGCAGCGATGTGGACAGGACCATATTCTCCAAGGCTCAGTCAAGAGCTTGGGGCTTGTGAAACTTCACTGCCAGGGTCTGGCTGGAAGACATCCCTTTGGGTATTACAGAGGGACAGAGGACGCGAGGCCAGCCCTGTGACCAGCTGAGTGGGAAGCTGTGACCCCTCTACGTCCGAGGGACAGAGGATGGAGGCTGTTACCAAAGCACAGGATGGGAGGCACCTGCCACCAGTTGGGGACTCCAAGGCCTGGCTGACAGAAGCTGGAACCACAAGGAGGCGATGCATGGGGCTGGGTGTGGGCAAATGCCCTGGCTTCTCCCTCCCTCCCACTCTGCATCTCCCCGCAGGACAGCCCCGCCTGGCCAGCTAACAAGGAGGGAGAGCAGGGGAAGGGTGAAAACAGATCCAAGGGCAAGCAGGCCCAGGACAGGCCCATGGCTCAATGACCAAGTCCCACAAGCCCCTAAGACGTGCCAGCCATCCTGTGAGCACCAGAACACTGACCCACTCATCCCAAGACACACCTGCTACGGAGAAGTTGTTTAAGGGGGGTAGAGTCTGATCAGGGGCCTCGGGCCTCTCCTTGTACCCAATGAAGGAGCCGTCGCTCTTCAGCAGGAAGTACCGTGGCCTCCAGGTCTTGATGTATTCACCTGAAATGAGGCAGGAAGGGAGGGAGAGAGGTTAGGACAAGGTTGAGTGATGTCCCAGGTAGGCGGCAGGAGGCCCAGTGTGACGGTGACTCACAAGGGGTACCACGGGGCGGGGAGGTGCGGGGGACACACGAGAATGCCTCTCCCAGAGGAGCCCTCCAGGTGGCCCCTGCTGACGCAGGCTGGGGCACTGGGCTGAGCCCGGGTGATCCACAGGTCATGCCTGGCAGGAAGGTGCCAGCAGCAGTGCCCTGGGGCACCAGTTGCCTCAGCGTGTGGCAAGGAGCAAGCTGTCTGTGCCAGCTCCTGGCCTAGTCCCAGGGGAGGCCCAGGCTTCCAAACACACATGCCCTGTGGCCCTGTAAGGCCAAATCCCATGGGCTGGGATTCACCAATACAGCTGTGCAGGTAGCTCCAATGCCAAAACACTTCTGTGCCAGGCAGGGTGGCACTGCTGCCACACCCTCCCAGCGCCCCTTGACTCTTTCCAACTGTTCTTCACCATGAATATCCAAGCACCCTATGCACACAAACACACACACACACACACACACACACACACACACGAACCCACTCATCAGAGAGCTGCTAAGGATTAAAAGGAGATGGTGAAACACATCCACACAAAAACTTACACACAAATGTCCTCAACAGCATTATTCATAACAGCCATCGAGTGGAAACGACCCTAATGTCCATCAACAACGAATGGATAAACAAAATGTAGCAGATTCATACAACGGAAAACTATTCAGTCATAAAAAGAAACGAAGTACTGAGACATGCTGCCATGTGGAGGGACCGTAACTTATGCTAAGTGAAAGAAGCCAGTCACAAAGGACCACGTATCATTATGACTCCATTTATATAAAATGCCCAGAACAGGCAAATCTACAGAGATGAAAAGTAGGGCCCGGCACGGTGGCGCACACCTGTAATCCCGGCACTTTGGGAGGCCGAGGCGAGCGGATCACCTGAGGTCGGGAGTTGGAGACCAGCCTGACCAACATGGAGAAACCCCATCTCTACTAAAAATACAAAATTAGCCAGGCATGGTGGTGCATGCCTATAATCCCACTACTTGGGAGGCTGAGGCAGGAGACTCCTTGAACCTGGGAGGCAGAGGTTGCCGTGAGCCGAGATCACACCATTGCACTCCAGCCTGGGCAACAAGAGCGAAACTCCGTCTCGAAAAAAAAAAAAAAAAAACAAAAAAAAAAACCTGAGTATGGTGATGGATGCACAACTCTGAACATACTAAAACCAACTGAACTGTATGCTTTAAATGGATGAATCATGTAGTACATCAGTTTTACCTCAACATGGCTATTAAACACCAGCACAGTGGCTCCCACCTGTAAAATCCTAGCACTTTGGGAGGCTGAGGCAGGCTTAAGTCTGGAGTTTGAGACGAGCCTGGGCAACATAGTGAGATCTGGTCTCCACAAAAAATGTTTTTTAATTAGCCAGGAGTCGTTGCGTGTGCCTGAAGTCCCAGCTACTCAGGAGGCCGAAATGGCAGAATCACCTGAGCTCAAGAAATTGAAGCTATGATGGTGCCACTGCAGTCCAGCCCAGTGACAGAGCAAGACCCTAGCTCTTAAAAAAAAAAAAAAAAAGCATTTACAAAAGCCTCCAAAAAAATACTTAACCAAGGGGGTGAAGGGCTTGTATACTACAAAACATTGTTTAAAGAAATTAGAGATCTACATAAATGCAAAAACATCCTGTGTGCATGGATTAGAAGACAATATTGTTAAGATGGCAATACTACCCAAAGCAATATACAGATTCAATGCAATCCCTATCAAAATTCCAACAGGCTTTTTCTTTTTTCAGAAATAGAAAAGCCAATCCTCACATTCACATGGAATTTCAAAGGGCCCCAAAGAGCCAAAATAATATTGAAAAAGAAAAATAAAGTTAAATACTTTCCAATTTCAAAATTTACTATACAAAGCTATAGTAATCAAAACAGTACAGTTTATACAGGACAGACATACAGACCAATGGAAGAGAATTCAGAGCCAAAAAATAAACCCAAATATCTACATTCAACTGATTTTCAACACAGATGCCAAGATCATTCAATGGGGAAAGAACAGTTTCTTCAACAAAGAGACTATATTTTTTCAAAACGAAAGAAAAGAAACCTAGAAGAAAAAATATCCTTACAATTTTTTTTGTTAATTTAAATACTGTTCCTTGCAGAGCAGGGAACAGTGACCCATAGGCAATGTGCCCAGAGTAGCCTATCCTCACAATCTTATCCCTATTTTGCAGATGAAGAAACTGAGGCAACTGGATATCCACATTCAAAAGAATGGATATCACATTCTTTTGTGATATCCTACTTCACACTGTAAACCATATACAAAAATAAACTCAAAATGAATTGACCTGAATATAAGAGCTAAAACTACAAAAAAAGTCTAAGAATACATGAGTAAATCTCATTACTTTGAATTTGGCAATGAATTCTTAGATGACACCAAATGCACAAGCAACAAAAAGAAAAACTTCAAGTGAACTCATCAAAATTAAAAACCTTTGTGCATGAAAGGACACTGTCAAGAAAGTAAAAAGATAACCTACAGAATGGGTGGAAATACTTGGAAATCTAATAAGGGTCTATTAACCAGAACACATAAAGAACTCTTACAATGCAACAACAAAAAGACAAACTGCCTGATTTTAAAATGAGCAAAGGACTCAAAGAGATATTCCTCCAAAGATACACAAATGGTCAACAGAAAGATGAAAAGATGTTCAGCATCATTAGTCATCTGGCAAACATAAATCAAAATCACGATGAAGGCCGGGCGCGGTAGCTCACACCTGTAATCCCAGCACTTTGGGAGGTCGAGGCAGGCGGATCACTTGAGGTCAGGAGTTCAAAACCAGCCTGGCCAACATGATCAAACCCCATCTCTACTAAAAATACAAAAATTAGCCGGGCGTGGTGGCACATGCCTATAGTCCCAGTGCTTGGGAGGCTGAGGCCTGAGAATCATGTGAACCCAGGAGGTGGAGGTTACAGTGAGCTGAGATCGTGCCACTGCACTCCAGCATGGGAGACAGAGCAAGACTCTGTCTCAAAAAAACAAAACAAAACAAAAACAAAAAAATCCACACACACAATGAGGTACAACTTTACATGCCCAAGGATGGCTGTAATGAAAAAAAAACAAGTGTTGGCAAGGATATAAACTGACACCCTCATGCACTGCTGGTGGGAATGTAAAATGGTGCAGCTGCTTCTTCAAAAAGTTAAATATAGAATATATCACCCCGAGGCCGGGCTTGGTGGCTCACGCCTGTAATCCCAGCACTTTGGGAGGCCGAGGTGGGCGGATCCCAAGGTCAAGAGATAAAGACCATCCTGGCCAATATGGTGAAACCCCATCTCTACTAAAAATATAAAAATTAGCCAGGCATGGTGGCGCACACCTGTAGTCCCAGCTACTCAGGAGGCTGAGGCAGGAGAATCACTTGAACCCAGGAGGCGGAGGCTGCAGTGAGCCGAGATCACGCCACTGCACTCCAGCCTGGTGACAGAGTGAGATTCCATCTCAAAAAAAAAAAAAAAAAAAAAAAAAAAAAGAATATATCATCCCAATGTCCATCAACAAATTAACAGATAACAAAATGTGATACATCTACAACATAGAGATTATTCATCCATAAGAAGGAACGACATATTGATATACGCTACTACATAGAGGAACCTCAAAAACATTAAGCTTAGCCAAGTGTGGTGGCACCTGCCTGTAGTCCCAGCTACTCTGGAGGCTGAGGCAGGAGGATCACTTGAGACCAGGAGGTTGAGGCTGCAGTGAGCCATGAGCCAAGGTCCCACCACTGCACTGCAGCCTGGGCGATAGCCCAAGACCCTGACTCAAAACAAAAAATCATGTTGCTAAGTTAAAGAAGCCAGTCACAAAAGGCCACATATGATTCCATTTACATGAAATGTCCAGAGTAGGTAAATTCATAGAGACAGAAAGTAAACTGGTGGTTAGCAGACACCAGGAGACAGGGGGTGCTATGAATTGAATTGTCCCCCAAAGTTCATGTGTTGGAAACTTGATCCCCAATGCAGCCTCATGGGAGGTATTTGGGTGAAGGGAGCACCACCCTCATGAATGGATTAATGACATTATCACAGAGTGGGTTCCTTATAAAAGGACGAGTTCGGCCAGGCGCAATGGCTCACGCCTGTAATCCCAGCACTTTGGGAGGCCAAGGCAGGTGGATCACCTGAGGTCAGGAGTTCAAGACCAGCCTGGCCAACATGGTGAAACCCCATCTCTACTAATAATACAAAAATTAGCCAAGCATGGTGGCACACGCCTGTAATCCCAGCTACTCAGGAGGCTGAAGCAGGAGAATTCCTTGAACCAAGGAGGCAGAGGTTGCAGTGAGCCGAGATCGCGCCACGGCACTCCAGCCTGGGCGACAGAGCAAGACTCCATCTCAAAAAAAAAAAAAAACAAGACAAGTTCAGCCCTGTCTTGTTCTCTCTTACCCTTCCCCTTTCACCATGGGACGTGTGACAAGAAGATGCCAACCCTGAATCTCGGACTTCCCTACCTCCAGAACGGTAAGAAATAAGTTTCTGTTCATTATAAATTACCCAGTCTCGGGTAATATGTTATAGCAGCACAGAATGAACTAAGACATAGGATACAAAAACTGACTGCTTAATGGGTACAAAGTTTTATTTTGGGGTAATGAAAAGGTTTTGAAACTAGATAGAGGTAGTGGTTACACAACATTGTGATATACTAAAGGCCAATGAATCATACACTTCAAAATGGTTAATCTCACGTTATGTAAATTTCATCCCCGTTTTTTTTTTTTTAAAGGATAAAAACTAAAAAAAACCTCATCTGTGTTACTGGAGGTTAGGAGAGCGGTAACTGCTTGGGAGGAGCACTTGGGAGAGCTTCCGGGGACCGTCTTATTCTATTTCTTGAACTGTACACTGGGATTGGGGCGAGTTTATTATCCAGGCATTTATCTGTGGCCTTTCATACTTTGGTAACAAGCTAAGAAAAGAAACCTAAAAGCTGAACGCAGTGGCTCACAACTGTAATCCCAGCACTTTGGGAGGCCAAGACAGGAGACTCACTTGAGGCTAGGAGTTCAAGACCCACCTGGGCAATATAGCAAGACCATATATCTATGAAAAAAAAAAAAAGACAAAAAACAGGTAGAAGGAAAAATATCCTCACAATTGTATTCCTATTTTGCGGATGGGGAAACTGAGTCACAGAGAGGTCCTATTAGTTTGCCCAACCTTCCCAGCTGTTACCTGGGAGAGCCAGAATTGGAAAGCACAGCCCACATCTTGACTACTATACCGTCTGCCTCTAAACCGGCAGATGGAGCCCAGCATGGGGCGTGGCAGAGGGCAGGTGCTCTGCTAATGGTGGTGTGCTGCAGCTGTGTCAGAAGTGGGACCAGCACATGGCATGAGTGACTCTGATTAGATGTGCTATTACTACACCCTTGGCCTTAAGCACAGCTTGCTGGGTGAGAGGCAGCACGTGGGCCAGGCCTTGAGAGCACTAGTTCAGGAGTCAGAGGGCCTGAGTCCAACCTCAGCTCTACCCACTCCTTGCTGAAACCTCAAGCAAGTCACTCTTCCTACTGAACCTTAGCTTTCCAGTCTGTAAGGTGGCATGTGCTCCACAGGGCATCTATAAAAATTCAACAAAATCAGGCTTGCCTAGAGCAGAGACAGGTGTCTGGCACACAGTAAGTGCTCAGTAAACCAGCACTGCCATTATTTTAACCACCAAGGGGGTCGGTGGGGTGGTACAGGTCCCAAAACAGCAGTAGTCAGCAGGGCCCACCTCACCTTGCCCACCTCTGCCAGCTGCTACTCAGAAAGATGGGCACTGGGAAGGCCCAAGAGTGCAGGTGTGCACAAGCGTGTGTGTAGGGTGCAAACCTGAGACAGGTGTGTCAGAGCTAGGCCATCCCAGATGACAGAGGCAGGCCTGTGGCTGGGTCATCTGGCCCCTTGTAACATGAATGCGGACACTGAAGGCCCAAGAGGGGCCAAGACTCATTTAATGCCATCAGTAATCCTAGACCAGAGAGAAACTCTTGCCCCTCCAACAGTTCCACACCCATCCCAAGGCTCTCACAGTCCAGCCTAATGAGCCATGGCCTCCGCACGTGCAGGCCACGGGACAGGAGCCCATGACCCTGTGTTCCCCAGCACACCACCCACACACCACGCCAACCATTCATTCAACAACCATTTACTGAGTGCCTACTGTATGCCCACCACTTTTAGACGTGCTGGGGATACCACTGTGAAGAAGCCTCATGAAAATGCCTACCCTTGTAGAGCTGACAACATCAGAGATCTGGCTTGTTAACCCACTTTATAGATGTGAAACCAAGGCTCAGTGAGGTGACATGGCTTGCTCACAGTTGCACTAAGAGGAAGCAGCAGAACCAGGGTTAGAACCTTGATAGCTGCCAAGACTCAGGAAGCTCCATCAACAAACCCAGACTCCAGGCTCAGGCTGGGGGACTGGGCCAAGGGACCTTAAAAGCCATCTCTGTCCAGAAAGAGCAGCAGGACACGAATCTCCTCTGCTCAGTCAGGTGGGGAGGCTGCTCCCAGGGAGGGGCGTCCATCCCTCATCGCTGCTCCCTGTCTGCGTCTGCAGGCTGGTACAGTGCAGGATGCGTGGCTCTTCCCGATGCCTGCAGCGCCAGCTTCCTGCCCCCTCTTTGAACAAGCCCACTTACCCCCTCAGGACTCATTGGCTGTCGCCTCTGGCATAACTGTGAGGCTCAATCCCCGATTTCCTTCAGGCCTTTATTCAGATGCCCCCTTCTCAGCGAAGCCCCCTCTGGCCGCCCTGCCTGCCTCATGCCCTCCCATCCTCACGTTGCTTGTTTTTTCTCCATGGCTCGCGCCACCGTGAGACATGCATGTCTGCCTGGGAGCTGTCTGCCTCCCTGTCAGCGCCCAAGATACTAACACGAGGATGGGATGTTTGCCTGTCGGGCTCACTGCTGGACCCCAGGACCTAGAACAGCGCCTGGCCCACAGGCGCTGCTCAGCACGTGTTTGCTGAATGAATGCAAGTGCACACAGGGCAGCCAACCGCCACACCTGGGGACCTTCTTTCCAGGGGGAGGCCCACAGAAGCTGGCCTGGGACAAAGCCATCTCTCAGCAGGTGGCGCTTCTCCCCATCTGCCTCCCAGTCTTGCGTGGCAGCCACTTTGGGACAAACAGCCCTGGGGTCAAAAAGGGTCTCTTCCCTGTCCTAACTTCACTAAAAGGGGACCTCAGCTTCCCACTAGTACAAATGGATCAGGCCACGCATCGGCTCACGACATCACAGGGCTGCTCTCGTCTGGAGTGCCAAAGCCAAGGTCCTTTTCCATGACCTGCAGGCGCGACACAGCTGGACTCCGCGTTGCTCCTCTGCTTGCCTCCCCCAGCTCGCCCTAGCTCACACTGCTCCAGCCACGCTGTTACCAGAAAACACCAGGCACATCCCCACCTGGGAGCCTCTGTCCTTGCTGTCCCTCTCCCTGGGACACCCTTGCCCAGCCAGCGTCTCACCTCCTCCAGGCTCCAGGCCTCTGACCACTGCCGTCTCCTCCGGGCAGCCTCTTGATGCCCCCCCGCCCCCAGCCCATTGTCCCTCACTCACAGTTCCCACTTTTCACCCCAGCACTTGCCACCCCGACATTCCATGTCTACTTATTTACTGCCTGCCCCACCCCCACTGGAATGTAAGCTCCATCAGGGGACCACTGTGTCTCGGAGCCCGGGGCTATCCGGCACAGCACACAGTCAATGAATACTTGCTAACTGAATGAATGCTGAATACTGCCTCACTGTGTTAGTTCAGTGACGTGACTTCCCCTCTCTGGGCCTCAGTTTCTTCATCTATAAAATGGGGCTATGAATGAGATCACTCATGCACAGTCAGATCCCTGCTCTCCTGCCCAGATGACCACTGAAGGAGTCCACGAAATGGGGGCATAAGCAGCTGTGGGCCTGGGGCTGCGGAATGCTGGCTCCTCAGGCTGGTAAGACCCTCCGCCTCTGCCTCTCAGGGCACAGCTTTCCAGGAGGAGCCAGCGTGGGAGAAAGAATCTGGCGGGCAAAAGCGGCCTCTTACCACGCTTGTGGAGCCAGCCTTCTTTGATGACAGACACCTCATTCATGGTGGCAGCGTGGTACGCTGTCACCTAGCTCGGGACAGCTCAGGGCAGCAGGACATGCAGGAGGCACCGTGGACAGGGCACAGTCTGCAAGACAAGAGAGGAGCTGGTCAGGGCGGGAGGGGATTCCACACCAGCCCCTTCCCTGAGGACGCCGGGCTCTGAGGCCCTCTGGCTGTTCTGCCCACTCAGCAAAGGGTAAGGCCAGCAAGGGTGGCGTGGAGCCCGCTCTCAAGGACCCATTCTGAGCAGAGAGATGTGGCAATGTCCCCAGCGACCCCAATCTGGGGGAAGCAGAGCTCCCCGGCCTAAGCGCAGGCCAGACCCCAAACTCAGGACACCCATGCTGGGGGGAGGTGGCCCCTCCACCCACAGTCACTCCTGACTGAGCAAGCATCAAGGTAGCCGTGCCCTGCCCTCCCCGTGTCATTCCCATGGCCCAACACTGAGGTAACCCAGTATGAATGAGGCAGCCCAGGGTACCTGAGGGAATGCGCAGAGCCACCAGCATCTGCCTGTCCCTCCACCATCTTACACACACACACTCTTTTCTCTCTCTCCCCTCTCCCTTCTTTCCAAACCAGGAAGCCACCAACCTGCCACCTTCAACAAACTAAGCACACTCCCGTCCCCCCATGCCATCCCATGCCATTCCCTGAGCCTCAGCGGCCTCCCTCCCCCCATCAGATGACAGAGAAAAGACAGGTCTCAGACAATCCGGGATCTTGAACAAGAAAGCAACCTACTGCGTATGCACGGTCTGGGGCCTAGAAGCCAGTCCTGGGGGCTTGACCGAGGCCCTGATCCCTACCCCAAGACCTTCACTTCTGTCCTCAGGGACCAGCAACCAACAGACTGAGGGACGCCGAGGCCACTGCTTCGTCTCAGGTTCCCAGAACGGAGGGGAGGAGGGCGCGAGGCAGCGCCAGCTGGGCCCCTACCTGGAGCCTGGGGCCTGGCCAGGGTCCACAGAGACCAAGGCGCCTTTGCCTTTCCCAGCCTGGGGTTATTTGCGGACAGCAGGTCGGGAGCTACGGTGGCGCCCAGAGAAGTGGCAGCTGGCTCTAGGGACACCATGGGCATCAGCTTTCTCTCGTGCCCCAGGGGAGCTGGTGGGCCGGACACGCTACTGCCTGGCATGTGACAGTGGCAGGCTGCCCAGGTCCCGGCAGAAAGAAGGGAGGTAAGTGGTAGGAAGCGGGAGGAAAGACAAGATGGACATGACAGGGAAGTAAACAAGAGGGTGAGAAATCACATTCTGGGCTCCAAGCTGCAAAGGCAATGATGCGAGGCTGGGAGCAGCAATAAGGGGCTCCCCTTGCCAGCAACATGCCCGGCACCCCACAACCCAAGCACACAGGACTGCCAGACTCTCAATCCTCAGCATCCCCACATCTCGGCCGGGCACAATGGCTCATGTCTGTAATCCCAACACTTTGGGAGGTCAAAGCAGGAGAATCCCTTGAGCCTAGGAGTTTGAGACCTGCCTGGGCAACGTAGTGAGAACTTGTCTCACGACCTAATTTTTTTCTACAAAAAAATTAAAAATTAAAAAATTAGCCAGGCATGGTGCTGTGCACCTGTAATGTCAGCTATTCGAGACAGGAGGATCACTCGAGCCTGGGAGGTCCAGGCTGCAGTGAGCCTTGATTGCACCACTGCACTCCAGCTTAGGTGACAGAATGAGACCCTGTCTCAAAAAATATATAAATATGTATGTATTTCTGTATCTCCCACTGTTCTGTGTGTCAACCTCTAACGTGACCATCTCTCCCCATCCTGCCCGCGGCCTGGCTCTAGTCAGGTCTGCCCCCATCTGCCCCCACCTCTTCCCCGAGTTCCTACGCTCCACTCTTGCTCCCTCCCACTCACCCCACATTCAGCAGCTAGAGGGATCCCCAACGCTGAACCTGTCTTTCTCCTGCTCAGAACCTTTGTGGCTCCCTGGTGTTCCCAGCAAAAAAGCCAAACTCCTCAGCTGAGGATCCAAGGCCCTTCAGGACCTCGCCTCTGCTGCCCTGCGTTCCAGGTGCATGAGCTGAGACGTGCACCTAGAAAGCCCTCGGGAAAGGCTAAGGACCATGACGTTGACTATTGCACCTCTCCAGCCTCTCCGCCCTACCTGACTCTCCATGTTATGCTTCTGTCACTCAAGCCCTTCCCTCTGGCCTCCATCAGGGACAGCACCTCCTTCTGGGCGTTCTTCTCTCTCTTCCTTGAGGTCTCAGCTAAACCAGTGCCTCCTCCAGGAAGCCTTCCCCACCTCAGAGGCTGCACTGTGTGCTCTTTGTGCACCCTCGGAGCAACCCTCCCAACACCTATTAACGCTAATGCAGTAGACCAGCAAAGCGTCTTATCTAATGAGCACATGAAGAAAGAGGCCAAGTGTCCCCAACTGACCCCCACCCCAGGACCACACACAGCCAGGGACACACTACCAGACTCTCTTCATGACACCAATCTTTTTTGGGGTGCATCCTAGACCCCGGATGGTACCAGCAACAGAATGTCACTAAGACACAGCCCTGCCTTCATGAGGCTCACAGTCTGGTGTGAGGGGCAGAAAAATACACGAATATGCAAATAATCAGGTGGTGGGGAGGCTGGAGAGTGGAAGAACAGGATGTTAGCTTGGTGTGCGGGACTTGCGAGCAGACACCCGAGTTAACTGAGGGAGTGAGCTGTGTAACACATGAGGAAATGTATTTCAGCAGGGGAACAGAAAATGCAAGGACCTGAGGCAGGAGGGGGCCTGGTGAGGAGAAACACGAGAGAGGTGGACAGGGGAGAACACCAAGGGCCTTCTGGGCTATGGCTGGGACTGAGAGAAGCCCGTCCCCTACACGGACCTACACCACACCTTCCCTGATGCAAGCTCAGTTCAAAATACTTCCCAAATGGCTGGGAGGGAGAACTCAGAGTCCAAAGGAGGGGCTGATGTGGAGGGAATAGAACAGGGGCTCCATGTCTCATCTCCCCTCTCGCTGGCCCACAGCGGCCCAGGGACATCGCCTCTCAGGGCCCTTGTAATGCAGCAGCACTAAAGTACCCACTGTGGGCCCAGGGCTCGGCCTACTGCCTGGCGCCCAGTGAACAGCCAAACACATGGCTGCCATTATTCCAGAGAGAAGCAAAGGCAGCCAGGTATGGCCAAGAGTGGTCTGGGTTCCAGAGTCCAAGAGCCACCGCCAGCTGGGTGGCCTTGGGCAGGGTGCCGGCGCTCCCATGGAGTCTCTCCTGAATGCTCCCAACACCCCACCAGACAGTCAGTGACCATGCCCAGATGAGGACAGAAGCTGAGAGAAGGGAAGCTGTTTACCTCGGGTCTCCCAGCCGAGAAGCAGCGGAGGCCCTGGCCGCTGCTGGGATCAACAGAGCTGCTTTTTACAAGCTCATCTCAGCAACTAAGGAGTCAGCACAGCTGGAGGGAGAGCAGGGGGAGGAGTTGGAAGATCCCCTGCGTCCCGCCTGGATCCTGCCCTGTCCTCCCACTGAGGGTGGTGCCTCAGCTGAGGTGTCCGTGACGCAGTCCTGTGGTGATGAAATACCAGCCACTGCAGCCAAGAAGATGGCTGGCTTAGGCCGGGCACGGTGGCTCACGCCTGTAATCCCAGCACTTTGGGAGGCTGAGGTGGGCGGATCACCTGAGGTCGGGAGTTCGAGACCAGCCTGACCAATATGGAGAAATCTTGTCTCCACTGAAAACAGAAAATTAGCTGGGCGTGGTGGCACATGCTACTTGGGAGGCTGAGGCAGGAGAATCGCTTGAACCCGGGAGGTGGAGGTTGTGGAGAGCCAAGATCGCGCCATTGCACTCCAGCCTGGGCAACAAGAGCGAAACTACATCTCAAAAAAAAAAGATGGCCTGATCACTCGGGGGGCTGCCAATGGAGGACACTCAGGCAGGGGGACAGAGACTCGCCTATGGAACCCCCATAGCACGCCCTGCGGAGGGGAGTCCCTGCACGGCCCCACCACACTCATTACTTCCTAAGGTTCCTGGGCATGAGTCTTCTGAGTGCCTGGGCCAGAGCTGCAGCTGTTGACTCAAGACAAGGTAAAAAGAGCAAGAGCACCTCACAGGAGAGGACACCCACACAACCAAGAAACATACATAATCTCATTAGTTACAGGCAAATGCAAATCATAACCACCTACCTGGGATGGCTCGAATTTTAAAAACTGACAAGGCCAACTGCTGGCTCGGATGTAGAGGAACCAGAACCCTTACTCATTATTGGTGGGAGGTGCAAAATGGTTCAACTACTGTGGAAAACTGTTAAGCAGTCAAAATCAAAGCTCAATATATGCCTATCCCACGACCTAGCAATTCGTCTCAAGGAAATTAGTGTATGTACAAAAGACTTGTACTACAATGTTGACAGCAGCAATATTCACAGTAACCCCAAACTGGTAACAGACCAGGAGTCTACCCACAAGAGAATGAATAAACAAACACGTAGATCCACAGTAGAACACTACTCAGCAACGAAAAGGACTAAACTGCTGCTGAATACAGCAGGGAAGGAGTGAGAGAATGTTATAGAGTGAAAGAAGTCAGCACTCTGCCCACGCCCCTCCTGCAGCCTGGAGCCCCGTGACCACCTGAGTCAGCTCCCACCCCTTCTCCGCTCGAACCCTCCCATGCAACATAAAAGCCAAAATCCCCAAAGCAGCCCCAGGACCCTACGCGGCCTGCAACATCCCCCTTTGCTTCTCTGAGGGCACTTCACTTCAGCAGTGCCTGGCTCCCTCAGCTGCCAGGATACATGGGGACGCCCCACCTCAGGGCCTTGCAGGCACTGCACCCTCAGGTGGAAACTCAGGCCCCTCTCCACTCTCTTCAGCCTCTGCTCACGTCCCTTTCTTGAGAAGCCTTCCTAACCTCCCTAGGCAAAGCATGCCCACCCTACCTCCCCTTACCCTTACCCTTCATTTTCCCCTAAGCACCCATCACCACCGATGTTACTGTATGTGTTTGCTTACGCTGACAGCCCACCACCCACACTGGAATGTCAGCACGACAAAGGCAGGACTCTTGGCTGCCTTAGCCACAGCTGGATCCCCAGAGCTTTGTAGGGTGTTGGGCACAGAGTGGAGTGGGTACTTAATAAGTATCTGTGGAATGAACATGTACAGAGTGAAGCCCTGTGCCCAGAACAGGCTCAAAATAAGCTCAATTCCTTTCCTTGCCACTTACTAAGTCCTTTTTCTCTCGCCCCCTCTCACTGACCTGATTTTGATGCCAGACAGCACAGATGGGCTAGGGAGGCAGGTGGGGAAGCAGAGATCTGCGTCTCTTGGAGCTGGAGCTGGTGGGTGGGGCTCCTTCCTGGTGCTGCGGAGGCTCATTGGGGAGGTGGCAGCGACCCCCTCAGGAGCCTCTGTCGCCTGCACTCAGATCTGTGCCTTTCCACAGCGCCCGGAGGAAGACTTGCTCAGGAGATAAATTCAAAGACAACAGGAAGCTGGACGTGGTGGCTCACGCGTGTAATCCCAGCACTTTGGAAGGCTGAGGCAAGAGGATCTCTTAAGACCAGGAGTTCAAGACCAGCCTTGGTAACATAGCAAGACCTTATCTCTACAAAAAATATAAAAATTAGCCAGGTGTGGTGGTGCACACCTGTAGTCCCAGCTACTTGGGAGGCTGAGCCAGGAGGATTGCTTGAGCCCAGGAGGTTGAGGCTGCAGTGAGCTATGACTACACCACCACACTCCAGCCTGGGAGACAGAGCAAAACTGTGTCTCAAAAAACAGACAAACAAACAAACAAACAAACAAACAAAAAAAGCTGGCCGGGCACGGTGGCTCACACCTGTAATCTCAGCACTTTGGGAAGCCAAGGCAAGAGGATCCTCTGAACCCAGGAGTTTGAGACCAGCCTGAGCAACATGGTGAAACCCTGTGTCTGCC